>NT_187660.1:2443002-2755704 GCF_000001405.40 Homo sapiens
CTAGATCCCTGAGGAATCGCCACACTGACTTCCACAATGGTTGAACTAGTTTACAGTCCCATCAACAGTACAAAAGTGTTCCTATTTCTCCACATCCTCTCCAGCACCTGTTGTTTCCTGACTTTTTAATGATTGCCATTCTAACTGGTGTGAGATGGTATCTCATTGTGGTTTTGATTTGCATTTCTCTGATGGCCAGTGATGATGGCATTTTTTCATGTGTCTTTTGGCTGCATAAATGTTTTCTTTTGAGAAGTGTCTGTTCATATCCTTTGCCCACTTTTTGATGGGGTTGTTTGTTTTTCTCTTGTAAATTTGTTTGAGTTCATTGTAGATTCTGTATATGAGCCCTTTGTCAGATGAGTAGGTTGCAAAAATTTTCTCCCATCCTGTAGTTTGTTTTGCTGTGCAGAAGCTCTTTAGTTTAATTAGATCCCATTTGTCAATTTTGGCTTTTGTTGCCATTGCTTTTGGTGTTTTAGATATGAAGCCCTTGTCCATGCCTATGTCCCGAATGGTATTGCCTAGGCTTTCTTCTAGGGTTTTTATGGTTTTAGGTCTAACATTTAAGTCTTTAATCCATCTTGAATTAATTTTTGTATAAGGTGTAAGGAAGGGATCCAGTTTCAGCTTTCTACATATGGCTAGCCAGTTTTCCCAGCACCATTTATTAAATAGGGAATCGTTTCCCCATTTCTTGTTTTTGTCAGGTTTGTCAAAGATCAGATGGTTGTAGACATGTGGCATTATTTCTGAGGGCTCTGTTCTGTTCCAGTGGTCTATATGTCTGTTTTGGTACCAGTACCATGCTGTTTTGGTTACTGTAGCCTTGTAGTATTGTTTGAAGTCAGGTAGCATGATGCCTCCAGCTTTGCTATCTATGACAAACCCACAGCCAATATCATACTGAATGGGCAAAAACTGGAAGCATTCCCTTTGAAAACTGGCACAAGACAGGGATGCCCTCTCTCACCACTCCTATTCAACATAGGGTTGGAAGTTCTGGCCAGGGCAATCAGGCAGGAGAAGGAAATAAAGGGTATTCAATTCAGAAAAGAGGAAGTCAAATTGTCCCTGTTTGCAGATGACATGATTGTATATCCAGAAAACCCCATTGTCTTAGCCCAAAATCTCCTTAAGCTGATAGGCAACTTCAGCAAAGTCTCAGTATACAAAATCAATGTGCAAAAATCACAAGCATTCTTATACGCTAATAACAGACAGACAGAGAACCAAATCATGAGTGAACTCCCATTCACAATTGCTTCAAAGAGAATAAAATACCTAGGAATCCAACTTACATGGGACATGAAGGACCTCTTCAAGGAGAACTGCAAACCACTGCTCAATGAAATAAAAGAGGATACAAACAAATGGAAGAACATTCCACGCTCACGGGTAGGAAAAATCAATATCATGAAAATGGCCACACTGCCCAAGGTAATTTATAGATTCAATGCCATCCCCATCAAGCTACCAATGACTTTCTTCACAGAATTGGAAAAAACTACTTTAAAGTTCATATGGAACCAAAAAAGAGCCCACATTGCCAAGTCAATCCTAAGCCAAAAGGACATTTGCTATTATGTCTTTTTGTTTACCGTGATCCTGGTGGAGGTGAAGTGGCATTTCATTGTAGTTTTGATTTGCATTTCCCTGATGTCTAATGATGTTGCATATCTTTTCATGTGCTTAAGGGCCATTTGTGTGTCTTCCATAGAGAAATACCTATTCAAATCCTTTGGTCATCTTAAAATATTTTGTCTTTTTATTATTGAGTTGTAAGAATTTGTATATATTCTGCATACCAGTTCCTTGTTGAACATATAATTTGCAAATATTTTCTCCCATTCTAGGGTTATATTTTCATTTTGTGTGTGTGGTGTTTTTTTGTTATTTGTTTTTGAGATGGAGTTTCACTCTTGTTGCCCAGGCTGGAGTGCAATGGCACAATCTCAGTTCACTGCAACCTCTGCTTCCCAGGTTCAAGTGATTCTCCTGCCTCAGCCTCCCAAGTAGCTGGGATTATTATAGGCGCTCACCAACATGCCTGGCTAATTTTTGTATTTTTAGTAGAGACGGGGTTTCACCATGTTGGCCAGCCTGGTCCCAAACTCCTGACCTCAGTTGATCTGGCCTCCTTGGCCTCCCAGAGTGCTGGGATTACAGGCATGAGCCACTGTGCCCGGTCATATTTTCAGCTTTTAATGGTGTCCTTTGAAGCAAAAAAGTTTTCAATTTTGATGATGTCCAATTTAGCTATTTCTTTTGTTGCCATATTTTTGGTGCTATATCCAAGAAACCATCACTAAACCTAAGGGCACTAAGATTTACTCCTTTGTTTTCTTATGGGAGTTGTATAGTTTTCAGTCTCACATTCAAGTCTACAATCCACTTATTTTTTAAGACACGGTCTCACTCTGTCACCCAGGCTGAAGTGCGGTGGCACAATCATGGCTCACTGCAGCCATGGCCTCCTGAGCTCAAGTGATCCTCCAGCCTCAGCCTCCCGAGTAGCTAGACTACAGCTATGTGCCATTACACCTGGCTAATTTTTAATTTTCTTCTAGAAATTAGGTTTCACTATGTTTCTACAATCCACTTTGAGTATGGCATAAGGAAGGTGTTCACATTCATTCGTTTGTATGTGGATATCCATTTGGTGTATAACATTTGTTGAAAAGACTATTCTGTCCTCCATCCAATTGTCTTATTCCCTTGTAAAATAGCAACTGACCACAAATATGAGGGTTTATTTCTGGACTCTCAATTCTATCTGTATGTCTAACCTCATGGCAATACCACACTGGTTTTATTTTTTATTATTTTTTTAATAGCACCTGCCTACTATTGACCATACTGTCTTGATTACTGTAGCTTTGTAGTAAGTTTTGAAATCAGGCAGAATGGGTCTTCCAACTTTGTTTTTTGTTTGTCTGTTTTTGAGCCAAGGTCTCACTCTGTCACCCAGGCTGGAGTACATGGCGTGAACATGGCTCACTGCAGCCTTGACCTCCCGGGCTCAATTGATCCTCCAACCTCAGCCTTCTGAGTAGCTAGGACTACAGCCCCATGCCACCACAACTGGCTAATTTTTGTATTTTTGTAGAGAAGGGGTTTCACCATGCTGCCCAGGCTGGTCTTGAACTCCTGGGCTCATGCAATCCACCTGCCTTGGCCTCCCAAAATGCTGGTACTACAGGCATGAACCACTGCACCAGGCCTTTTCTTCTTTAATCAGGATGTTTTGGCTATTCTGGGTTCCTTGCATTTCCATATGAATTTTAGGACCAGCTTGTTAATTTCTACAAAATAGCTGGAATTTTGATAGGCATTGTGTTGAATCTGTAGATCAGCTCAGGGATCATATCAACAATGTTGAGTTTTCCACTATTTTCCCACTTATTTAGACCTTTAATTTCCTTCAAGATTGTTTTGTAGTTTTCAACTACAAATCTTGCACTTCTTTTGTTCCTAGGTATCTTACTCTTTTTGATGTCATTATAAGTGGAACTGTTTTCTTAATTTCACTTTCAGATTGTTCATTGCTAGTGTATAGAAATATAATAGATTTTTGTATCTCAGTCTTGTACCCTGCCATATTGCTGAACTCATTGGTTCTTTTTTTTTTTTTTTTTTTTTTTTTTTCAGACAGAGTCTCACTCTATCGCCCAGGCTGGAGAACAGTGGTGCAATCTCAGCTCACTGCAACCTCTGCCTCCTGGGCTCTAGCAATTCTCATGCCTCAGCCTCTCTAGTAGCTGGGATTATAGGCATGTGCCACCATGCAGGGCTAATTTTTGTATTTTTAGTAGAGATGGGGTTCCACCATATTGGCCAGGCTGGTCTTGAACTCCTGACCTCAGGTGATCCGCCTGCCTCCACCTCCCGAAGTGCTGGGATTATAGGTATGAGCCACTGCGTTCAGCCTGAAATCATTTGTTCTAATAATTTGTGTGTGTGTGCGTGTGTGTGTGTTGGTGGATTCCTTAGGATTTTCTAGATATAGAATCATGCAAATGAAGACAGTTTTCCATTTTCTTTTTCTTCCCTAATTGCCGTGACTAGAACTTCCAGTCCACTGTTGAACAGAAGTGGTGACATTGGGAATTCTTGTCTTTTTCCTGATCTTTGGGGGAAAATCTTTCAATCTTTCTTCACTTAACATAATGTTAGCTGTTAGCTGTGGGCTTTTTGTAGATGCCATTTATCAGGTTGAGCCTAGCTCCTCCATTCTACCCTTGCCCCTGGATTGGCAGTCCTCCTCCCCTTTCTGCAGACAGCTGCCCACAGCCGGTCCACGGTCCCTACAGCACCCCACCCTCTCACTCTCCACTGCAGGGTGGGCAGGAGGCAGCACGGGCTGCGGGAAGAGGCTGAATGTAGTCCCAAGAATGCCAACCACTTGTCATTTGACTCCAAACAAATCCCTTTGTGAAACTTGATTTCTTCAATATACAATTGTGGAAAATAATACCTAATTTTCAGAACTGCTGTGAAAAATTTAAAAATAAATTTGGTTGTGTCTGGCACATAGAGGGCATTCAATAAATGTGGGTTGGATGTGAATCTGAGAAGTGTTCATTGAACCTTATCTGAGGCACCTGGAAGTGGCCCTGGCACTGTAGAGGGACCCAAGGTTCATGGTGGATGCGGGCTTTCTCTCCAAGACTGACCATCCAGAAATGGTCCTGTAGCAAAGTAAAGCTGCTTGGAGTGAAATGAACCAGCCAGGAATGAAGATGTTTAATGCTCCAGAGGTTCAGGGAACCTGCAGGCCAGGAATGAAGGGGGAGAACTGCATTTCAGGAGTGTTGGAGTCCAAGAAAAGGAGATTAGACTTCCCTCTATACCCAGCAGGAACCACTGAAGGGTGCTGAGCAGTTATAAGTGGGGTTTGTGAAGTTAGCTCCATGGGGAGTGGAGCAGGGAGGCTGGTTCCACAGACCAGAAATGGTAAAGACCTGCACTAGGATGGGAAGGTAAGGAATGGAGTAGAGAGAACAGATGTGAGAGACACATTCATTCATTCATTCATTCATTCATTCACTCACTCAAGTATTTACTGAGCTCATATCCTGCTTCCCTCATGGAATTTACCATGCACTTCACATAAGTGCATATGAAATTGTAATTATGAGAAGTGCAAGAAAGGAGAGCCATCTGGTGGTGGTGAGCATTTATAAAGGGGCATACCTGAACTAATCTGGGAAAGCAAAAGTGCTTTCTTGAAAAATTGATGATTGAACTGAGACCCGAAGGGTGGGTATTTATCCAGGTAAAGAGGAGATGAAAGGGCAGCCTAGGCAGAGAGCACAGCCTATGCAAAGGCCCAGAGGTGGGATGCAGTGTGGTGAGTCCAAAGCCTGAGGGAAGGCCAGGGCAGCTGGAGTGGATGGAGCATGGTTCAGGGTGAGGCTGGCAGGCCGGGCAGGGCAGAATCAGGGGCACCATAGGCTGCGTCAAGGAGTTTTGTCCTTCGCAAAGAGGAATGAGAAGCTGTGGGAGGCCTTTTAGGGTGGGGGCAGGGGTAACATGTACAAATGCATATTTTGAAAGTTTCACTTTGGCTGTCATAAGTAAAAAGACTAGGATGGAGCATAACTCCAGAGGAAAGGGGGGAAAGAGTTGAAAACAGCCAATAACAAATGTCATCCCCGAGCTCTTATGAAAGACAGACAGTGTTCCCGGGGAACCTGCCAGAGGAAGATGACTTAGAGCTGCAGAGAGGGAATGTGGGGAGTCCATGAAGCAGCAGCAGCAGATTCGAGGCTTTTCCAGACTCCAAAAAAACCAGGAGGCTATAGCTGCCCAGACAGCAAGGGAATAAAAGATGCCTGAGAAGGAGGCTCTCGGTCAAAGGCAGGCATGGGCAGTGGGCCCAGAGAGTGGATGGGGTGGATTCAGGGCCCACCTCTCAGTTATGCACCCAGTACATGGCACCAGGTGCTGAGACCAGAAGCCTTGGGGTCATCCTTCCCATCCATGTGGGGTCACCCCCCACATCCCAGGTGTCTGCAAACTCATCAACAACCCACAGTGCCTTCCAAATCTGGCCGCTTTCCACCCTCCACCTGGAGTACCACAGTAGCCTCCAATCTGGAAGCTTCCACTCCCCTCCACTCAGCCTGATCTCCACACTGCAGCCAGACTGATCTATTTAAAACCCTCCTGTGGCATCTTGTCACATTTAGAATAAGATCCCTGCCTGGCCTGGCCCCTGGCTGGCTCCCACAGGCATCTCCTGTCCCTGCTCTCAGTCACTCAGTTCCTGCCATGCTGGCCTCTTGCTACCAGCCACAAACCCACCAAACAGACCCCCAGCCCACAGCCTCGGCACTTACTCTCCCTCAGCCTAGAATGCTGTTCCTGGAGAAATCTCCCTGACCTTCCCGGGCCACCATCAGCCCCTCTAGTCTTCTTTTCCCACCATGGTCTGTGGTGCCTACAACTTGTTCACAATTCCCTGCACTCCCTTGGCATTTTTGTGGTATTCACCTGGCAAAGCGCCAGCCCTGGAGAAATCCCACTGACAGCTTTCTCCTTCTCCATGGCTACCCCTGACTGCTGAGCCCCCTGGTGAGAGTCTCCCCACAGTACGAGGGCAGCCCGTGCCCCATCAGTCCCCAGGATCATCCAGGCCCTCTGCACTGCACAGAAACTGCAGGAAACGCCTCCCCACCAGCTTTGCCTCCTCCTCCAGTCTCCGCAGGCCTGTGGCTCCCTCACACCCCTCCTGTCTCTTTCCTGTTGTTTTAAAGAAAAATAAAAGTGAGAAATCTCTCAAAATGTCCCAGCCTCGGGTCAAACCACAGACCTTTCCTCCTGACCCCTTCTCAGTTGAGGGCTTTTCCTCTGGTTAAGCCAGTTCCCGCTCCTGCACAGGATCCCTCCTGACTTCTCAGGAAGTCTTTGCCATCCCTGCCCTTTCTTGTGCCTAACATTTCCCCCTTCCCTCGGCTGAGGCTGGACCAGTCCAGTTTATCACATCACCCACCAAAAATGAGCTCCACCTGCTGCCTTGTTCTCCCTTTCCCTTTGTGACCACACACACACACTTGCGCACACACATACACACATGCACACACATACACACACGTGCACACACACACACATACACGCAACACATGGTCCCCATTTCATCACGTCCGCCTCACTCATCAGCCCCTCCGTTGTGGCTTCTGCCCCATCCCTCTGCTGAAGTAGTTCTTTGTAAAGTCATGGATGATGAACACAAGGTCACTAAACCCAGGCCACATTTTCATTTTCCTTGAGCTGGACCCCTGAGCTGTGGTCACCAGCTGGCCGCTGCCTGCTTTCATCATAACTGTGACTACTCCTCCTTCGGTTGCCTCAGGCTTGCCCTTGGGGTCCTTCCCTTCTCAGCCATGGTGTCTCCCTGAGTGGTTCCTTCCACACCCTGGCATCAGTGCCATCCTCTTCGGTCAGATTCAAGCCACTTCTGAGCTCCAGGCCCACAGGTCAACTGGCCCCTGACATAGCCGCCTGATCTGGGTCTCCTCTTGCTCACCTCCAGTCAGTTCCGTATTTGCCACCAAGGCAATCTTCATAAAATGCAAAGCCGGTCATGTCGCCGTAATGAAAAGCCATCCCAGGGAGACAGGCCAAAAGCCCTAGCGTCGCCTACAGCCCCTCATGCTCTCCATCCAGCAGCACCTCGGCTTTCCCTCCCTGGGTTGCTAACACCAGCCCATACTCCTTCTTTTGTTTCCCCTAATACACTGTATTACCCTCCTCGGGGCCTTTGCACATGCTGTGCCCCCTTCATGGAGCTAAAGCCTATGATACAGTTTGGATCTGTGTCCCTGCCCAAATCTCGTGTCAAATGGTAATCCCTGATGTTGGAGGTGAGGCCTCGTGGGAGGTGATTGGATCACAGGGTCAGATCTAGTGATAGTGAGTTCTCATGAGACTGGTCATTTAAAAGTGTGTAGCACCCTCCAACCCCCACTCCCCTGCCTCTTCCTCCTGCTCTGGCCATGTGAAGTGCTGGCTCCCTCTTCACCTTCCGCCATGATTGTAAGTTTCCTGAGGCCTCTCCAGAAGCCGAGCAGATGCCAGCATCATGCTTCCTGTACAGCCTGTGGAACTTCGAACCAACCAAACCTCCTTTCTTCATAAATTACCCAGTCTTAGGTGTTTCTTTATAGCAGTGCAAGATCAGACTAATACAGTCTACACATCTTTCTCAGCTCAAACAGCACTTCCAAGTGCGCCTTCCTCCACACACCCATGGCTCCCTCCTCCCCTACCCCGCATCAAGGCCCCAACCACCTACTTTCCCGGCTCTCCATTCTCATCCCCATGGTACTCATGCAGCTTGTGACTGTATAAGCAGCCACCTCATTTGTCTTGCTCACTGCTGCTGCTCTAGTGCAGGTGTTGGCCAACAGCAGTCCAGGGGCTAAATCCAGTCCCCCACCTAATTTTTGTAAGTAAAATTTTGTTGGGACGCTCACTTGTTTACACATTTGTTGTTGTTGTTGTTGAGACGGAGTCTCGCTGTCTGCCAGGCTGGAGTACAGTGGCATGATCTTGGCTCACTGCAACCTCTGTCTCCCGGGTTCAAGCGATTCTCCTGCCTCGGTCTCCCAAGTAGCTGGGATTACAGTTGCCCACCACCACGCCCAGCTAATTTGCTGTAGTTTTGTACAGAAGGGGTTTCACCATGTTGGCCAGGCTGGTCTCGAACTCCTGACCTCAGGTAATCTGCCCACATTCAATAAATATGTGGGTCTGTAAATGATCAAGCAGGAAAGACTTGAGATTGGGTCACATTATGTCATTTCACAGAAGACACTGAATTCTGTGGGGAAGTGGCCTTCCTAGGGTTCCCCCGTGCAGTACAGGCTGGCTCTGGGCCCGGGGCTCTTTCCACAAACCATGTTAAGACTCAGTCGTCATCAGGCTGTATCCAGGGGCACCCACTCAAGCATAGATTGGGAAGGAACCAAGGTCTGGTGTGAGAGTGTGTGTGTGTGTGTGTGTGTGTGTGTGTGTGTGTGTGTACAGTGAGACCCCAAAGCTGGCATGGGAGGTAGGGGCATTGCGCACAGCTTTGGGAACTGCCCACCCTTCCTCTCCTCTTGCAGCAGGCCTAGGACTATAGAGAGTCAGACATACCCCCTTATGAACCATTTCACCTCATGTGGTTTCTTTCACCTCTCTGAGTGTCAGACTTCTAAACTATTGGAATGCAGCTTTTATTCCTAAACCCTCGAGTTGAGGCTGGGATTAAATGAGACGTTGCATGGGTGGAGACCACATGTCCTTCCCACAGCCCACGTCTACCCAGCATGTAGAGAACCACTGCTTATTTTTCCCAGGCTGCCCTTGGGTTGCATTTCCATTTTCCCTGGGAGACATGCCAGTAGCTGAGAGACCAAGATTCCCTCGGCTGTCTCTCCTTCTGATGTGACCCCCTATCACCTGGCTCTGCTGTCCCTTCTAGAGTCAGAGAAAAAAAAATGTAGAAAGAAGGAAAACAGCAGGAGCCCTTTCATACCCCACATGCCACCCCCAAGACTCCTGGAGGCCCGGAGAAGTGAAGCCAGTTGTCCAGGGTCGCACAGGCATTTGGTGGAGGAAGAATCTAAATCCCTGGACCCCCAGTCCAGTGCTTCCTTCCACAGCCCAGCAGCCTCCTCCGCCTCCAGGACTATTTCCCCCACTCTAGGAGGCAGGGCTCCCATGGCTGTGGAGGAATGGCGGTGAGAACGGTGTGAGGGAGAGCCAAATTATCGGGAACTCACAGCTGCCTCGCCTCCCGCATGGCTGGGAGCTGCAGTCCCTGGGAGAGCAGCCAGCTGGAAGACTCAAGGACGATAAATGGATCTGGGTGCCAGGGCTCCCAGGACAGAGTGAACTCCTCTGTCTGGTCAGAATCACCCGAGCAGGAAAGCATGAAATGGCACCATTAGGTGAAGGCTGCAGCTGTCCGGGGAGGGAGGCTGGGGGTGTGGAGAGATGCCTGCTCCCAGCCTGCTGGGCCACAGGTCAAGGTCTGAAGAGGAAGGGGCCTGGGAGGCCCCAACAAGGGAGAAGACACACAAGGGAAGGGACTGAGGAAGGGTCTCTCAGGCTTGGCCTGCATCAAGCCCCCCTGGGGAGTTTGTTAAAATGTAGACCCTCTGCCATCGCACCTGTCTCCCAGAGCCTAACTCAGAAAACTCAGTGGACTGGAATGTGCCCAGGGATCTGCATGGTAACAAGCACCCCCATTTCCTCTCATGCAGGTGATCTGGGCACCACACTTTGAAAAAATGAGGTTCTAAGTAATTCAGAAATTCTTGCCAGAGAGGTCAAAGTCCAAGCCCAGTTGCTGGAAGTAAAATAAGCCTCAGAGGCACTGCGGACCTGGAGGGCATCAAGGCAGGGCAGGCAGGAGGACATTGGTGGCAACAACAGGTTCAATCACCATAACTCTGTTTGGTGAGCACACAGATGTTCTCATCTAACCCACCTGGGAGGAGGGCACAATTACCAGCATCATTTCAAAGACAAGGCAAATTCTGCTCAGACAGGTCGTAAGTGACCTGCCCAAGGTCACACAGTTGATCAGAATAAAGAACCGGGTCTAAATTTGACTGAGGCCAGGTCTCCTGCTCAGGAGCAAGGTAGGGGGCCCAGTCCTCAGGGAAAGCTCAGGAAGGGGGAGTCTCCAATAGTGAGAAATGATGCTGGAGAAGCAGGGGTGGACCAGAAGCAAGGTCACTAAACAGAATCCACGCAGGAATTCCCTTCTCTCCCTGGTCCACTGGCCACTGTCCTTCTGTCTGCCCAGGATGGCCACTTGGCCCCTGTGACAGTGTCAGTCCCAAGCACTCAGGCCTCTGCAAGTGGCCCCAAGGCTGGGAGCAATGGGTCCAGGAGGAACCATGCTTGGCATGCATATCCCAGCACAGACCCTAGAACATGCCTGGGTCTCGGAGTGCTAGTTAACTGCCTCTGGCCCCCTTTGCTGGGGAGAACAGCCACATTTGGCCTGGGTTGGGTGAGGAGTTGGGGAGCAGGTGACAACCTGGTTGGCTTATCCTTTATCTTATCCTTTTCTTTCTATCATGTAGAGAGCTGTCAGGGCAGAAAGCAGGACTTCAGGTGAGTATCAAAAAGAATGCTCTCAACAGAGAGCCTAGGGATACACCAGGATGGGGAGTGCAGGGGGAAGGGGCCACCATCTCTCCCCCTATTATGAGCCCTCTTATAACAAGCAGAAACAGCATGTCTAGAGGCTCTCTCTTTCCTTAACTCCAAATGCCCAGATGTGCTCAGAGCTCAGCCACAGTTCTTGTACCTAAACTAAAGAGAGACTTGATTGACAATCAAGTTGAGTAGGAGGGAAGGGGAGCTAGGCTGGAGGAGGAAGGTGGGGTGAGACGACCTCACACACTCACCCTCACACTCTCAGTAGTTCTGGGATGTTCTGCTTTGAGGGTCTTTACTCTGCCCATGGTCAGCCCACATGGGAGAATCACAGAAGACCCAGATGCCCTGGAGCTTTGCTCTGTGTGGGTGAACAGGGAATGATCTCCAAGGGAGATAGTGGAAGAATCAGTGTGCAGGGGAGTGAGCATGATACCTGTGTAAAAGGGTGGGGGAGAAGCATATGTATGCTTGTATGCTTCTATATTCACAGCACGGCTCTGGAAAAGTGCATAAGGAATCGATGACATTAGCTGTAGTTGCTTCTGGGGAGCAGAGTTGGGAAAGCAGGAGCTGGAAAATATTTCACTGGGTATCTTTCTGTATCTTTAAAATTTTGAAGCCCATGAAAATCTGCCTGTCTCTTCCACCCTCTGGTACTTCAGAACCCTGGAGCTGGATCCTCAGCCTTGAGAAGGAGAAAACAAACGAGGGGGGTTTGTGTGTTTTTAAATTTATTTAATTTTATTTTATTTTTTACAGACAGCGTCTCACTCCCTTGCTCAGGCTGGAATACAGAGGCGTGATCATAGCTCACTGCAGCCTTCAAACTCCTGGGCCCAAGCAATCCTCCCACCTCAGCCTCCCAAGGAGCTAGGACCACACACATGCATCACCATGCCTGGCTAGTTTTAAAATTTTTTGTAGAGACAGGGTACCACTATGTTGCTCAGGCTGGTCTTGAACTCCTGGCCTCATGCGATCTTGCCGCCTTGACCTCCCAAAGTGCTGGGATTATAGGCATGAGCCACTGCGCCCAGCCAAAAGAGAGAACAAATGAGTGGGTTTGTGTAGCTCACCCGGAAATCGCCTGACCTGCTCCAGGTGGGAGGCATGCTGCAGGGAGAATGCCACCAGGACCTGCCCCCCTCACCCTCAGAGGACACCTGGACTCTCACTTTGCCTCTTCTTCCCTACAAAAAGTCGGGAGACTAGAAGCCCTGTTGTCTCCTCTAGCAGGCTTCTGGGATTCCCTTGGTGTGCCCCCAAATGAGACTGCCTCCAAAATGGGATCCTGATGCCACATCAAAGATGAGTAAGTTCGATCCTCACCCTCACCAAAAGCATATGTGTGTGTGTGTGTGCGCACATGTACACACACTCACCATCAACTGCCACCCCAAATCAATTAAATATGATCTGGGGACTAGGCACTTCTGTGGATTATCCCACTCAGTACTGGCCTCGATTAATGCAGATAATGGAGAGCTGACTGGATACAGCTTACAGTATTTAATCTTTCCCGGCATTGTATTTGCAGAAGCCAAAGTAATGAGATGGAAATAGGTTAACCAGCAAGACACCTGTCGCCGAAGCTCGTAGGCTAAAAAGATCAATACTTAAGGAGAAATGTTTGTCTTTATGTTTTGCACCAGTGCTTCAGTCCAACATTTGGTCCTGGGAGGCTGAGGATAAAGTGTTAATGAATTAATTTTCTAGCTCATTCTGAAAATAAATTACCCATTTCTTTGAGTTCCTTGTGTACCGAGGTCTGATGAGCCTTCTTGGTCAGTCCACGCACACCTCCACTTTGGAGCAAGGTTGTCATTCTGCACACATAGAAGCAGAGTCTGTTCTTGACTGGCCCTGGGGAAGCTAACAACTCCCAGGTTCCTGAGAGTTGGAACGTCCTTCTAGTGTCTAACTTCAATCTCTCCTGCTGCGGCAACACTCATTTTCCTTCTCTTGCATCTATGCTGAGATCAGCAATCCCAGGCCACCTGAGGGGCACCTCAGAATCCAATGGCTGAGGATTGAGCCCTTCCTGCATCAATCTTGGGCTGGCCTGTTAGCCTCCCTGCGCTTGTGCAGCTGTGTGTGAGGGTTAAGCATCCCTGCCCTCCCTGCCTTAAGGACTGCTTCCATGATCAAAGGTGAAGTTTCCTGAGTAAGGCTCTGCAAATCTGCAGCACCTCACGCCTGCCTCGGATTATTTCTCTCTGAACCTAGACCCCAGGCATGGATACCCTTAAATCACAGACAAATATTAATAAAACCCAGCCTGTGAGGGCTGAAGGACTCTTACAGACAATGCAGTCCACAGCCTCTTTTCGAAAACAAAGAAATCGAGGCCCCAAAGGGAGGTGGCTTACCTCCATCACACAAACAACACCACTAAATGGTGGCAGAACTGCCTGAGTTGTCAATTCCTGGATTCCAGGCCTTTGTAGCTCCTCAGGCCACCCCACCAAGCCCTGGCTCCATTTGATCCTTGGCTAACGCTTGTAGGGTGTAGGGGTAGCGGTGGTGAGGGGGCAGAGGGATGCCCTGGCCAGGCAGGCCCCTCAGCACACCCTCCGCTCTGCCACCCCAGCCAGGATCAACTTGAAACAGCACAGAGGAGCCCGCCATCCCCGTGGGAGAGAAGCTGGAGTCCAGGCTCCCTGGAGAGGGAGTTAATACTGCAGCACGGCGCACTCTAGCCAAGGCGGAGAAGCTGCTGAGTCACAGTCCAGCTGCCTGGCCAGCCCTGAGCTGCCTGCTGGGGCCCCCAGCTGCTCTCAGCCCAGGGGGCTGCCTCTGGCCCCCAGACAGGCTGCCTTCCCACCTCCTTCTCCAGAGACTCAGCATCTTGGGCCTCCAGGGTTCCCCACTCCCCAGCACCCCACAACATCTCCCAAACCCACAGGCAGCTGTCCTGGGGCGGAGGAGAGGGTCTTCCATTGGTTGAGTGTCAAGATGCTTGGGAGCACGCCAGGAAGGGTGGGGGACCCCGAATGAGTGATTGAGTGGGGACAGATGGAGGCTTGGGGACCAGTGGGCCCTGGGCTGCCTGGTGTAGGATACGGAAAGTGTGTGTGGGGGGGGGTGCACCCGTGGGCCCCAGGAGGTCTGTTGTGCGCATGCTCTGAGTGTGAGGGAGGACGGGTAGGACCGTGGGGGTCTGCCCTGGTCGTGCTCCCAAGAGAGGCACTGCTTTCTGCAGAGCGCGTGGGCAACTGTCAGCTGGGGAAGCGCTCACCAGGGGAAAGGGGAGCTCTCTGTGGCTTAGCAGTGATTAACCCACACAATCAATGGATCCTCCAGCCACAGTGTGAGCAGCTCTGCCTCATGTGAGGCACACAGCACCTTCCAGCACAGTCCCGATATCTTTCATGCCAGATGCACATCTTCAATTTCAGCTACAAACCATTACAAATTGATGCATTTTCTTTCTGACTAAATGTTACAAGGTTTGAACATACTATCTCTGCCGATCACCGCCCCTCTAAGGGATGGGTTTAGAGGTTTGGCACGAAAGCAAAAGCCTTTTAATAGGAGTGCGTGAGTGTGGTGGTGTGTGTGTGATGTGAGTGTGCATATGTGGTGTGTGTACGTGTGTGGTGGGTAGGGGTATACGTGGTGGTGTGTGTGTGTAGGATGTGTGTGCTGTATGTGTAGTGTGTAATGTGGGCTCTAGGGTGTGGGGGACAGTGGGGTGTGTGTATATGGTGTGTGTGTGTGATGTAGGGGGTGGTGTGGGTTAGGGGTGGAGGCTCTAGTGGGGTGTCAGGGGGTATGTGGGTAGTGGTGGGTAGTGGCATATGTGTGGTGTGTACATATGTGTGGTATGGGGGTATAGTGAGTTTGTGTGGGATGTGTGTGTCAGTGTGTGTGTGATGTGTGTGGTGTGTGTGTGGCGTGTAGTAGGGTGTGTGTGTGGTGTGTGTGGTGTGTGTGGCGTGTAGTAGGGTGTGTGTGTGATGTGTGTGGTGTGTGTGTGGCATGTAGTAGGGTGTGTGTGTGGTGTGTGTCTGTGTGGTGTGTGTGGCATGTAGTAGGGTGTGTGATGTTTGTGGTGTGTGGTATGTGTGTGGTGTGTGTCTGTGTGGTGTGTGTGGTGTGTAGTAGGGTGTGTGTGTGGCGTGGACTGGGGGTGTAAGGGGAGGGGGTGTTGCCAGTGTGCGGGGAGGGGGAAGGGAGCAGGGGCAGGAGCCCGGGCTGGGTGGCAGGTGCCCCCGCTCAAGCTGCGGGAGAGTAGCTGGAGAGACCGCAGCCTCCTCCCCAGCCTGGAGGCCCGGCTCCTCCCTTCCTGTGGCCCGGCGAGGAGACCTAGTGGTGCCCCCTGCTGTCCGTCCAGGAGCCTGCCGCCTGCCTCCAGCCCCATCTCCACCCAAGCCAGGCCCATGCCCTCCGCACACAGCTGCACCCCCGCCAGGCTCACTGCCTCCCAGGCCCCCAGTCAACGCTCACACCCTGGAAAGGAGGAGGTGGGCAACCGGTGGGAGGCCGGAGGCAGAAGGAGGCTCCATCAACCCAGTAATGGAGCAGAACATCAGCACTGTGGCATCTGCTAGCCGGCAGCACCGGGGTGGGGGTCCTGTCTCCATCTCTCAGGCCCAGCTGAAATGGGTGACAGCAGCCAGTGCAGGGACGTGGCAGAGAATGCCAGAAAGGCTGTGTATGTGTATGTGGGTGCACGTGAGCGCCATGTGTATGAACACCATGTATGAATGTATAAACATGCATGAACCGGCACTGTGAACATGCATACAAACATTGCGTGCAGGTGCATTACACTGCCACATGTAGAAATGTGAGAAGCCCCAGGGAAGGGAGGGCTGGGGGTCTGGGGCCACAGGACTTGTCCCGGAAGCTGGGGTGATAGCTACAGGCCCTGTACTTGGGTAATGGGAGGGGGTGGACTACGGTGCAGGTCACCTTACAGCCTCGGGGTTGGAAGAGACCACAGGGTCACCAGCCCCCACCCTCCCTCTGCAGCGGCAACTCTTGCCAGACCCTCTGTCTCCAAAGGTGGCAAGAGGTCTGGGACCTGAAAGAGGCATCAGGAGACCTGGTTTCTCTCCACTTCTTTCCATCCTTTGGAAAGTGGCTTTGCATCTCCCAAGATAGCCTCTCAGCTTTCATTTTTTTTTTTTTTTTTTGAGACAGGGTCTCACTCTGTCACCCAGGCTGGAGAGCAGTGGCGCAATCACAGCTCACTGCAGCCTCGACCCCCACGAGTAGCTGGGACTACAGGCGCACCACCATGCCCGCTCTTTTTTGTAGAGAAGGTGTCTCGCTATGTTGCCCAGGATGGTCTCAAACTCCTGGGCTCAAGCAATTCACCTGCCTCAGCCTCCCAAAGGGCTGAGATTACAGGCCTGAGCCACCGCATGCGGCCTAGATAGCCTCTCAGCTTTTAGAACCGAGCCTTCCGAGATGCTTGGAGAGTTCTACCTCTGAAGGCGAGCGGGCACAAAGAGTAGTGGGGTCATGAGAGAACTTGGGCTTTAGAACAGCCAGGGCTGCTTTCCAACCTGACACTTAGCAGCTCTGCAGCCCTGGGAGATGAGTTCATTTCCCTGGGATCATTTCTTAGCTACAAACCGAGGATCAGGTGCCTGTCTCACAGGGATGTTATGAGGATTGAAGAGGCCACATGTGCTGGCACAAAGTGGTCCCTAAATAAATACTCATTTCCTTTCCTCAGTTCTCCTCTCAGCGGGGCTAGGCCGAGTCCATGCTGACCATGGACTCAAGGACGGACCTTGTGTTACCCACAACGAGGGGTGCAGTGCTCGCCAAGTCAGGGACTCTGAGCCAGCCCAGGCTCTGTCCAGGAGGGCAAGGGTTGCTGCAGAGGTTGTGCGGCTGGGGAGCCTGAGGCCCAGAATTCTCTTCCCTGGCTCTGTGTGTTCCTCTTGCAGAGACTGCGTCACTTCTTCCTGGTGTCAAAGGTACTTGTATAAGCAGCTCAGCTCCTGGAGGATCACTAAGGCTGTGAGGTGGGAACGTGTCTTGTTCACGACTGCATTTCCTGCCAGCTCCCAGAGGAGCAGCCTGATTGCTGAGCCTGGTAGCAGGCAATGGAGGAGGTGGGGGATCTCAGCAGGCACTGCCCCCCCAACTCTGGCAACCTCTGTCCCATCAAGCTCCCTGCTAAAGGAGAGAAGAGAAACCCCAAAGCCGAAAGAGGCACCCTGTCTAGTTCAGACCCTGACACCCAGGGCCTGAGTGGTCATGGGTGGGGTGTGGATGGGCAGGCGCACTGCCTTGCGGTGCTCCACTATAGGTAGGCAGGCCCGTGGCTCCCCATGGGGAAAGAAGGTCCAGTGCAGCTCAGGTTCTCTGGAGAGTCATGCGCGAAGGAAGGGCATGAAGACCACTTCCCCAGTTAATGAGGGTTTGGCCAGGAGTTGTCTGCCTTACCCAACCTTGAAAATAACCCCTAGCATGTTTAATTGCTTAAAAATCCACTCTTTCCTCTGATCTTCACTTTCGTTTTCTCCAAATCCTATGTCAGGCTCCGTGCTAAGTGCTGGGAATACAAGAAGAATAAAACCCAACCCCATCCTGAAGCAGCTCACGGGGAGACAACAGAGCTCAGGCCTTTGGGAGGTGCAGCAGATGTGGTTCTGCCCCTTGACAGAGGAGACAGCTAAGGCTCAGAGATCAGCTTGCCCAAGGCCTCCCGGTGCACTTGAACCCTGACTTCCTAGCACTCAGCCCAGGGCTCTTTCCTTCCCAACAAACAGCCCCAGGGAGCTCCTGAAGCACACTGGGAAGGTGGGTCTAACGGGAAGACCACAAAGGCACCGGGCTCAGAGGTGGGTGCCGGGGGCAGGGAGGGAGACCTCCACTGTGCCCACTCCGTTCCAGCGGTGTATTTCATTTCATCCGGGCCCTGTGAGGTGGGGACTGTGATTCCCATTTTGTAATTGAGGAAACTGGGCCTCAGGCGGAGCGAAACAGGTCGCTCGCTCACAGCACCCTTTCCCAGAGGACGGAAACAGCTGTACTCCCAGGCAGCAGAGTAGCTCGCTTTGGGCCACACCGGGACCTGGGAGAGGTCATGAGACGTCTGGAGAGCCCAGCCTGCTCTCAGTGGGAGCTGGGAGCCAGCCAAGGAAGGTGCAGTCTGGTCCTCCCGTTTCCAAGAGCGCCTCCGTCCTTCCAGATGCTGGCCAGGCGCCAGGGACAGAGATGTACCCATCACTCTTCAGACAGAGATGCCCATTATCACCAACACCTATGACAGCTCGTGGTCTCCAGAAACTAAAGTGGAGCATGCAAGTCCCGGGGGCACAATTAGGTGCTCCAAAGAAGCCAGCTCTCTCCTGCCTGACCGGGAGCCGGGACAGACATGGGAGGTAGGGGCCAGGAGGGATGAACCATGGCCTCAAAACACCCATGGGCTGGAGGAGTGGAGCAATGAGGGGGAGAATTCCAAATTGGAAAGCCTCAACTTGGAATTCTATGTGGATCCAAACCTAGAAGACAGCTCTGCTGAGGAAGAGGAGCCAAGTGAAACACCAGGTGCAGCCAAGTGGGGTGAATTAGCACCTGGGCTCTGGACAGACTGACCTGGACTGGAGTCTCAGCTCTGTCACTTTTAGCCATGGGAACTTGAGCAGGTTGCTTAACCTCTCTTGGCCTCAGCACTCCATCTGCATAATGGGAATGATAATGGAAGCTGCTGCGCAGTGCTGCGAGGCTTAGGAGCACTGTATGTAAAGCATGGCATTATGTCCATGGCTGGTTCCTGAGCCAGGCTGGGCACAGGCCTGTCAGAAGCACACGGGGATGGCTCCAGTGGAGAGGTGGGGCAGCCTCTCTGCTAACCCCCTATTAAGGGCCAGATTAAGCCACCCCTTTTTAAAATTTCCTGGGATAATTCAGGCCTCTCTTAATCAATGGTCCTCCTTCTACCCATGCCTTTAGCTCCAGCCCAGACGGCCTTCTTGATGCCCACCTCTGGGCCAAGTCCTCTCTTCTGAGCCACTGCACTATCCCTGGCTTCTTTCCTGCCCCTGTGTCCAGATCCTGCCAAGCCTTTCCCCGTCCTCCAGCCCACCTTCCCCAATACTCAGGCCTCTCAGCAGCCATGGCTTCTCCAACCGTGGCTGCTGAGTCTCTATTTTGGTTGCTCTAATTTTCAAGTTCTCATTTGTGGGTATCTGACCACATCCTCCTCTCAGAAGTCAGCAGAGTCTAGCTGTTCTTCCTCTAGCTGCCACTCCCATCCTATAGATGACAACACTGGGATGTGAAGAGGTGAGGTTGCCCAGACTCCCCAAGGATGTCCCAGGCAAAACCTATCCCTAGTGTGGTGGCTCATGCCTGTAATCCCAGCACTTTGGGAGGTTGAGGCCAGCCTGGACAGCACAGTGAAACCCCATCTCTACAAAAAATTTTAAAATTAGCCAGGCATGGTAGTGCATGCCTGTCGTCCCAGCTACTCAGGAGGCTAAGGTGGGAGAATCACTGGAGCCCAGGAGTTTGACATTAGGTGAGACCTAGCCATGCCAGCAGACCAGCCAAGCGGCCATACCCAGCAGGCAGCTTGGAGGGGAGGGGCAGGTGTGTTGCTCAGAAGTGACTCTGGAAGTCACTAGCACAAAAGAATAATCCGCTGGGGAGAGTGTGGGCATAAGAAGAAATCCAGAGATGGGCTTCTAGAAATATCAGCATTTGGAGGATTTGTAGAGAAAGAGGAAAGCCAGGGAGATTGAGGAATGACCAGGAATCGGAGGAAAGCTCTGAAGAACAGAAAATGACTCCATGGCAATAGAGCGGTTACACCGGAGGGGCAGGCAGGGGCTGGGAGGGGACAGGGATCCTTCTGGGGAATTTCTTTGGTGATTATACTGGTGCATATATCCATAAGTTGTGCACTTTGCTGAATCTAAGTTATAACTTCATCAAAAAGAAAAACGAATGTGCAGAGCAGAAAGAGCTAGGGGTGGACCCCTGGCTCCCACACACTCTGGCTTGACCAGGTGCTGGAGGACACCATGGGTAGAGAGAGCATAGACCCTAATAGAGCGCCGTGCATCCCATCGCCAACCGGCTTTCCCATGATGCACAGGCGCTTCTGCTGAGAACCACAGGGCAAAGGCACCTAGAACCAGGGAGCCACTGAGGAAAGGCTTCCTGGAAAAGCAGCAGGGAGCCAAGGTTTAGGAGGAGATGGGGTGGGCTTGGAAGAGGCTGGCCAGTTTCCAGGCAAGAGACGTCCACCTGGGTGGGTGTCTGGCAACCACAGACCATGATGGGACCCCTCACAGCCACCACCCTGGAAAGCGCAGCGATGACAGCTGACTTGGGAAGGTGATGACACGGCAGAACACACCCCGGCTCCAGAGACGCCATCATCTGGGACCCTCTCCACAGAGCCTGACTTAGGGCAGGAGAGCCTCCCTGGTCCAGGACACCAGAGGCCTCAAGGTTTTCCCTCACAGGAGCCTCTTTCCACACCCCCGGCCCCAGCAAACATTTGAGAATGGGCCGTTGCCCTGCCTAGCAGTACACAGGGCTCTGGCCTCCCTGCTCTGGGCCAGAGGAGAGGGGAAATGGAAGTGGGCAGAGGACTGTCCCTTCATATGACCACTGGTGACAAACACTGTGTCCTGCAGAGCACGGCCCAGGATGAAGCACCTCCACCCACACACATGGCATTCGGCAGCTGCAGGGCCCAGCCCTGCACCATTTCTGAAGGTCCACACATAGCACATATCACAGCTGAGGAAACTGACAGCCAGAGAGAGGAAGGGACTTGTCCGAAGTGACAGAGTAAGAAGCCTGCCTTACTGTGCTCTTCCAAGCTGGCTTGGAATCCAGTGCTCTTCCAAGTGCTCTTCCAAGCTTGGAATCCAGTGCTCTTCCAAATCATCCAGTGCTCTTCCAAACTGGCAAAATCCTGAGCCTCCGAGAGGCTTACTGAGCTCCCTGCCTACCAAAGCCAGCATGGGTGAGCATCTGTGGCTCTCTGGAACCGCAGGGAGTTCCAGTCACCCTGCTGATGACCCCTGCTTGGAGCTATAACTATAAGTGGAATACCTGGGGTGGCTCCTTATTAGACCCTGACTCCCTGGAGCTGGCAACAGAGAACCAGCATGTAACGGTCCCCACAGACGGAGCTAGCCTGCATCAGGGTTTCTAATGTTCTGCTGCAGGTTCACTTCGCACTTGAGAAGGAGGAACGACTTCAGTTTTTTTCTAGCAGCTTCTTGGCTCTTCCCAGTGGCCCCTCCCCCAAGCAAAGTCCCCTGAGAGGAAAAAATCACACCACATCTTTGTGGATCAGTGGTGCCTCTGCCCCCACCCAAGACACCGGGCATGTTTCCTCATGAAGAGTGACTTGCGGCTCCCTCGCAGCACTGAGGGCTGGAGCCAGAAGAAGGATGAACCCACTGCGGGGGTCTTCTCTCTTCATGTTGGAAAACAGATTTAGGCTCAAAATGAAGGAGGGTTTTTGCACAGTCAGCACCACCCATTGATGAGTTCGTGGTCCCAGGAGGTAATGAGTGCTCCATCATCGGGAGCATTCAAGCTGAGGTTAGCCCACTATTGGGAGGGATATTATAGACAGGACTCAGGTAAGGGGACACAGCATTGACCTAGATGAAATTTGAGGTCCCCCTTCCAACCCTGAGAGCCTCTAAATCTCTGACATCTCCATCCCAGCCCTTGCTGCCAATTGGCCTCATTTGCCTGGCCCTGCTGGTTTGCCAGGCAGTTTGTCCTCAGAGAGAAGTAGCTGCCAATTATGTGGGGACCACAAGAGTTTCCTTTATGACATCACCACTCTGCAGGAAGGGGCTGAGGTGGGGTAAGAGAGGAGAAACAAGACAGAAGGTGGTACCAGAGAAGGAGTCAGCTCCCCAGGGCCTGGAATCTGCAGTGTTGCCACCACTAGGTAATTTGTGGGGCACACTGCTGTGGGGGTCTCAGGAAGCCAAGTCTGGGCCCCGAAGGGAAATAGCCCAGTTCTGGCCTCCTGACTGGGGTGGGGGACTGTCAAGGGAAAAATAAGCCCAGGCTAGCTCTCTGAGGCTCATTAGAGAAAAAGGTAAATGTCGAAGACGTGTCATGGCAGGCAGCTCATTAAGCCCACGGAGCTTAAAAATAGTGAGACACACAGATATTGGGGGATGGGGAGCTGGGGATGAGACGCCGGCTCATCACACTGCAGGGAAGAACAGCAAACCTGGGAGAAAGTGACTCTATAACCAGTGGAAGAAAGGCTGTGTAGCCATCACCGGATCTCTGGGTAAGCTTGGCGCACAGGGCTGCTGGAAATGTCAGACCCTGTTCTGTCAATGAGAAGACTAAGCCCAGAGGAGGGTGTTCCCAGGCATTACCCAACAGGCTCGACTGTTCTCCATGCAGGGGAAGAGAGAAGACACAGAGACACAGACCTGCCCCGGAGGAATCCAGAGCCCACCTGCCCAGAGAGGCTCCACCTGATTTCCCTGGCTCTGGGCACCCCCTTAAAAGCCCTTTATGCCATCTTTCCTTTCAGTCGAGTGATGCAGGATTTGGGACCAGACAGCCTTTGCTCAAATCCTTCCACAGTTATCTACCAGCTTGGTGGCCTTGGAGAAGTTATTTCCCTGTTCTGGATGTGCTTCCTCTTCTATAAACTAGAGACACTACAAATTCCCACCACAGAGGGGTAAATGCAGCATCCTGTACGTTATGTGTTTGGCACAGGACCTGGGATGCAGGAGGCACTCTGACCGGTGGCATCCAGGAAGTAAGGAATATGGACTAAAGGGAGGGCCAAGGAAAAGTTTACAGGCTGTGGCTGTGCAGTTGGAAGATGCAGAAGCGCCTCGCTTGGTGCTGCCAGGTTAGGTTTGCAGAATGCAGTGAATGCTCTTGCTGACAAAGGATGGGGATAAGTGAACTGGGGAATCATGACCTAGGGGAAGCCACTAGCTCAAATACTGATCCCTATTTAAGTCACCAAAATATGCTGGGCACCCAGTGGGTGCCCAGCGCTTTCCCATAAGTGATCCCAAACCAGGAGCTAGTCCAAGCCTCCAAAAGTGGCTGGGTAGTTCATTGGAATGAGGGCTGCAGTGACTCCAGAGGGAGCAGGACTCCAGAGGAGCAGGACTCAAGAGAAGGGGAGCCAGGGAAGACTGAGGGGATGTGTAGGTGAGGTGGCTCTTTTCTGGCTGAGAGAAGAGAAGGTCCCCAGCCCACACCAAGGGCTCCATAATGGAAGGGAGGCCTAGGGTGGGTCCTCCCCCTCCCCATCTTCATCCCACTCAGCCCCTACCTGGCCTTTAACACACTGGGTGGGAGAAGTGTTGCTGAGCACAGCAGTGACCTGAGGCCCTGGGCACCCATCCCAGTTTAGCTCCACAGGGGACTCCAGTTGCTGAGGAAGAATATAGAACTTATATAGGATGGGGGAGCTGGAAGGAAACTTAGGATCAATTGTTCCAGCCTCTAATTGAATGGTGGGGAAACCCAGAGACAGAGAAAGGAAATTACTACCCCTTCCAAGCCAGTGAGAGAGCCAGATCTAGAATCCAGGGCTCTTTCCATGATATTGCACCTCCCATCTCAGTCCTGTCTTTATGAAATGCCATATTGAAGCTTTATGTATTGGGGAAATTTAACTGAGGCTCAAACGGACACAAATTCCCTAAAGCCACATGGTGAGTCAGACAGCGAAATGCAAGGTGTCTGGTCCTTTCCCAGCATCCAACGAACGTTTCTTGGGCACCTACTACAGTCAGGCTGGGAGCACTTTCAGACGTTCTCTCACTTAAATCTCACATGTGGGAGCAAGTTGGTGGAAGAGCGAAGGCCCAGAGGCCAGGGTCCAAATCCTGGCTCTCTTAGCTGAGTCTCCTTGGACAAATCCCTTGATGTCCCTCAAATGATGCCTCCATTTCTTCACTTTATAAGAAGTGGATTCATAATAGTACCTACCTTGTAGAGTATTATGATAATTAAAGGAGACTATCCATATGAAATACTTAGAACAGAGCCTAGTAATATAAATATACCATTTAAAAATAAGTATACTGGCTGAGTGTGGTGGGTCACACCTGTAATTCCAGCACTTTGGGAGGCCCAGGCGGATGGATCACCTGATGTCAGGAGTTCGAGACCAGACTGACCAACACGGAGAAACCCCGTCTCTACTAAAAATACAAAATTAGCTGGGTGTGGTGGTGCATGCCTGTAACCCCAGCTACTTGGGAGGCTGAGGCAGGAGAATCACTTGAACCCAGGAGGCGGAGGTTGCAGTGAGCCGAGATTGTGCCATTGCACTCCAGCCTGGGCAACAAGAGTGAAACTCCATCTCAAAAAAAAAAAAAAAAAAAGTATACCATTTGACAATCCTAGGCATATACCCAAGAGAAATGAAAACACGTATCCTTACGAAAACCCTTCCACAAATGTTGATAGCGGCATTATTCAGAGTAGCTGAAAAGTGGAATCAACGAAATGTCCATCAACTGATGAATGGAGAAATAAAACGCAGTATATCCACACAATGGAATGTTATTTGGCAATAAAAAGAAATAAAGTACCGATACATGCTTCAATGTGGCTAAACCTTGAAAGCATTATGTGAGTGAAGGAAGCCAGGCACCAAAGACCATGTGTTATATAATTCCATCTAAATAAAATATCCAGAAGGTGCAATTTCATAGAGACAGAAAGTAGATGATTAGTTGGCTAAGGCTGGGAGGAATGGAAGAATCGAGGGTGACTGTTAATATGTATGGAGTTCCTTTTTAGGGGTGAAAAAATGTTCTGAAATTAGATCGTGGTGATGGTTGTGCAATTCTGTGAATATATTAAAAGCTATTGAATCGTGCCCTTAAATGGGTGAATTGTATAGTATGTGAATTATAGCTCAATAAAGCTGTTTTCAAAAAGTAAATATATATTTATAAACTTCTATAAGTTAGTAAATCATATCCATTCCAGTTTAATGATAAGGCTCAGAGCCAGTCAGCAACTTGCCCAAAGTCCCATGCCTAGGAGGCCGCAGGACCTGATTTTGGACTTTGTGTTGTCGAACTCCTGAAGCTCCTAAGACCTGATCCAGTTCAGACTCATGGAGAGCAGGCCTGCCCTTATGTATCTTGGGGAAAGCCTCCATTCCCTGTCCCAATGAGGCCACTCAGGAAGTTCTCCCCGCTCTCTAATCCAAACCCATACAACTTACAAGGGATGATATTCAGGGGGATTTGAGGTCAGGAGCAGGGTCACAGGAGACAGGCACCAGAAGGGAAAGCTACATTTCTAGGCAATGCTGGATATCTTCTTTAGGGAAGCCTGGGGAATGGGGCAGATGAAGTATAGTGGACTTCAAGACATGAGCTCACGGTTGATTTTGGGGGTGACCTTGGCCAAGAAACCTCATCTCTGGGGCTCTTGGTAAAATGATATTCAGGAAGAAGCTCTGAGGACAGCTCCAGAAGCAGACATTTCTAAGGCTATTTATAAAGTGGCCTTCCCTCTCCTTACACACAACTCACCCCAGATGATCAGGTGGGAAGTCTGTAGGGCAGTGGGCATCACTTGGTTGCTTGCTTGGGTATATACAACCTGGTCACCCCCATGGTTCTTGGCAGAAGATATTGGGGCCAAACCAAGAGGCCCTAACCTAACCATCACTCCAATACTGTGAGCAGGTCAGGTTGGCTCTCCCTCCCAGCCAGGAAGGAGGAAAGAGAAGGAAGCGACAAGGGCACTAACAACCAGGGTCCTTGTCTTACCTGGCAGGAAAGATGCTGAATGTGATATTGACTCAATGTGCTGCTTCTGATCAGCCCCCTGCCTGCCTCCCTGCACAGTGGATAGTCTGGCTGCAAGTGGTAGGGGGAAGGAGCTCCCACTTTTGACAACCCAGGAAAGGCATCACCTCAGTTTGTCTGGAGCTCATGGCCAGGGTGTCCCAGCTTGAAGGAGAGGTTCTCCTGCCCCCTTCTCTGCTTGTACAACTATACACTGCATTCAGAAACACTCCTTCTCCCTTGCTAAGGAGCATTAGGAGATACAAAACCACCATCCTTTTTCCAGGTGAAATAAGGAAGAACAGAAAATGAGGAGGGCCAGATTCAGCCCAGAGCCACCCAGAGTCCAAGTGGCCTCACTGGGAGAGCAGTACACTGGGTTTGGTGCCCTTGGTAGAAAGCCCAACATGCCAGGACCTCAGCCAGCAAGCCAGCATGTGCTCCAGAGCAGGGACAGGGAGAGGCCAACCTGTGCATCCGCTAGGCTCACTGGCTATTTCAGACCATCATCTGCCTCATTCGATCCCAGGACATCTTGGGAGAAGTGAGGAAGGCAGGCATCCCTCTCCACATTTTTTAATGGGGACCACTGAGGTCCAAGAGATAGGGAAAAACCGCTTGCCTGGGGCCATGTGCAGTAACTTAATAGTGGGTTCACTGGATTCTAGATTCTTCTCATCAAAGCCAATCATACCCCTGCCTCGCCCCACTCCCAGCTCTGCTGCTATGTTTCTTTACCTACAAAACATCAGTCAGTTTTCAGAAACACCATAATAACACTCTTTATAGCACTTTATGGCAAAATCTTTATAGCACCGTGTGTCAGGCACTGCCTATTCTTAGAGCTATATGTAAATAGTCATACATCAAATCCTCATGCCAACCTGATGGCAAGCTATTTCATTTCCATTTTACAGATGAGGAAACTGAGGTAACAAGTGTTTAAGTAACTTAGCCAAAGTCCCACAGATAAAAAACTGGAGGAGCTGGCATTTGAATACAGGCAACCTAGCCCTAGCATCTGAGGTTTAACCACTGCACCACAGTGCCAAGCACATACAAGTACAAGGCTTCGCATATTCCAAGTCTCACTAAAACATGGACTAGGGGCTGGGCATGGTGGTTCACGCCTGTAATCCCAGCACTTTTTGAAGGCTGAGGTAGGAGGATTGCTTGAGCCCAGGAGTTCGAGCCCAGCCTGGGCAACATGGTGAAACCCTGTCTCTACCAAAACAACAACAACAACAAAACAAAAACAAAAACAAAGAAAAACCTTGCAAAACAAAAATTATCCAGGCACGGTGGTGCATACCTGTAGTCCCCGCTATGTGGGATGCTGAGGTGGGAGGATCACCTGAGCCTCGGGAGGTTGAGGCTGCAGTGAGCCGTGATCACACCACTGCACTTCAGCCTGGGTGACAGAGTGAGACCCTGTCTTAAAAAACCTGAAAACCAAAACCAAAACCATGGACTAGGGGCACACGACTAGGCTCAGGACGAAGTGTGTGTGCAGGAAGTCCACATAAGTCCAGAAGCTGGGCTGTGCTCTCACCCAGGTGCCATGTGCTGGGGGCGGGGATGGGGGACAGGCTGCAATTTGTCTCTGAGCAGCCAGCTGCCCTCAAGTCCCAGCCCAGCCGAGCAGTGGGGAGCAGGTTGAAGGCAGGCTTGGAGCTGGCAGGCTCCGTCTGCCCCACTGTGAGCAGCAGCTTTGAGACACTCTCCTGCCGGCTGCTGGTAGGTGCTGCAGTATCTCTCCTGGCTGCAGGGCTGGCTGGGCTGAGGCCAGGCCAAGGGCCTTCCTTCCCCCTTTCACCCTCTGCCCCTCCCTCAGTGCCCGGGGCCAAACGAAGGGCTTAGGAAGCTACTCTGGCTTTCTGGTCTCCAAGGACTGCCGGCCCTGATGATTAATTTGGTGGCTGTGGGACTAGGTTTAGTCTTGGGTGGCAGCACTGACCTCCAGGAATGTCACTGTGGCCCCTTCAGGGGCAGGTAACAAACCTGGCTCATTCCCAAGAGAGTAAGTGAGTCCGGTGGATCAACTCCCACGGTTTTCCACCTAGCATATTTGCCAACAGCGGGCAATTCCCAGGTAGGAAGTCCTTCCTTGTACCTCACATGAGCCCTTCCTGCTGCAGTATAGCCACATTACCTTCTACTAGAAACCCTTCTGCTTCCAAATGCACCCTTTGTTAAATTGCTAAGATGTGATTCCATGAGCAACACAGCAATCACAAAAGCCATTGAAGCAGACGGCAGCTGCTACAGGGTTCAAGCATTCCATTCCAGCTGGGGAAAGGCTGTGGGCTTTGCCCCTCCTTCCCCCCCAGCCCCTCCCCAATCTCAGGACACAGAGAAAAGAGGAGCAACATGCGGAGAAGAAAAATGGAAAGGTAACAAAGCAAAGGCAGAAAAAAAATTCACAGCCTCCCTTGACCTGCCAAGGACTTCTTCCACATCTTTCCCTAGGCTTGGGGGCCCAGATAAGGAACTGAGACTTTCTTTTTTTTTTTTTTAATTTTATTATTATACTTTAAGTTTTAGGGTACATGTGCACAATGTGCAGGTTTGTTACATATGTATACATGTGCCATGTTGGTGTGCTGCACCCATTAACTCATCATTTAGCATTAGGTATATCTCCTAATGCTATCCCTCCCCCTCCCCCCACCCCACAACAGTCCCCGGTGTGTGATGTTCCCCTTCCTGTGTCCATGTGTTCTCATTGTTCAATTCCCACCTATGAGTGAGAACATGCAGTGTTTGTTTTTTTGTCCTTGAGATAGTTTGCTGAGAATGATGGTTTCCAATTTCATCCATGTCCCTACAAAGGACATGAACTAATCACTTTTTATGGCTGCATAGTATTCCATGGTGTATATGTGCCACATTTTCTTCATCCAGTCTATCGTTGTTGGACATTTGGGTTGGTTCCAAGTCTTTGCTATTGTGAATATTGCCGCTATAAACATACGTGTGCATGTGTCTTTATAGCAGCATGATTTATAATCCTTTGGGTATATACACAGCCTTTCTTGCAGCTTCTGCAGCCTCTGCCTGAGAGATCCGCTCAATGGGCCATCTGCTCGGAGGCCTTTCTGCAAAAGCTTTAAGAGTTCCATTTCTCCAGGGAGCTGGAAGCTGGGGAGGTGTCAGCTCCAAACAATAAGGGAAGTTTATTAGGGATCAGGGTTTCCAGGAGGATGGTGCCTGCTAATGGGGCTGGATGCACTCTGAGGTACAAAGGGTTATTTAATGCGGAAAATCCAAAAGCTCCTTTAGAAGTCAAGTGCTCACACCCGAGGCCCTACACACTGCAGCCTTCCTTTTCACTCAAAAAACCTGAAAACCAAAACCAAAAACCATGGACTAGGGGCACACGAGTCAGCTCAGGACTGCCAACAGCGGGCAATTCCCTGGTAGGAAGTCCTTCCTTGCACCTCACATGAGCCCTTCCTGCTGCAGTATAGCCACATTACCATCTACTAGAAACCCTTCTGCTTCCAAATGCACCCTTTGTTAAATTGCTAAGTTGTGATTCCATGAGCAACACGGCAATCACAAAAGCCCCATCACCCTACCCTGTTTGCCCCTACCCCGCCCCATCCCAAGTCACACTTATTCCCTGTCCTTTGCTACTGGGCAAATATTGACTTTCTTTCACTCAGCCTTGTCAATGGAAGTGAGACCAATGGGGCTGGCTATTGTCTCCCTCCTCTCTCCTGTCAGAGGGCAAAGCAAGCTGTCAGCCTCAACAGCGGGAGCAGGGGCCAACTGAGACAAGCTGAGAAAGAAAAGTGTGGTCTTGGAAGTAATATTTCTGTCTTTTGGTCTTTTGTCTTTCTGTCCTCCCTCCCTTCCCCAAGCCCATCTGGGTTTATTTTTTTCACATTTGGCTATCCTGCTGCCCTGTCTGGCTCAAGAGCAGCAGCGTGGCATAGCTGGCATAACTGAGAGAGCTCAGGCCTGGGAATTCAAGTGTCTGATACTGGGTCACCTTATGCTAGTTCTTTAATTTTCTTGGGCTTCCATGTTCTAGTCTGCAAAATGGGAAGGTTGGACCCCATGATCTCAGTATCTAGATCAGGAAGTTCCTTCCTATCAGGACCCATGTCCTTTCTGCTGCAGTCAAGGCATTTTACCTTGTGCTCTGATTTCAGAAAAAATGGAAAATAACTGCTTGGTGCTTAACAGGGAGGAAGGAAAGAGCGTTGCATTGAGGTTCTACAAGGGCTGGCAAGCTCCATCGCTGGTACTAACATGCTGTGTGATCCTGGGCAAGGAGCTCCCCCTCTCTAAGCCTCAGTTTCCCCATAATCAAAACAGAGGGCTGGATGAGATGATCCCACAGCCCCTTTCAGTGCCTCGTCCTGCCGTGGCACTCATCTAACACATCCCTGCGGAAGGCGATGTCCCCCGCTCCTTCAGCTTTTCTCCAAGGCAGCATCTCACAGCCTTTCCTCATGACTAACCTTGAATGGAGGGATGCCATGCCGCTGGCTCGTGTTCCTTCATCATCAGGAGCCTTTTGTCAGCCACACTCCTCTCAGACTCATGCTTGCTTGGCCTTTGGCCTTTGTGGCTGAGCTCTTCCTTTCTCCAGGTCCCATGATGAAGACCAGAGCATGCAAACTCCTGGAGCCTGCGGCCAGTGCACAGCAGGAGGACGACACAGGACATTGGGGCATTTTGGGGGATTGTGTGCATGGTGACAACTGCAGGACTGTGAACTGTATCCCTGCTCTTCCTCTAACTTGAGCCCTCTCTGTGATAACACAGAACCTCAAAAACCCATTCCTTGTGCATTAGTCAGTATCACACTATGGACTTCCTATTCCAGGTTGGCAATATTCCCTTTTCACAGATGAGACAATTGAGGCTCAGAGAGGTTGGTAATTTGCCTGAATTCACACAGATATTAAGGAGCGAGCCAAGATGGGAACCTAGATGTATCTATCTGCAAAGACTTTGCTCTTAACCATCAGCGCTCTTACTGAGAAGGGGAGGTCATCGCCTCTCCCCAAGCTGACTTACAGGACTGGAATCACAGGGCAGTGAACACCCAAAGCCTGAATGACTCCAACAAACCTCCCACCCCCTCCACCCCCACCCAGCCTCGGCAAAAGCAGAGCCAGCAGGGTCGTGGATCAACAAAGCCAGAAGGACTTTGGGTCATCTAAACCAAGCTTTCACTTCACATACAAGAAAACTGAGGTCCACAGTGGCGTGCGACTTGCCTAAGGTCACACAGCAAGTCTAGGGTAAACCTCGGTCCCGGCCATGGGGTCCTGGGAGTCCCCCTCCAGGTTGAGCCAGTCCCTTTGCCACTCCTTCCACCTGGGTGTAGACATGCCTTCAGCCACTCACTCCAGGGACATCTGGCCTTACCCCTCTCTGCTTCTCAGTTGGTCCCTTCCTAGAAGGTTCGGGGAATGGAGTAAAAGGCCCATTTTATCATAACCAGAGGTGTGGCAGAGAGTGGGGAAGGGAGAACCAAAGGAAAACAGGTGTGAGATTATTGGAAAGTCAAGCAGTCTCTCTGTTTCCCATGAAGTTTCTAATGCAGAATGGTCCTAATGATCAGAGAGAGAGAGAGAGAGAGACAGAGAGATAGTGCTGATGTTCCCATTTTGTAGGGAAGCTTTGAAGATGGTAGGGGAAGATCACACTGCAAATCTACAATCTTTCCCTGCTCCCCATGGCCACTGCTCACAGCTGCCCTGCCACCTGCTTGCTACACAGCTTGTATTATTATTAACAATAGCTACCACTCACTAAGGACTTAGCTCAGTACTGGACCAAGTATTTACATATGCTTCTTGTTTAATCCTCATAAAAACCCTAAAATACCACCACTATTCTCATTTTGTTTTGACTACTTAGTAACTGAAGCTCTAAGATATAAAGTAATTTGCTCAAGGTCACACAGCTAATAACCAGTAGAGCCAAGGTCTCCTGGGGACTCCCTCCAGGGGTGTGCCGGGCTTTGAAATTCATATACTGTATTTGTCTCAAGTTGTCTTGACTCTGGTGACAGAAGTGGGAGGGCAATGCATTGGGAATTCCTGGAGACCACCTGCTCCCATCACCCAGCCAAGCCCACTTCCTGCTACTCAGACACCAGCCCAGAACTGCAGCCACAGAATTGTGGGGTTGCAAGGGCCTGAGAAGTTAACTAGTTCTACCTTCTCAATGTACAGGGGAGGAAAGCAAGAAAGGGCCTTGCCCAAGGTCACACAAGGTCACAAAATTGGAGGCAGAGCCTGTAAATTAAACTCAGCTCTCTTGTCTCAAACTCGGACTCGTCCGCAACACCCTAATGCCCAGTATGAAGTTATTGTCTCATCTCAACTGAAGACAGAACCAGAGTTCATCCCAAAAAGGAGTTAGATTAGACTTTCCTATGGCAAGGACTGTCACATTGCACAGTGGGGTGCTCTAGGCTATTGTAGTGGAGATCTTTCTAAAACGAGACAATTCCTTCAGATCTTCCTTATCTGAGATGAATGCAGCCCTGTCTGGAGGTAGAGAGCAGACAGCATGACCTTGTGAGGTCCTTGACATCACCCTTTAACCTATGGTCATCTGTCTGTCACAGCGAACCTTTCCCTAGGAAAGAATCTGCCCTCTGCAAAGAGGATGTGTAATGCTGGAAAGCCCGCCTTTCTCCCCATCAGCTGGATTCTGAGAGTTGGGAGAGATGACCAATGAACAGGCTGAGGGTGTCACAGCCCTGCTACTTTGGGATGGGGGGTGCAGTAGGGGAGCTACAGTCTTCCCAGAGGCCAGGTCATTCTACCCAGCTGCACCCCATCCCCAACCTTTCAGTGGGCGACACCTGCAGGGTGTTGGGACTGGGAGAAACCTCAGATACCTTAAATTCCAAACCCCATTTTCCAGATGAAGATACTGAGGCCCAGAGTGGGTCAGTGAGTTGCCCAAGGTCATAGGACAGGTCAGAATGGAAGCTTTCCGACTCTCCCCGGGGCGCTGGGTTCACAGCTCCACCTTGCCACCCCCTGCCCCGGAAGTGAGCACTGAAGTCACTTAAGAGAGGCCAGTGACCAAAGGCAGCGATTCCCAGGTGCAGAGGCTGGGGCAGACGTGCCCATGAGCTTGTTCCCCCGCGCACCCTCCCCCACCTCGTCCCCATTCCTGTCTTGGTTACCATGTGCCTCCATCATCCTGAGATTCAGAGAGGTGCAGCGGCTTGTCGAAGGTCACACAGCACACTGAGTAGGGCCCTCGTTTCCACTGCCCAGCTGCCCCCTCCCATTGCCCACCCGGGCCTCTGCAAGCTTGCCAGGATCCCCGGGAGCCTGCTTCCTCCAATGCACAGAGCCGTGGCGCGTGTCAAAGTGTGGGAAAGTTCCTGGGAGAGGGAAGGGGTAGAAAATACAGCCGCTCATCTCAACCTTGGACGGCTGCGGCAAGGCAGGGGCGCTCAGAAAGGCAGCCAGTCCTGCGCACCGCCGGTGCCTCCGGCACACCCCACTCTGCGCCAGGGGCTCCCCAGGGTCGCGCGAGCATGTTCTTCCAGCTCCTCCTCAGCGAAGCAGGCGCGGCGGGGTCCCACGCGCCCAGCACCCACTTCTCTCCGCACGCCCACTTCATGCACCTCCCCGCGCCCTTCCCACGGCTTCTCTGCGGCGAGTCGCCTTTGCTTCCCCGCAGGTCCCCGGTCCCAGCGCTAAGGCACCGCGGCTTCTCTCGCCTTCTCTCCGCGTTGAACCCGGGCTCTCCGCGGGGAGAAATAGGTTGGGGGCGAGGGGTTCCCGAGATAATTCAGGACACCTCCCCGGGGTCTAGCCAGGTAATTCCGACGCCCATGGATTTCCGGATTACAGTTCCCACCGCGGGCTCAGTCCTACTCTTAGTTTATCCCGCGGTGAGCGCCAAGCCCCAAAAGTCGGAGTGTCACCGTTTGGTGACCCCGCGTCCGCCCGCGCCTCAGGCCCTGGAGGTGGCCACTGTCGGTCCAGGCACGGCTTCGCTCGGGACTACTGGCTGCCCTCGTGGGGTGCCCCGCCTGGGGTTCCCTCTTACCCTGGGACGTTCCAGGCGCGTTCAGCCTGAGCTGGTGGAGAGGGCGGGGGCGGGGGCGGCTGGGGTCCCGAAGTCCAGGTCCCTCTTCCCACTTCCCCGCCGGCCCTGCCGCTGCGGCCCTCGCTCCCGCGCTCGCTCGCTCTCGAGTCTCTCCCTCTCTCTCTTCTCTTCCTCTCTCTCTCTCTGCAGTAGTAACAACCTGATCCCGCTTCCCCCACCCGCCTCTTGAGATGCTCCTCACATCCGCCTGCACACAGCGCGTGCGGCCCCTCCGAAGGCGATCCCCGCAAACCGCGACGCAGGTCCTCCGCCCCAGGCAATCCCCGCTGCGGGAGAGGCCGCCTCCTGGCGCCCACGCCCCCCTTCTGCAGTCCGTACTGCCGGCCGAGGGGGAAATGGGCGACAGGGGAAGGGGAGGTGTGTGCGGGACGGACTAGGCTGGGGCAGAGGGGTTTAAACTGGCGCGGTCCTACAGAAGTTTGAGGAGGGCGGGGCCGGCTCCGAGCCCCCGGAGCCCTACGGGACTCCCCCGATTCTACTGAGGAGTCCCCGCCAGCTCCGTGCACTCCTGCAACACTCCCCACCCCACCCGCCAGCTCCGAGTTTACAGCCTCTCGGGTCCGGGGATTGGCTGGGGGAGGGGACGGGGGGGAGGGGACCCCCTGGCTGTAGGGAACGGCGTGCGGGCGGGGGTGGGAGGGAAACGATTTGCTTCAGGAGATAGGGATGAAGGTTTTCCTGAGTCAAGGGAGGGAGAAGAGAGGTGGAACAAAAGGCAGATGCTGGAGGGGAAGGGGAGCTGGGGAGCTCGCCCCGAGGGCTCCGGCAGCCCGCGGTCCCCTGCCTCAGTCTGTCCCAGAGGGTGAGGTCAAGGCTGGTGCCAGGGCTCTTCACCGGCCACCTGGAGAGGGGAGAAAGAGGGATGCAGGGGTACGGGGTTGGGGCAGAGGAGGAAGAGCGTCTGCTGGCACAGGACCCTCTGCCTGCTCTCAGATAGGAACCCAGCAGAAGGGCTCTGCCATGGACCCAACACCTCCCACCTCCGCAGATCTGCTTTCTCCCACTTGGGAAAAGCGAGGCTGACACCCACTGTGAGCACCAGGAGGGGCAGGAAGAACCGAGAGCCTGGGCAGCACTCCTGTGCCTCAGTCTCATCCTTGGGCCTCACCCTCAACCCCCAACCTCACCCGATAAGACCTCGGGGCCCCAGCTCGCCAGGTGGAATTTCTGCTGCTGTCTGGCCATTAACTGCCCCTGACCTTCCCAGCTCCACCTCACCCTCGCCCTCTCCCCTCAGCCTCTCCTTCACCCTCCATGCAGCTGCTTTCTGTTTGCCTTCTGCTCTGCACACTCAGGACCAGGACTCGAGTTTGGTGTTTGACCCAGGAAGTGACATTCCTCACCCACCAACCCACACACACAAAAATCCTGTGTGCATGTGTGTTGGGGGGGAGGGGCAGTCATTCAGGGCTTTCCAGGGCTTCTCATCCCCACAGAGTCTGGGGAACTGGGAAATTCCCAATACCCGCAGTGAATCCCCCTTCCTCCCCTCCTCCAGGCATCCCCCGCCCCAAGACAGAGACCTTACTCCAGAAGCCGGGGACTGCAGTGCTGCAGCAGCCGCGGCTCCTGGCCGGCATGGAGCCTCTCTTCAGAAGGGCAGCAGCTCGCTTGTCACAGACCCTGGACGGCAGAAAAGCTGATTCAGGGATTTCCGGGCGGCTCCTCCTGTGGGGGAGTGTGCATCTGCATACCTGGGTGTTGGGAAGGGTGTGTGCGTGTGTTCATGTGTGGGCTGGGGGAGAGGACCCATGCCTGAGACCCTCTAGTCAGGTCTGCTGATCCCTCACTGTTCTTCAGATGGAAAGGGGGAGCTGGGGTAAAGGGCTCAAGGTCAGATGCTCAGCAGGAGGGCACCAGGGGTTTCCCCCCACTCTGCTACACTCCGGTAACCTACCCCCACCACGTCGCCCCACACTGAGGAGGGGACCTGTCACCTGAGATGGGTGTGTGGGCTGAAGAGCAGTACCTGCTGCTCCTCTTCGGTTTCTCCCTGGGGAGAGAAGTGCTTCTGTTTTGAAATCTCCCCCAAACCTTCTTTTGCTAGAAGGAGGGAGGATGGGACTGAAATTTCATTCAGCAGGCTGGATTCAGGTTTGACTTTGGGGTTTCCTGATGCTAAGGGTCTGGGGCAGCATCCTGCTTGACAGGGAAAGCTTATGCCTTCACGATTGGAATGTAGTGCTGCTTAGATGAAAAGGGATGGATGAAATGACCCCCATGGTTCCTTCTGATAAAATGGACCAAGAGACGCCTGAACCTTATACAAAGCTGCCTCCAGTAAAACAAAATCTAGTTACAGAAAATAAAGCACTTCTGTAAGGTTATGTCTGCTCCTTCTGAAAATACCGTGTTTAATGTCTGTGCTGCCTCCAATGTGTCCTTTCCCCTCTTGGGTGGAAGTGGAATTCTGATGGCCTGTGGAAGGATTGGGTGACACTTGCACAGGCAGTGGCTGGGCCACAATGGGGGAGGATGGGAACACGGTGGGTCCCTGGAGAAAACACAGCTGTGCTTTACCCAAAGCCCCTTCAGGCCCCAGAGGACCCTTCCCCTGATAGGGATGACAATGACAGCCTGACAGTCTTAATTTCACTTGATTCTTATCAACTTTCCCAGGAGGCAGCAAGGCGAGGAAGGGATAATTCTTCACTCCACTGAGGCACAGGGAGCCCCCAAAGGGTGGATGACTCACCCAAGGTTCTCAGGTAGGTTCCTACCTTACCCTGGGGTTTTATGTTTCTATTCTCAACACTAACGTTTCTCATTCCTCCACAAGTTAAATTGCTCACTCCAGCCAACTGAAGCATGCTTTTCTTGACACAGTTAGCTCGAGGCACACGGTTGGTGTTAAAAAAAAAAAAAAAAAAAAAAAAAAAAAAAAAGAGCGTTATGTCAATTTCATTGATCAACAAAAGTGATGGCTCCACTGCAAATTCAAGTTGATAGTGCCTGGGCCTCTTGAGTTCAAGAGCCTTCTAGACAAAGGGCTCTGAGCTGAAACATGAGCATGCACACATATGCCTGTCGCTGGGTCTGATGAGATAATTTGCATACTTGGTTGTTATCCCTGAGCATTTTCCTGCCTCAATGCACGTGTAGCCAACACAATAATAATCATAGCTGATAAAGGCTAAAGCTGAGGACTTTCCTGAGCCAGGCAGTGGCTTTAAAACCTTTAAAGTGGCTTTTAAAACTTTAACAGCTAAAGCTGAGGACTTTCCTGAGCCAGGCAGTGGCTTTAAAAACTTTAAAGTTTTCACATAGACTCTCACTAAATAATTTCTGTTTTTCAGATCAACAAACTGAGACTATCACATTTGGGATTAAGTTAAAAAAAGAAAGAAAGAAAGAAACTGAGGCTTAAATACTTGCTTAAAGCAAGTATTTCACAGCCAGCAAGTGGCTAAGTTGGAACTTGAGCCCAGGCAGTCTAGCCCCGGGATCCTGTGCCCGGCAGAAAGGTGCTGGGTCAAGGGAGGAGGGGGCAGTCGGGAGCGCGCGCACGCTCTGGACTTGTGCACCCGCGGAAAAGGGTGCGCCGAGGGGGTAGGGGCGACGGGGACGGGGGCGGGGTAGGGGCAGCCTTTTCCCAGGCGGTAGCGGGGGCGGTGGTTCTGTTGTCCTGTTGCCCTTTTAAGCTGCGGCTTGACAGGGGCCGCGCCTCCTGTCGGTGGAGTCGGCTACAAAGGGAGCAGCCCCCCAGGCCGCCACACAGCTCCCGCCAAGACCTGGTGCCCCTTGCCATTTTCCAGCCGCGCTCCCAGGAGAGTGGAGGCTGCAGGAAGAGGCGGGTCTTTAGGCTCACAAGAGCTCGGCCAGGCGGCCCCGCGGGGTGGTCGTGGCCATGACAGCGGCTCCAGACGGCTCCCCTTCCACGCCCTTCCCGCCGGAGATGAGGGGAAGATGTCTGTGTCAAGATTCAAGGCCAAACTGAAGTTGCTGGCGTCTATCTTCCACGAGAACCAGGAGGCTCAGCTGCGGCTCACGCTCCACTGCAACATGAGGTGAGGCGCCCGGCGGCGGCCTCGCGGGGCAGGAAGAGGGCGGAGAGGGGGTGCCCGGAGTCCCGGGACAAAGGGGAACCTGCCCCGGCGAGGCTCCCCGCCCCTTTCTCCCGCAACTGGCCCGGCCCGCCCCGGGACTGCGCGAGGCTTGGGTGGGAGGAGGCGGCGGGCGCGTCTGTCTCTCCGGCTCCTCGCATGGGGCTGTCTTGGGGGCCACTGGCCCCTCTCAGCCCCCGTCGCCGCCCCCCGAGGTGGGAGCCCGCGGTGGCGGGAGCCCTCTCGGGACCCATGGTCGCCCTCAGTCAGCCGGCCTGCTCCGGGGACCGCGACAGGGCGGGGAATGGCGGCTTTTGAGCCCAGGCGGGGAAAGGCAAAGGCCTTTAAGATTTTCGGTGTTCGAAACCAGCCTGGCTAACATGGTGAAACCCTATCTCTACTAAAAAATACAAAAATTAGCCCGGCGTGGTGGCAGGCTACTTAATCCCAGCTACTTGGGAGGCAGAGGCAGGAGAATCGTTAGAACCCGGGAGGCGGAGGTTGCAGTGAGCCGAGATCGAGCCATTGCACTCAAACCTGGGGGATAAGAGCGAGACTTCTCTCAAAAAACAAAAACAAAACAAAACAAAAAAAAACAACTTTTTTTTTTTTTTTTTTTAGACAAAGCCTCACTCTGTCGCCCAGGCTGGAATGCAGTGGCGCAATCTCGGCTCACTGCAGCCTACGTCTCTTGACAGTCCACGGATTAAAGCTATTCTCCTGCCTCAGCCTCCGGAGTAGCTGGGATTACAGGCGCCCGCCACCACGCCTGGCTAACTTCTGTGTCTTTAGTAAAGACGGGGTTTCACCATGTTGGCCAGGCTGGTCTCAAACTCCTGACCTCAAATGACCCACCTCTGCCTCCCGAAGTGCTGGGATTCCTTCAATCCAATCAAGTTGACTCTGAGTATTAACCATCACAAGTGTCTTCAGAATTGTCATTCTTTTCTGCTGTGGCCTCCCTCTCCTGGTTTGCAGACCCATGCTCCGCCTGTGACACTAGGATGGGGAGGTGCTGGCAGGAGAGCTTTCTAGCTCCTGAGTTAAAAGGCAGAGATGGAGTCTGTTTTAAGATTTTGCTGCTGTGTTGAGTTATATTAAAAAACATTTTGTCTTTTCCCTCTGGTTTTCACACTCATAGTAAGAGGCCATCAAGATAGGCTTCTTATATGGGAGGGTGATTCTTACCAACTGTAGTTGGGACAAGAACGGTAAAGAATGTTAGATTCTTCTGGAAAAAAGTGGTCCCTCCATTATTTGGATTGGGTTTGTGGCCTTCTCAAGCCCAGCAGTCTAATTCCATCTGCTTTGTGTCTTCCGGCATGTCCCTGTAGTTTTGGTTCACTAAGGGTATTCTCCTTGTATCTGTTATTTTTCTGCTGCTGTGTCAGACTTATTCTGTTTAGTAAAATACTGTCATTTTGGTGGGATTTTGGAAAGAGGACCAGGCCACATCTTGAAATTCATCTTAGGATTTTACAACCCTAACTCACTTTTTGTTTTGATTAAATTACCCTTTTTGAGGGGTGGGGGCTCAGCTTTATCATTTGCAAAATGAAGGATAGTAACTGGGCTGATGGTTACAGATGTGGATGCGTGTCAGAATCACCTCAGAGAGCTTTTTAAAAACACATTCTCCCCAGCACTTTGGGAGGCCGAGGTGGGCGGATCATGAGGTCAAGAGATCGAGACCATCCTGGTCAACATGGTGAAACCCCGTCTCTACTAAAACTACAAAAATTAGCTGGGCATCGTGGCACGCGCCTGTAGTCCCAGCTACTTGGGAGGCTGAGGCAGGAGAATCGCTTGCACCCAGGAGGCGGAGGTGGCAGTGAGCCGAGATGGTGCCACTGCACTCCAGCCTGGCAACAGAGCAAGACTCCGTCTCAAAAAAAAACAAAACCAAAAACAGATTCTCTGGGTATGCTTTGAAATGAGCATTTCAAAAATGCTCTTTCAATCACTGATGCAACCAAAGTCTTTGGGACTTTTAGGCTAAGAATATATTCTTTAGATACCCAGAATAGTTTAATGTGGAGTATAACAATTTAGGGAAATGAAGAAGGGTTGAATTACATTTTGGAAGCTGCTGCTTGCTTCCTTTTTCCATTTAGTTTTTAGAAGACAAAGAATGTCTAAAGAGATACAGATTTAAAGCAAATATAAGTTAATTCTTCATGGGTATGTTTATCTACATGGCTTTCTCCAGCTGACTGATCCAGAAGAGTTCTAATACCCTCTGTGATCATGGGTTTGTTTTTCTTAAGAATTACTCCATCAGAGTATCTAAGAACAGATGCTTAGATACTGCTGAGACCTTTGTTGGTCTTACTTGATCTCTGAATCCTAGTTTTTTGATCTTCTACATATTCTGGGTTTTAACCTGTACTGGCCTTCATGGTTAAAGAAGCATTTATATACTGTGCCCAGGCCAGGAAGCTTATCTTTTGAACTTTGCCCAAACTGTGTATGAAGGCCCTTCTTAAAACCCCATTAAATTCATTTCTAAACTTGATCATTGTAAATTGTGTCAGTTGGTAAATTCTGTCTTGTAGGGAGGTATTTTGTAGTAAATAACATGTTTTTAAAACTAAAATTTGCCTTTTAGTAAGGTGGTAATCATTTCATAATTCTTAGTTTTGTCAAGTGTCTATAAATAACACATCTGATCTTTTAAAATGTAAGGCAATTGAATTTATGTAATGATTCAGGCTTTTCAAAGTTAAAAAGGTAGTTATTTTAAGGAATGGATAGTTTGTGATATTTATTTTAAACAAAATAAGCCATTGATCTTATACACATAGCCATGTAAGTAAAATGTTTTCTTATTTTAAATTAGATTACATTTTAACATTTTTTTCGGTTTTGCTTTGTATTTGACTGATTGCTTTTCTTTATTCCTAATTCTTTTATTCTTTGTTCCGTTTTTAAAAGCTGATAACTGTTGTTTGTCAAATCAAAGTTGGATTTAAAAATAAACATTTAATTTTAATAAGCTCTCTGCTAGTGGCACTGCAGTGACAGATGGTTGAGAGTTTGTCCCTAAAGCTATGGCACCGGTCTTCTAATTGACTCACCCTGTATTCAGCCTGTGTAGCCCTGGCAGATTCTTTCTCTGTTTCAGAATGGGACAACAGAAGAAGTGACTTCAGAGGAAGAGGAAGAAGAGGAGATGGCTGAAGTAGGTATTTTATATAAGAATGACATTTCATAAATGTCGTCATTTTTGATTTGAGGAATTCTCTAAATCTCCTTTGTAAACTACTATTAATGTGGAATAATTGAAAGCACATTGTATTTGGAATGGAATATAATTTCTCACCTCTGGCTTTACCTCTAACTGATGATACATCTTTGAGAAAATTGCTTTATCTGAATTCTTTGGATTTGATTTTCTGGAAAACAAAAGCTCTTAACTTTTAGCACCAAAGTTGTACTTATATTTAATACTAATCAGTCCTTAACCTGTATTTGGTTATTTTTAGGAAAAGGAACTACTAAGTTTAAAAAATGTTATGTTTGCATAAAAGGAGAATTTGAGAACATGTTAGGGACTACTCACCAGAAGTAGTGACACTGTCTCTTGTTGAAAAATCATCAAGGAATTTTCTCTTAGTCTGTTTTATGCTGCTATAACAGAATACCAGAGACTGGGTAATTTATAAAGAACAGACATTTATTTTCTGACAGTTCTGGAGACTGGGAAGTCCAAGATGAAAATACCAACATTTGGTGTCTGAGGGCCTTCTTGTTGCCACCTCACATGGTAGAAGGCAGAAGGCAGAAGGGCAGGAGAGCAAGCTAGTCCAATGTGTGAAGCCTCATTCATCAGGGCCTTAATCCCATTAAGGAGGAAGGAGCCCTCTTGGCCTAATCACCTCCTAAAGGTCCTACCTCTTAATATCATCACATTGGCAACACCTGAATTTTGGAGGGAACACATTCAAATGGTAGCAAATTTAGTAGAGCACATTCCAAAGACATTGAGCCTAGGCCAGTTGTCAGTCATGGGTCTAATTTTAGACATTTTCAGGCTCTGAAGCTTTGCATTTAAATTCAAACTCCGGAACAAAGATCTGTGTCTCTGCATTGACCAAATAGAAGGTATGTGAATTTTATGGTCTTGATCGTTTTACAAGATTTTTTCTGTTTGGGGTCTTATAATTAATATAGGCTTTCATTTTCTTGGTTTGGAAATTATTAATCTAAAATATACTTTACAGTGCTTCAGAACTAAAGAAGTAGTGTTGTGGGCTTGTTTTTGTTTGTTTTTTTTAAGATAGGGTCTCCTGTCACCCAGGCTGGAGTGGAGTAGCATGGTCACGGCTCACTGCAACCTTGAACTCCCAGGTTCAAGCAATCCTCCTGAGTAGCTGGAACTACAGGCGGGTGCCCCACGTCCAGCTAATTTTTTAAATTTTCTGTAGAGTTTGAGTCTCGCTCTGTTGCCCAGGCTGGTCTTGAACTCCTGGCCTCAAGTGATCCACCACCTCGGCCTCCCAAAGTGCTGGGATTACATGCGTGCACCACTGTGCCTGGCTGTAGGCTTGTTTTATAAGTCTGGGAGTAAAATACTTCTTAAAATTGTCCAATTAGAATGAGAGTTTAGGCTGGGCATGGTGGCTCATGCCTGTAATCCCAGCACTTTGGGAGGCCGAGGCAGGTGGATCATGAGGTCAGGAGATCGAGACCATCCTGGCTAACAAGGTGAAACCCTGTCTCTACTGAAAATACAAAAAATTAGTCAGGTGTGGTGGTGGGCGCCTGTAGTCCCAGCTACTTGGGAGGCTGAGGCAGGAGAATGGCCTGAACCCAGGAGGCAGAGCTTGCAGTGAGCTGAGATCACGCCACTGCACTACAGCCTGGATGACAGAGCAAGACTCTGTCTCAAAAAAAAAAAAAAAAAAAAAAAAAAAAGAATGAGAGTTTAATGTTTTTATGCAGTTTAGCTCAGGTAGAATAAAGTGCAAGAAAACATTGAACCTTTTCTGTGGGTCAGGAAGCCATTGTAGTAAAGATCATGAACCCTTTCATCTTCCCCTCACAAAATAATAAACAAGGGACTGCAACTTTGAGGGAAATCTAGAAAGGTAGGAGACTGGACTTTGGAGATGTCAGATTAGGACTGGTGAAAAGCAGATATTCTAGGCTCCTAAAATAACGTGGGAACAAGCCCAGAACAACCTTGGACATGGTGTGTTTGTGCATGGGATGCTTTTCTTTTGAGACGGAAGGTTGATGTGTTGAAGTCATGGAAAGTGTTCAAAATATTGTGAGAATTACCGAAATGTGACACAGAAACATGAAGTGAGCACATGCTGTTGGAAAAAAATGGTGCTGATCTACTTGCTTAATGCAGAGGTGCCAAAAACCTTCAGTTGTAAAACAAAAAACAAAACAAAAAAAACAAAAAACAATAATAAAAAAAAGGAAAACTGCAATATCTACAGAGTACAATAAAGTGAAGCAGAATAAAATGCAGTATGCCCGTATGAAAGATTATGATGTCGGTGAACAAACAGTTGTATGCCTTCCTTTCCAATGTGTATGCCTTTTATTGATCCTTGTTGCTTAATCACTTTGGCTAGGACTTCTAGTACTATGTGGGAAAAAAGGGACGAGTATGAGCATCCTTGCCTTGTTCTTCATATGAGGGGGAAAGCTTTTTACCATTAAATATGTTGGTGTCGGGTTGTCATAAATGGCCATTGTTAAGTTGAAATATGTTCTTATTTGTTTGTTTATTTTAACTAGAGATAGGGTTTCACTATGTTGCCCAGGCTGGTCTTGAACTCCTGGGCTCAAGCGATCTTCCTGCTTCAGCCTCTCAAAGTGCTGGGATTACAGGCGTGAGCCTTTCTGAGCGTTTTTTCATCATGGAAAGGATGTCAAATTTTGTCAAATGCTTTTTGTGCATTTATTGAGATGATGATATGTTGTTTATCTTTTATGCTGTTAATGTGACATATCACAATTACTGATTTTTGTATGTTGAATCATTCTTGCATCCCAGGGATAAATCTCCTTAATCATGGTGGTATGATATGGATTTGGTTTATTTGGCCCCACTAAATTTTATGTTGAAATTTGATTCCCAATTTGGTAGTATTGGGAAGTAGGGCCTCATGGCAGGTGTTTGGGGTCTCATGAATGGCTTGGTGCCATCTTGCAATAGTGAGTTCTCATCTTGCAAGACTGGATTGGTTTTTGGGGTAATAAATTAGTTCCCCTTGGAGTAGGTTGTTACAAATCCAGGATACCCCTTGGGTTTGTTCTCATTTCACATATGCCCGCCTCACCTTTTACCTTCTTCACCATGTTTTGACACAGCACAAAAGCCCTCAGGAGAAGCAGATGCTGGCATCATGCTTCTTGTACAGCCTGTAGAACTGTGGCCATTTTAATGCGGTATTGAATTTGGTTTTCTAGTCTTTTATGGAAGATATTTGGATCTGTTTTCATCAGGGTTACTGGTCTGTGATTTTCTCTTTTTTGTAGTGTTCTGGTTTGGCTTTGATATCAGGGTAATGCTGGCATAGTAAAATGAGTTTGGAAGTGGTCCATCATCTTCAGTTTTTTTGAAGCAATTGGGATATACTGACATTAATTCTTCTTTAAATGCTTGATAGAATTCAGTAGTGAAGCCATATGATTCTTGTGCCTCAGCCTCCTGAGTAGCTGGGATTACAGGTGTGCACCACCGCACCTGGCTAATTTTTGTATTTTTAGTAGAGTCGGGGTTTCACCATGTTGGCCAGGCTGGTCTTGAACTCCTGACCTCAAGTGATCCACTCTCTTCGGCCTCCCAAAGTGCTGGGATTACAGGCATGAACCACTGTTCCTGGCCCATAGACTTCTTTTTGATGGAGATTTTAAACAACCAAATTGATATCCTTAATCATTACTGGTATGTTTAGTTTCTCCATTTCTTCATGCTTTGGACTTGGTAAGATATGGTTTCTAGGAATTTACCTACTTTTTTAGGTTATCTTTTTTATGGCATATAATTGTTCATCATAGACCCTTATGGTCCTTCTTATTTCTGTGGTATTAGTTTTCAAGTCTCCACTTTGATTTATGATTTTGTTTATTTGAGTCCTGTCACATTTTATCTTAGTCCAGCAAAAGGTGAATTTTGTATGTCTTTTAAGAAACAACTCAGTTTACTTTTCTGTTGTTTTTCTAGTCCCTACTTCATGTTTTTCAGCTCTGATCTTTAAGATTTCCTTCTTCTTTCTAACATTGGAGTTTGTTCTTCTTTTTCTAGTGTTTGAGGTATAAGGTTATCTTACTTATTTAATATCTTTCTTTTTTCTTCACGTAAGATTTTATCACTAAAAGTTTCTCTCTTAGAATTGCTTTTGCTGTAGCCCATAATTTATTATTTATTTATTTATTTATTTATTTATTTTTGGGATGGTGTCTCACTCTGTTGCTCAGGCTGGAGTGCAGTGGCATGATCTCTGCTCACTGCAACCTTCGCCTCCTGGGTTCAAGTGATTCTCCTGTCTCAGCCTCCCAAGTAAATGGGATTACAGGCACATGCCACCATGCCCAGCTAATTTTTGTATTTTTAGTAGAGACAAGATTTCACCATGTTGGCCAGGCTGGTCTCGAACTCTTGACCTCAGGTGATTTGCCCACCTTGGCCTCCCACAGTACTGGGATTAAAGGCATGAGTCACTACACCCGGCCTAGCCCATAAGTTTTTGTATGCTGTGTTTCCATTTTGATTTGTATCAAGATCTTTTTAAATTTCCCTCTTGGAAAATTTACCACTTACCCTTTGGTTGCTCAGAAGAATGTTGTTTAATTTGCATATATTTGTGAGTTTTCCAGTTTTTCTTTTTATTGATTTCTAGTTTCATACCATTGTAATCAGAAGATATTCTTCATGCAGTTTCAATCGTCTTAAATTTGTTAAAACGTGTTTTGTGGCCTAATACTTAAAGTAATTTGGAAATAATTTTATATGTACAAGAAAAAAAGTCTTCTGTTGCCTTTTGACAGAATGCATTGTATATGTCTGTTAGGCCCTCTTTTTGTCTAAAATGCAGTTCAATTACAATATTTTCTCATTGACTTTCTATCTGAACAATTTGTCCATTGTTGAAAGTGAGGTATTAAAGTTTTCTACTATTATTGTATCCAGTCTGTCTCTTCCTTCAGATTTATTAATATTTGCTTTATATAATTTAAGTGCTGTAATGTTAGGTGCATATATATTTGAAATTGTTATATCCCCTGATGAATTGACCTGTTTATCATTATATGATGATCTTCTTTGTATCTTACGAGAGTTTTTGACTTAAAGTTTATTTTGTATAAATTTAGCTATTCCTACTCTCTTTTGGTTTCCATTTGCATAGAATATAACCTTCCTTATTTACATTGACTCTAAGTGTGTTCTTAAAGCTTAAGTGAATCCGTTGTAGGTACCATATTGTGTGTGTGTGTGTGTGTGTGTGTGTGTGTTCAATCCATTGAGCAGTCTATCTTTAGAGTATTTAAGCAATTTATATTTAAAGTAATTATTGATAGGTAAGCAATTACTATTGCCATTTTGTTAATTGGTTTCTAGTTGCCTTGTAGATTCTTTGTTTGTTTCATCCTCTCTTGCTATCTTCCTTTGTGAACTGATGATTTTTTTGTAATGAGTGGTATGCTTTGATTCCTTTCTCTTTTTCTTCTATATATCAACTAGAGGTTTTTGGTTTATGGTTACCGTGAGGCTTACAGGAAATACCTTTTAGTTATAAAAGTCTATTTTAAGCTTATAACAAATTTTCTTTGATCACATACAAAATCTCTATACTTTTACACCCCTTATTTTTTGTTTATGATGTCAAAATTTATATCTTTTTAATATTATGTATCCACAGACTATTGTATTTACAGTTTTGTTAATACTTTTGTTTTTAAACTTTAAGTGATTTACACACCATTACAGTATTAGAATATTCTGAATTTATTAGAGTATTAGAATATTATTAGAGTATTCTGATAAACTTCCATTTGTCAGTTTTATACTTTCATATGTTTTCATGTCATTAATTAGCCTTGTTTCATTTTATCTTGAAGAACTCTCTAGCATTTCTTATAAAGCAGGTCTAAAGTGGTGAACTCCTCAGCTTTTGTTTGTTTAGAAGGCTTTAGATCTCCATTTTTGAAGAACAACTTTTTTAGGTAAAATATTCTTGGTTAGCAGTATCTTTCTTTCTTTTACCAGTTTGAATATATCTATATAATTCTACTATCTTCTGGCTGTAAGGCTTCTGCTGAGAAATCTGCTAATAGTCTTATCAGAGTTTGCTTGTATGTGCCAAGCCTCTTTTCTTGTTGCTTTCAAATTTCTGTGTCTTCAATTTTTGACAATTCGTTATGCAGGTGAAGGATCCCTTATCTGTAGTGCATAGAATCGAAGTGTTTCAGATTTCAGATTGTTTTAGATTTTGAAATATTTGCATTATACTTACCAGTTGAGCATCCCTAATTTGAAAATCTGAAATCTGAAATGTTCCAATGAGCATTTCCTTTAAGCGTCATTTTAGTTCTCAAAAAGTTTCAGATTTTGAAGCATTTCAGATTTCAGGTTTTTAGATTAGCGATGCTCAACCTGTAATGTGACTTGTGAGGCCTTCTTTGGATTGAACCTTATTACAGATTGCAAGCTTTGTATACCTGAATGTCCAGGTTTCTCCCCAGACTTTGGAAGTTTTCAGCCATAATTTTTTTAAATAAGCTTTCTCCGCTTTCTGTCTTTGTTCTTCTTCTAGAACATCCATAATGCAAATGTTAGCTGTCTTGATGGTGTTCCACTAATCTCATCGGTTTTCTTCATTCCTTTTCATTCTTTTTAAAAAAAATTTTCCTTTTCTAACTGGATATTTTCAAATGACTTTTCTTCAAGTTCACAGATTCTTTTTTCTGCTTGATCAAGTCTGTTGGTGTTTTTATTGCATTTTTTGAATTCCATTCACTGTGTTCTTCAGCTCTAGGATTTCTGTTCAGTTTCCTTTTCATGATTTCTATCTATTCATTGGAATTCTTTTGTTGATTCCTATTTTCTGTTTTATTTAGTTGTCTACCTATGTTTTCTTGTAGCTCACTGAGCTTCATTAAAATAGTTATTTTGAATTCTTTGTCAGGCAATTTGTAGATCTCAATTTCTTTGGGAAAAATCAAGTTTTCTTGATTTTTCATGTTTCTTGAAGTCTTCTGCTGCTGTCTTTCCATTTGAAGAAGGAGTAACTTCCTTCAGTTTTTACTTACTATAAATACCTTCACCAACCAGATTGGTTAGTGATTATGAGGCTCTCTCAGACTTTTTCTGTGGATTCACCCACTCCACACTTCTTATCCATTTTGGGGGAGGGAAATGCTTAAGATTATACACTTTCTTTCAATCTTGCAAAGCTAGGCCAGGGCTGAGAGCTTCCTGTTTTGATTTTCTAGAGTGGTGCACTGAAATGCTCAAGTTTGTGTGTCTTCCTCCAACCCTGCATAGTTGATACAGATACCTGCATGAAGTGCTTGCATTTGCTGTTCACGCAGGTGCATTTAGGGAACCAATCTTGGGAGCGAGTTGTGCCAAACATTTTGAGTGCCCATGCACCAGTTCAGGGGGTCCAAACACAATGTGTTCCAAGTGCCTTATAGATGCACTTCCTGATGGAATCACAGAGCAGTAAATTAGATCCCCACCTCTCTTCCCTGTCACTGTTCTCTTCCAACCACTAAACCATACCAATCACCATTGTAGTTTGGATAAGATGAGAAAGTGGGTGTCTTGTTCAGTATCCTACAAAGCTGGGGGAGCTGGGCACTCATGAACCATGCTTGCACTCTCCCCACCCACCAGGAGAAATCATGGACTGCAATGATCTCTCTTGGCATTGAGCTATGATGCCTTGGAGGAAAGGTAATGCAGGTAAAGTGAAACTGTTTTTCTTATCTTTTTCAGTGCATCTATTCTCAGATTTTTGTTCTGATGGCGTGCTAAAACTTTATCTGCTGGATTCTTGGACCCCACAAAAGTGCTCTTATAGATAATTGTCAAGTTTGATGCTTCTGCTAGGCGATAATGGTAGAACGCTCTTATTCCACCACCGCGTGAACATCACTCTGCTTTCTCTCTTAATTCTGCCTTATTCTGCACATTAGCCTCATTTTCCTCCTTGGAGCTTGTGAAGGAATTGAAGATGCCAGAGGCATCAGTCTTATTTTATGTAAGGATGCTCCTAAACCACTAATGATAGGACCTAAAATCTATTGTTGAAGATTCTGAGATATACTCTCCGTCTTTTAGCTGATGACCTCATTCAGGGCCATCACAGCTTACAGGCCAAACTGTCTACTAAAAACATTAGGAAGTGTTAATCACATAGACCTCTTCTAGAGCTGTGCAGTGTGTGACCGGCACAGCCATATGCATTAGCCATGATACCCCCTACTTCATCAAGATACAGCAGTAATGATATTTAGTGTCTCTTATCTTTTCTACAATACCCTTGAATACCTGCCATCCTACATATATTTTATGAAATGGGAGACTGAAAGAATGTATTTTCAAAGTAATACACTTTATGTAATATGTGGTTTTTACATAAACTTATTTATGGAAAATTAATGAATTCAGTAGTAGGTTTTGACATTTTATTATTTTATCTGGTAGGAAAAAGTCCTTCTTTCTTAAATAAGGACTTAATTAGTCCTTATTTCTTAAGGCCTGGATTTGCAAGATTGCTTTCAAAATTGCTTCATGCATATTTTTATATTTTCAATTCCATATGAATTTTAAAATCACCTTTCAATTTTATTGTGCTTGTATGAAAGTTTTGGGTTAACTTCAAGACAGCTGACTTTTAACAGTTAAAACTTTCCAACTAAAAATGTGGCTTTTCTCTCAAATGACAAGCTTTGTATAATTTCTTATAGCTTCCCTTCTTGTTTTCTCTTCAAAAGATTTTTAGAATATTTTTGTTATGATATTATCTTTAGATGAAGGTCAATTTGTATCTTCTTCTTTTATATTTTTAGCTTGGTGGGCCTTTTCTTGAAGACACTTGTCTTTCTTTAACATTGAAATACATTTATCCATTGTTTTAGGCAATTTGTACCTCTCCATTTTCTTTGTTCTCTCTTTTGGGAACTCGTTTTAGTCAAACTTTGGGCTTCCTGCTTTGATCTTCATTAATCCTTTAGTCTTTGTTCTAGTGTTTTTAGTGTCTGAAGTACTTTTTAAGGTTATCCATCTGGGTATGCTAGAGAATGCTGGTCTGGGTATATGTTTTACATGGGCATATGACAGAATCAGCATTACCTCAAATGGTCAAGCTGCCTTTCCTGTGTTGAGGACACAGAGTTTTTACCTGGAAAAAGTATGGAGACAGAGGAGCAAGAGGAGCCTGTGCTGAGCACTTTCTGTTTGCCCCTCCAGACTTACAGTTGACCTTTCTCAATTCACATCTGCCCTTTGGGAGGCTGACCATATCTGTGGGCTACTTCATCTTTGGGCTTTCTGTGGTGCCCTGGAAGAAGGTAAGAGTGTGGGGCCGTAACATTGGTTCCTCCCACTCTCTCTCCACGTGGACAGCCCAACTGCCTCCTCTCAGGCCTCCCTCTCTGCCAGACCTCTGGCGCTGGCTTTCTGCAGTTGCTCCTTCCCTTGCCCTTTTGGACCCAGAGGTTGTAATTATAACCCCAGCGTCACCTCTCAGGATACTGTATTATCCATCCCTGTGATTTTCCCACCCTGGCCCATACTTGCGTAAAAGTCCTTTTATTATTCTCAAATAATTTAAATTGCATGTTCCATGTATTTCCTACAGGTACTCTGAAAAATATAAATGCCCGTAATCCCAGCACTTTGGGAGGCCAAGGCGGGCGGATCACAAGGTCAAGAGATTGAGACCATCCTGGCCTACATGGTGAAACCCTGTCTCTACTAAAAATACAAAAATTAGCTGGGCACTGGGCTGGATGTGGTGGCTCGCGCCTGTAGTCCCAGCACTTTGGGAAGCCGAGGCGGGTGGATCATGAGGTCAGGAGTTCCAAGACCAGCCTGGCCAAGATGGTGAAACCCCATTTCTACTAAAAATACAAAAAATTAGCTGGGTGTGGTGGTAGGCACCTGTAATCCCAGCAACTCAGGAGGCTGAGGCAGAGAATTGCTTGAACCTGGGAGGCAGAGGTTGCAGTGAGCTGAGATGGCGCCACTACACTCCAGCCTGGGTGACAGAGTGAGACTCCATCTCAGAAAAAAAAAAAAAAAAAAAAGGGTGGCATCTGCTTGTAGTCCCAACTACTCAGGAGGCTGAGGCAGGAGAATCACTTGAACCCAGGAGGCAGAGGTTGCATTGAGCTGAGATTGCCCACCACACTCCAGCCTGGCAACAGAGCGAGACTGTGTCTCAAAAATTAATTAATTAATTAATTAATTAATTAACATAAACAACATGTAATAGAGAGGTTCAATAAGGCCAAAAGTGGTTCCTTTCAAAATTTGAATGTAACATACCAACACTGACCTAAGACATATTAGACATTAATAATCCAATGGCTAATAAGAAAATACATTTTTTTTTTTTAGATGGAGTCTCGCTTTGTGGCCCAGGCTGGAGTGTGCAGTGGCGCGATCTCGGCTCACTGCAACCTCCACCTTCCAGGTTCAGCCAGTCCTCCCCTCTCAGCCTCCCAAGTAGCTAGGATTACAGGCATGCACCACCATCCCTGACAAATTTGTTTTTGTATTTTTAGTAGAGACGGGGTTTCATCATGTTGGCCAGGCTGGTCTTGAACCCCTGACCTCAGGTGATCCACCCTCCTTGGCCTCCGAAAGTGCTCGGATTACAGGTGTGAGCCACCATGCCAGGCCTAGAAAATACATTTTTAAATTAAAAATATTACTTCTGCAATATCTCCAGACCTAGAGGCTTCACCAGTAAATTTTGCTAAATATATAAGAAAGAATAATACCAATCTTATTACTCATGAAATTGATAAATACCAGTGAGCTTGACTGAGGAAAAAGGGGCAAGGACACAACCAATGACAGAAATAATACATGGAATTCAGTATAGTCTTCTAAAACATTACATAATGGTAAGACGATGTTATATACAATTTTGTATCTTGCATTTGAAAATGTATATGAAAAAGACATGTTCCTAGAAAAATAAAGCTCATTAGAACTCACACTTTATCTTCCTCTTCTCTCTCTGTTTCTTTGTTTTGTTTTCTTTTGTTTTGTCTTCTTTCACTCAGACATATAGGAGGTCCAGGCAGCATGAACAGCTCCCTGGTCAGAGACACATGGATTTGCTCACTGGTTACTCAAAGCTGATTCAAAGCCGATTAAAGCTGCTGCTTCATCTGGGGTCCCAACCTCCAGTGGGAAAAACATTCTTCTTTTCCTGCTGGTGTCACCCACTGTTCCACGGATCCAAAACAACACCCAATGTTTGGTACAAATTTAGTGAAACAGCTCTTTCCATTCTTAACTCATGCCAAGCATCTCAGCTTGGGGTCAGGAAAATGCCAGGGGACATGAGCTCTTCTCCTAGAGTTAGAGAATTCTCTGCCTTAGTTGCAATAAAGGAAAAGATACACATTCTTCCTACAAATGCCAAAGTAGGCTCAAAATTTGGTTCCTAGAGTAGAGTATTGAAGTCGTGGCAAAGATCTTTCCAGTGATCAAAGCAGTGGCTCGTTATGTTCCCTCAGACTGAAGCTACAGTCTCATCTTCACTTTCTGTTAGCTCCCTCCATCCTCTGCGTAGGCCCACACCTGCTTCTTACAGTTGTGTGGATTATAGCACCTCCTCTCCAGCCTCAGGACCTTTGTGAGTGCTGCTCCTTCTTCCTTGACTGCTCTTCACCAGGGATCCTCAGGGCACAGCCCTTACCTCCTGCAAGTCTTGACTTAAATGTCACTTTCTCAGGGAGGCCCACACTCATCACCATTTCACACCCACCTCCCACATGACCTTATTTTACCTGTTCTCTCTTCTCCTCTTTTTTTTAGAGTACTTATGATCTCATGTGGTACATTTTGGGGTTTTTGGTTCTTCTGTATCCGCCACTGCCATGATCAGTTAGAATGTTGGAAACCAAGGAAACTTGGTTTTTTGGCCTGTGATGAAAACTATGGGGTCTAATAGTATCTGATAAAGTGGCAGACCCTCAATTATTATTTGCTGAGTAAATGAATGAAGGTGTGTAGACAACTAGCTCTAGAAGCTTAAATGAGTGATACCATGTTTTATAACATTGGAAGAGGCCGGGAATGGTGGCTCACGCCTGTAATCTCAGCATTTTGGGAGGCCAAGGTGGATGGATCTCTTGAGGTCAGGAGTTTGAGACCAGCCTGGCCAACATGGTGAAACCTTGTCTCTACTAAAAATGCAAAAATTAGCTGGACGTGGTGGCACACGCCTGTAATCCCAGCTACTCTGGAGGCTGAGGCACAGCATCACTTGAACCCAGGAGGCAGAGGTTGCAGTGAGCTGAGATGGTGCCACTGCACTCCAGCCTGGGCAACAGAGTGAGACTCTGTCTCCAAAAACAGAAAAAAGAAAGGGGGGGAAGAAAAGAAGAAGGAAGAGGAAAGGGAGGAGGAGGATTTATCATTCACTTACACTAGAAACAGTGAAAATAGATAATAGCTATAATTTACTCACATCTTATCTAAAACACAAATTCAGGGTAATTTATGAGCAAGTCATTTTCCGGTGGGCTTTCGATAGTGTGTGAATTTGGAATGAATGCTGGTACTTCCAGCTCCCTTCCACCTGCAGCACCAGGAAGCCATTGTTGTGGGGAGGCCACCAACTTGGCTGGCATGTTGCTTCTGCCTCAGTTAGTGATGATGGTGATTTGGAGAGAAAGGACACTCTGCTAGGCTCCAAATCCAAAGGATCAAGTGGATAAATGAAATGAATATCTAAATAAATATCAATTAGGTCAAAAGTTTGTTTTCATCTAAATGAAATCTGAACACTACTTAGGGCTATGAAACATAGCCAGAGGACATGGCCAGCTCTGGAGTGGGGCCTGGACTTGCTCTCCCCTGCTGGAAGTGCTTTTCCTCCCAGAGCTCAGAGCACCATGTGCGTGTGACCCCTGCCTTTTCACAGGCCATTGCCACAGGGCATCTCCCTGGTCCACCCGCCCCAAGATGAGCCAGCCTCCCACTCAGGAAGTGGGTGGGGAAGGGAAAGAAAGACAGAGGAGAGAGAGACAGTCACACACAGGCAGTGGAGCTCCCCTGCACCCACCAGGGAGCTTGAGCAGCTCATCTGCAGAGCAGGGAAACATTTTTACTACCATTGGGAAGACGCTGAGCAGAGAGGTGAGGGGACAGCATTTCTTGTCTCCCTGTGGCTTGTTCCACTCACAGTTCAGTTTCTCCTGTTCTTGGGGAAAAGGAGGGAAACTGTATTAGTCAGGGTTCTACAGAGAAACAGACCCAATAAGATGTGTGCATGTGTGTGTGTGTTTATATATGTTCACAGAATGTATATATGTGTATATATATGTATATGGATAACTGCATATATATATTATTTATAGAGAGAGAGAAGAGCAGGAGACAGAGATAAAGAGAGATTCATATAAAGAATTATATTCATAATTTATATAATAATTTGTTCCTTTAATCATAAAGTCTGGCAAGTCCAAAATCTGCAGGGCAGGCCAGAAGCCTGGGCACCCCGGAAAGAGTTGCATCTAGACTCTGAAGACGGTCTGGAGGCAGAATTCCCTCTTTCCCAGGGAATTCCAGTCTGTTTTCTCTGAAGGCCTTTACTGACTAGATGAGGCCCCCACACACATGGAAAGCAATCTGCCCTACTGAAAGTCTACTGACTTAGAGGTTTAGCTCATCTAAAAAAATACCTTCATAGCAATTTCGAGACTGGTATTTGACCAAATAGCTGAGTAGGTTGGCCTAGCCAATCTGACACATAAAATTAACTATCACAGAAACAAAATAATCAATATAGGTAATAACTGTGCCAGAATGCTGTGATGTTTCAGGATGACCTTGTTTACATTTACATTTATTGTCAAAACTTACCTTCTCTTTTTATATGGGCAATTAAATCTGCTACTGAGGGTATCAAGTACTGATTTAATTTACAATCTTAATAGATAAGATAGGTTCCTATTTTCTCCTCTCCATAAAAGTAATAAGTTTGGAGAAACCAGGTCGGAAATACCTCTCCAGATTTTAAAGCATAACCTCTTGTTTGGAATAATAAGTATGTAAATAAGCACCATAAAATATGAAACCAAACATTTCATCATTCTTTTATATACATTATCCCTTGCATTTTTAAAAAATAAGGAACACCTTATTAGCCATATTTTCAAATGGTGAAACCAACACCCCCAGCTCAGACTCTGCCGTGGTAGGCTCCAGGGTCACTGATACCAGATCCCATGGTATTTTCACTATATCCCACTCTTTCTTTGCATGTGGCTCTTTTTTAGCTGCATTGCGGGTAAACAGGTGTGGCTCTTTTCAAACCAATTCCATGCATATGTGAAGAAAATTGATCCTGAAGTTCCTTTTGCCAAAGATGCTTATGGAGAAGTGTCTGTGTCTGGACAGACAAAAGTGTCCATTTTTGCCTCGAAGCTTGGCAAAATTGAAATTGATGATGGGGAAGCTAGAAATACTTCAGTCTACATTTCGAATCCCAGCTGCGGGGAGGCTGGTTGAGGATTGCCCATCCCTCAGTCTGGGCTGGATTCTCCCTCCAGTCTCTGGGGTTCTCTTTTCTATTCACAAGAGGGTGCTAATGAGATGGTTTAATCTCTATACCCTGTGGTCCACAAATACAAGATGCCAGCGTGGCCAATGGGGCTTCCATAAGAGTGGCAATCAGGGGTCTCAAGCTTACCATGACGTTTTGGGCCCTGGAATCAGATCATAGTTCTACAGTTGTCCTGGCACTAGAACTCATGACAAGGTTGTGACTAGACAGAAGGAGAGAAGGCTGGAGGCTGACAGGAAGCAATGTGAACAAATGCCTTCGCAGGATGCATGGGTTTGGGCAACAGATGGTCAGGGGAGGTGCTGGTGCAGACGGGCTCAGTAGCAAAGCAATAACTGTGGATGGCCATTTTATGGCTGCAGATCACAGCACATTTATAAAAGATGTGTGTTTCATGAAAATGTGCATTTCATCGTGGAAATACTGTGGTTGGAGGAGATTTCTCAAAGCTGATAAATAAGTGTAGGTGACTTAACTTGCAAAAGATGATCATATGTGAGAACGGATGTCTCAAATTAGGAAATAACTTGTTAAGTAAAAAAGCCTCATGTATTGATTTGAAGAAAAAGATATTTTGGTGCTCATCAAAATAAAAGTATAATAAGCTGAAGGGCTGCTTTTTTCTGTAAACATAATTTTGTATCACCAGTTTTATTTTCAACGAGGACTTGAAATTCAGAAAAAAAATTAAAGCAGAGAAATGGGAAAAGGGCAAAAAAAAAGGACAGGAAAATAAAGCCAGAAAAAGGCAAATGAGTACAGAAAAAAATAAAGTATCCACTCAGGTTCTGGACACTTTGTTAGAACTGAGAACACACAGATCCAGAACTTCCTAGCAGTTAGTGTAAGTAGGAAATATCACTGTTCATATAATTCAAAGGGTTTTTAAGACCCAAAGAAGCATAGATATCTAACTCTGAGATCTCACAGTTCTCTGATGGTTCTAATAAGGAGGACATGGTATGAACAAATTATGCCTTACTGTTCGCTGAGGTTATATCAATGCCCGAACATTTCATCCAGCAAAGCAGTCACAACTAAAAACAGGTACATGATGGTTGCAGACAGCTTCTCAGTAGCCCAGAGAGTGAGAGCTCACCAGGGCAGAAGGTCCCTGAACCAGAGGCTGGCAGTGCACATGTGCTTTGGTCAGAGGAGAAGGACAACCATGCCCCACGGGGCTGAGGACCCAGTGGCTGGAACAAAGACATGATCCCAATTTTTTTGATACCTACTTTCTCACTTTGCCTTTGGGCCTCCACGGAGCTCCTGTGCAGCTGGCTGGACCATGGCCTATGTACAATGGCTGAGTCTACACACAATCAGAAAAGCAGCCTGAAACTCTGTGGACTGTGTCTGCTTTATTCTCAGCAGGATTAATGACCCTCATTGAATTCCCATCGCCTCAAAGCTTGGCAAAATTGAAATTGATTATGGGGAAGCTAGAAATACTTCAGTCTACATTTCAAATCCCAACATAACCTGAGTAAGGGAATTGCATGCTTTTCTCATCGAAAGCTCAAATAACTTAGTAATGGTTCAAAATTGTCTCCTACTGGCTTCTCAATTTAGCACACTAAATGGTCTTAGAGATCATTGCTCATCTTTGGACTAAGGCAGGCACAGTAATACATGTTCATTCTTTTGGCCTGAGCTATTACAGTAGCCTCCTAATAACTTATCTTCATCATCCTCTTTTCACTCATTCTATACTGGGCACCATGTCTGATCATTTTTTTTTCTGATATTTGGATCAGTTCTATTAAACTGATAACCCTGTGATGTCTTTTTTTCCCTTCAATAGATCTTTAAATTCCAATCCTCACCCTAATCTACTCTTTCCCAATATAGCACCGTTATTCACACTGCTCCCAAAATCTATTCCATCCTCTGACTTCTCACAATTTTTTTTTGTCCTAAGACTCCATGATAATAGAGAAAAGAATTTTGGTCTTCACAGAATGTATTGACTTAATGATATTCCAAATTTCTCTTGGGTGTCAAATATATTCCTCACCAAATATGACTGAAAGAAAACTCTATTCACCATGAATTTAAGGATCTCAAAATTATAATATCTTCTCCACTCTCATAATTCCACAGCCCCTGCTGTTACTATAATGACCTATATTGCAAAAGAGTGAATTCAATTAGAGTCCAAGAGGAAAACTGCTGGTATTTTTTTCATCTTTTGCCATCCCATACTTTATAAAGTGCAGTTAGACCCCCTGTTTGCCTCCCAGCATACCAAAGTTATGTAGATTATTTTAAATAAAATCTACTGAAAGCATGCATTTTTAAGTACCCCTTTTGTGTCCCCTAAATTACAGAGGATAAAACCAGCCATAGAGGCAAATTCCTTTAGACCTTCTCCTAGAAACAAACACTATCCATTACATAAAACCTTCAATTGCAAGGACAGTTCTGTAAACCATGATATTTGATCCTGGAAGCTTCCTAGATTGAACACAAAGAAGAGGGTACAGTATTTACATACCTCCAGCTTTAAGCTGTGTGCCTGGTGTTTTTCACTCCAAGGTGGTTGAGCATCTCCCTCTACACTGCCATCTACCCCATTCCTCATCACAAATGTCAACTCTGTCTGAGCTGCCTTCCAAAGTAAGCAGAGAACTCAGGACTGGGAAACCAGATGGGGCTGGCTTGGGAAGTGTGGCCTACCTGTTCCCTCCATGACCAAGCACAACACTGTATGTGGGGAATGAAATGGGACCAGGTCCCAGAGTACTGGGGAAACAGAACCTCATATCCAATGAGGAGTTCGGGCAGGCAGGTCAAAGATGGACCTGAGACCAACTCACTGTGATGGGTGTCAACAGAAAAGAAGACATGGCCTCAGAAGAGATGCTCCCTGAGAAGCTGGGCCACTTTCTCATGTGACTGCAGAGTAATCCATCCCTGCGTGGAGCTGACAAGGCACCAAGCTGCTGGGCATGAGACCCTTCACATATCCTCTCTGATCTTCTCGATTAGCTCTGAAGTCTCTCTGGTTTGAAACCTCATGTCACTTTTTTGGTATGTCTCTGTGGCATTGGACATCTTCTGCCTCATATTAGATGCATTGTGTAGTGTTTACTTATCCCTAATTTGCAGCCGCTTATCTGAGCATAGACACTAGACCACTCCATCTTTGCCTCTATAAATATCAGGTGTAGGACCTCGTACTTGACAGGTGCTCATAAGATATCTTTCTCTCCCTTTTTTTTTTTTTTACTTGAGTTCAAGTGATGAGGGTCTAGTAATAGGTATTGCTAAGCAGAGCAAATTCAAATAATTGTTTAGAAAAGTATTGATGACTGTATCTGATTAAGAGTATAAAAAATGGGGGAGGAGCTATGCTGAGCCCCCAATTTTAAGTTAGAGACAGGAGAATTCTGATGCCTGCCACAATTGATATCTTATAATGCTGCATTTGCAAGCTTAACATTCAATCGTTTTTCATTTAGAGTCCAAAGCAATCATTGACCATGGTGCCTGGGTGTTGGCTGTGAAGCCTGAATTCTAAAACACAATTGTAAACGTATTTTGCCTTATATTGAGATAAGCACATACAATACTTAAGACATGCAATATTTTAAAGAAATACAAAAAAATTGCTAACTGGCCACATCAGTTCTTAACTTTTTTATTAACCAGAACTGGTTTCCTCTTGCTGTTAGTTCCAGAAGAAAAGATTAAATCAGAATAGTTCTATATGTTTTACCTTGTGTATTAGGTATCAATTGTTGCACAACAAATCATCCCCAAACATACAGGCTTAAAACCACCATTAGTTCACAGTTTCTGTGTGCCAGGAAACTGGATATGGCTTGGATGCATCTTCAGCTCTGAATCTCTCACAAGGTCACCATCCAGCTGTCAGCTCAGACTGTAATCTTGTCTAAAGGTTTAATTGAGCAAGGAGCCACTCAAACTTAACTCTTGTAGAGTTGGCAGGATTCAGCCCCTTTCAGGTTATTGGACAGAGGGCTCAGCTCCTTGCTGGTTATTAGCTGAGGCCACCTCAGTTCTTGACTCTGTGGGTCTCTCCATTAGGAAGCTCACAGCATAGCAGCTGGTTTCCCTCAGACTGAGCAGAGAGCAAGAGAGAGTGCTCAAGGCAAAAGACACTGCCTTTTTGTAACTTAATCTCAGAAGTGACATCTGCTGTGTTCTGTATGTTAGAAGTGAGTCACTAAGTCCAGCTGAAACTCAGGGGAGGGCTTGCCTACCAGGAGGCAGGAATCACCAGGACCCATCAGAGACACCGTCTACCCCAGTCTGTGCTCGGGTCCTTCATGTCTCTCCCTCCTGAAATTTGATAGATTCTGCAAAAGAAAAAGCCTTGATCCACGCTGCTTTCTAGAATGTTGTAGTGAAAAGCAAGTCAGTGTGGTACATTCAGAGTAATTTTATAATTTTATAATTTAAAAATAATTGACATTACTCCCAGCATTACCAAAGTTGCCAAGATCAGCTTTTAAATGCTCACTTAGGTCATTTGTGTTTAATGCATTGAGTGTGTGCTCAATCTTCATCCCAAGACAGAGGGATTCAGATAACTGGCAAATGATATGAAGGAAAACCTTTCTGGAGTAGTCCATCTGGAGGCCACGTCAGGACTAGCCTCACAGGTAGAGTACAGGCATTCTGACTTTGGGAGCATTAAAAAGAGCATCAAACCAAATTATCTGATTCAGCCCTATATAATAGCCTACATAAGCCCCAAAGATCTCTATTTTAAATTAGAAATAAAGTTAATGTTTCACTTGAACATTCTGCAGGAAAGTGGTATGAGATCAAGGTATTATTAACTATTAACAACTGGCTGGGCACAGTGGCTCACGCCTGTAATCCCAGCACTCTGGGAGGCTGAAGCAGGTGAATCACCTGAGGTCAGGAGTTCAAAACCAGCCTGGCCAACATGGCGAAACCCTGGCTGTACTAAAAAATATAAAAATTAGCTGGTCATGGTAGTGTGCACCTGTAATCCCAGCTACTCGGGAGGCTGAGGCAGGATAATCATTTGAACCCAGGAGGTGGAGGTTGCGGTGAATCAAGGTTGTGCTGTTGCACTCCAGCCTGGGAGATGAGTGAAACTCCATCTAAAAAAAAAAAAAAAACCGAAAAACTATTAGCAACTTAGCATGAAGCACTCTGTCACCTGATAAGAACTGAGAAAGTGTAGCACAGGACAGATCAGGTTTGTCTTGATGGAAGAAAGGAAAGAGGAAATTACTGATGGTAATCTTGAGCCGAGCACAGAGAAAGGCAAGAAGGGATGGCTCTGGTTTCAAACAATCCATGTCTGATTCCTCCCAAGCCCATTCTTTGTTATCTATTGTAATGTCAATACTCATATTAGGTAGGGAGTTCCCTTTAATGACCTCTAAGGATTCTTTCAGCTGGAAGAGTTGTATCCATTCATCTGCTAATCTTCTTCATCAAAGGACAGTTGGAAAGGATGCGGCATTACTCCTTACAAGAAGGTGGAAGTCTAATTTTTAAACTATGAGCTTTTACCTTAATGTGAGCCATTTCTTTTTAAGCTAGGCATTTACATGTACTCCAATATAATTCCTTAGTAGAATACATTTATTTTTGGTGCAAAACAAAATTATTTAGTCCAGAGACACCCTTCACTGGCAAAGAAAGACATTCATTGTGCAGTGCAGTAATTCAGAGAAATATTACTTCCAAGTCTTTTTAAAGTTAAAGAAGAATGTTTTAGGGCCCATTTGAAAAGTGCTATTCATATGAACTTGAAGGTCATTACTCACAGATAATATTCAGGAGAACTCCTGTCTAGGCTGAGAGCAGCCACTTCTGTGCTGTTTCAAGTTTTCAGAAACCATGGTACTGTTACTCCTCTATAAGGTAGAAAAACCATATCTAACATATTTGATTTATTCCAAAAACTCAGCAAAATCGATTTCTTTTTCACTCTTTGGAAGAAAGTACAGAATGAGGAAAATCACTTCTTAAAAAATTCATCAAAATAACTATGTTAAGCCCTTATGATTTCCAGGCCCTGAGCCCGGTTCTGGAGTCATAGAGTTTAGAAGAAAAAGATGGAAATATGCAATCCAGTGGGACTTCCTTTATCAAATGAACGCAAGGGCCTGATTTCTTTGGTAGATAATGCGTTCAACTAAACGGATCTCTTTGAGATGAGGATATTAGCTGCGCTGCACTGTCTGTACAATTGTGTCTGTACCTGGAGGAGTTTCCACAGCAGCAGAGCCTGAGATTCTATGCATTTTAGATTTAGAAACCTCATTATACCAGTTCCTACAAGAATAGGTCTCTGAAAGGACGAATCTCACAAATCAAGCTCATAAAAAATGCATAAACAATGCTTACATCATTTATAATGAGAAGATGTTCATTCCCAGCAATAGGGCAGAGCAGATAATTGAGTATCTCCCTAGTGCAGAACATTCAGAAGTACTGGATACTGTAGCAAACAGTTTCAAATGGAGAGCTGAAATTCCAACAAAGTCCCAAGACCACATTTTAAGACGAATCTGCAAACCAGAACTGTAAAGCACATGAGTGGACCTCACTGACATCTTTGTTTTATAGTAGGAGGTGGTGCTCTGGGCTGCATCAGGTAGAAATTAGACCTAGATCCACAGTAAGCCTGTCCTATATGCTGACACTGCCCCTCCCTCCCAGTAAGCCAGAGACTAGAAAAACATTCAACCTCCTGTGGGTTCAGAGAAACAACAGAGAGCCTGTTTGACTGATCGCAGGTTCTAGGTGGTAAAGTCTCCCCTAAGAATTTATAGGCAAAGGCTGATGCCTCCAGTGTATTCACGTGTGAATTCATGCTCTCCTTGTGGCTTGGGAGTGGACAAAGTAAGACACTGATAGGAATTGTTTCCTGGATGGTAATACCACTGTGACATTGTTGTGGGAAGCAAGCTCTGAGACAGAGACTGACATGCAGGAGAGGGATGAGGGAATGCTCTTGGAATCTCCACCTGGAAGTGAGGAGTAGAAAGCAGGACTGGGACTGGGCCGAGGAAGAGGGCAAGACTCAGCCAGCCTTGCAGGGAGTTCTAAAGATTACGTGGCTCTTAAGAATTATCTGGAGTAGGGCGAGAGGCGAGGCCCTTAGTGCTCCAAGTGAATCAGTCTCGGGATGCTCTGGGAGGGGGCCATGACCTTGGGTGGTGGGGCCATGTCGGAAGGGCTGGCACCTGACTGCACTGTCAGATGGGGCAGGCAGTAAGTCCTTACTCCTGAAAGGACTGTCTGTCCAGGGCTTCTGCTGGCAGCACTGTCAGTCTCGGGGCAATAAGCCCTTTACTCCTGAAGGGATATCAGGGTGGCCATCACTGTGTCACCACAGGGTTCTAGCAGAAGCAAACACAAGGCAGCTGTGAAGGGCAGGCCCTCCACCTAGGATTCCAGTTGACCCATCTAGCAGGATAAAGATAGAAAATGATGGCAGTTCTCGTAACTACAGCATAATTAATTTCAGATTTAAAAAACCAGGTGAAGCTAAAATACCAGATTTTAAATAATGGAACTTGAAAGGGAGCTGATTAGAATTCATGAATCCTAAGGTCTTTGAATTATCCTGGTTAACTGGTGGAATTAAAACTGTATAGTTAACTATATGTATTAAAATATGAAAGGGAATCTTCAAAAATAGGGAAATAAAATGTATAGCTCTCCAGCAAGATACTAAAAAGCAAAAACAGAAAAATGAACATAATACATAGCATATAATAAAAAGAATGGAATACATCTAAATGTATTGGTAAAATAATAAATATAAACGATCAAAAGATGTTTCTTCTAAGGCACAAAATTAACATTATCTGCCACTTTATACGTAGAATCTGGAGGACCTTGAATAGCCTAACTATAATACCCCTACCCACCCTGCTCCAGTGGCAGGTCCACTAGACAACCTTCCTTATCATGGGTGGCAGAGCCCGGAAGCAAGTGTCACTCCACCCTCTTGTTACTACAAAGCCTGACTCCCTCAGCTCCTGCTTGTTCACTCTGTTTCCAAGCGCAGCCCTCATGTGGCCCCACATCATGTGGTTCCATCCTCCCCTGGGCTGTGTGTGCCTGTGACTAATAAGCTGGTGTGAACTCAACTGTCTAGTGTTGGGTGTCATGTGTCCAGTCATTTCCATAACCCCAGTGTGGGAATCTCTCCTCCACAAATGGGATGGAGACGAGATGAATACATGCCAATAAAAAGACATAGATATTCGTATTGAAATATTTTATAACAGAAAAATGTTGAGAGTAAACATGTGTATAGTATAGGGAAATAGACATATTAATATAAAAGGAAGGAAAATATATAGCAGACATTTTCTAATCAGAAGAAAGCCACCATGGTATTATTACCATCCAGAAAAATAAACCATACAGTAAAATGTATCATTAGGAATAAATACATTCAGTACATGAGGGTCAAGTATTCAACTCCTCAGAAATAGACAACAGTTTTTGTCTAAACCTAAGAACATAATATCAACTATGCACAGTCAGAACTTCATGAAGAAATTGGTAAGTAAAGTGATCACATATTTGTCAAGTGTGTCAATATTTAACTGCAACAAATAATTAGAAAGTACATATTCTCATTCACTCATGGAACATTTATAAAAATGGGCTATGTGCCATAAATACAAGAAAATTTTCAATAAAGATATGCAGACGTTATCCAATTGTTCTTCAGTCGTAAGGCAATGCAATTAGAAATCAAAATAAAAAATAACAAAAAAGATTGTATGTTAATATTTTAAAATCCTCATAAGTCAGTCAAATAACAATTTTTATTTGTAATCATAAGAAAACATTTGTATTAGTAATATATTGTTGCATAACAGGTCGCCCCCCTACTTAGTGATTTCAAAAACAATAATCTTTGATGATCTCTCATTTGTGGGTGGGTCATGTACTTAGGAGCAGCTCAAATATATATTTCTGGTTTGGGAGCTCTCAGGAGGCTTCAGGCAGATGTCTGGGGTAACGGCCATGTAAAGACTTGAACTGGTCGGCGGCTCCGCTCCGCACTGCCGGGCGCCGCCTCGCCATGGACGCGCGCGGGGGCGGCGGGCGGCCCGGGGAGAGCCCCGCCGCCGCCGCGCCCCCCCAACAGCAGCCGCCCCGGGCCGAGGCGTTGCCCCCGGAGGCGGCGGAGGAGGGCGGCCCGCGGGGCCAGCGCCGCAGCCGCGACAGCTAGTGCGGCAGCCCCGGCATCCCGGGCACGGCGAGCACGGCCAAGGGCAGCCGGAACGGCCGAGTGCGGGCGCGGCTAGCCGCAGTGCAGCCCCGCGGGGCCCGAGGGCCCGGCGCGGGGGCCCAAGGTGTAGTTCTTGTGCCCCGGGGCGGCCTCGGGGCCCGCGCCGGGGCCGGGGCCGGGGCCGGCGGAGGAGGCCGGCAGCGAGGTGGCGGCCCGGCGGCGGAGCCGCGCCGCAGCCGGGCCAGCTTCATGCAGCGCCACTTCGGCGCGCTCCTGCAGCTGGGCGTCAACAAGTTCTCGCTGCGGATGTTCGGCAGCCAGAAGGCCGTGGAGCGCGAGCAGGAGCGCGTCCAGTCAGCGGGGTCCTGGATCATCCACCCGTACAGCGACTTCAGGTTCTACTGGGACTTCACCATGCTGCTGTTCATGGTGGGAAACCTCATCATCATCCCAGTGGGCATCACCTTCTTCAAGGACGAGACCACTGCCCTGTGGATCGTGTTCAACGTGGTCTCGGACACCTTCTGCCTCATGGACCTGGTGTTGAACTTCCGCACCGGCATTGTGATCGAGGACAACACGGAGATCATCCTGGACCAAGAGAAGATCAAGAAGTACGTGCGCACGTGGTTCATGGTGGACTTCGTGTCCTCCATCCCCGTGGACTACATCTTCCTCATCGTGGAGAAGGGCATCGACTCCGAGGTCTACAAGACGGCGTGCGCCCTGCGGATCGTGCGCTTCACCAAGATCCTCAGCCTCCTGCGGCTGCTGCGCCTCTCGCGCCTGATCCGCTACATCCACCAGTGGGAGGAGATCTTCCACATGACCTATGACCTGGCCAGCGCGGTGATGCGGTTCTGCAACCTCATCAGTATGATGCTGCTGCTCTGCCACTGGGATGGCTGCCTGCAGTTCCTGGTGGCCATGCTGCAGGACTTCCCGTGCAACTGCTGGGTGTCCATCAATGGCATGGTGAACCACTGGTGGAGCGAACTGTATTCCTTCGCACTCTTCAAGGCCATGAGCCACATGCTGTGCATTGGGTATGGCCGGCAGGCGCCCGAGAGCATGACGGACATCTGGCTGACCATGCTCAGCATGATTGTGAGTGACACCTGCTACGCCATGTTCATCGGCCACGCCACTGCCCTCATCCAGTCGCTGGACTCCTCGCGGCGCCAATACCAGAAGTACAAGCAGGTGGAGCAGTACATGTCCTTCCACAAGCTGCCGGCCGACTTCCGCCAGAAGATCCACGACTACTACGAGCACCGTTACCAGGGCAAGATGTTCGACGAGGACAGCATCCTGGGCGAGCTCAACGGGCCCCTGCGGGAGGAGATTGTCAACTTCAACTGCCGGAAGCTGGTGACCTCCATGCCGCTGTTCGCCAATGCTGACCCCAACTTCGTCACGGCCATGCTGACCAAGCTCAAGTTCGAGGTCTTCCAGCCGGGTGACTACCTCATCCGCGAAGGCACCATCGGGAAGATGTACTTCATCCAGCACGGCGTGGTCAGCGTGCTCGCTAAGGGCAACAAGGAGATGAAGCTGTTCGATGGCTCCTACTTCGGAGAGATCTGCCTGCTCACCCGGGGCCACCGCATGGCGAGCGTGCGGGCCAACACCTATTGCCGCCTCCTTTCGCTGAGCGTGGACAACTTCAACGAGGTGCTGGAGGAGTACCCCATGATGCGGCGCGCCTTCGAGACGGTGGCCATCGACCGCCTGGACCGCATCGGCAAGAAGAATTCCATCCTCCTGCACAAGGTGCAGCATGACCTTAACTCGGGCGTATTCAACAACCAGTAGAACGCCATCATCCAGGAGATCGTCAAGTACGACGGCGAGATGGTGCAGCAGGCCGAGCTGGGTCAGCGCCTGGGCCTCTTCCCGCCGCCGCCGCCGCCGCAGGTCACCTCGGCCATCGCCACGCTGCAGCAGGCCGTGGTCATGAGCTTCTGCCCGCAGGTGGCGCGGCCGCTCGTGGGGCCGCTGGCGCTCGGCTCGCCGCGCCTCGTGCGCCGCCCGCCCCCGGGGCCCGCACCTGCCGCCGCCTCACCCGGGCCCCCGCCCCCCGCCAGCCCCCTGGGCGCGCCCGCCAGCCCCCGGGCACCGCGGACCTCGCCCTACGGCAGCTTGCCCGCCGCCCCCCTTGCTGGGACCGCCCTGCCCTCGCGCCGCCTGAGCCGCGCGTTGCGCCCACTGTCCGCCTCGCAGCCCTCGCTGCCCCACGGAACGCCCGTCCCAGCGGCCTCCACACGCCCGGCCAGCAGCTCCACACCGCTTCTGGGACCCACGCCCGCTGCCCGGGCCGCCGCGCCCAGCCCGGATCGCAGGGACTCCGCCTCACCCGGCGCCGCCAGCGGCCTGGACCCCCAGGACTCCGCGCGCTCGCGCCTCTCGTCCAACTTGTGACCCTCGCCAACCGCCCTGCGGGCCCAGGAGGGCCGGAGGCGGGGCCGTCATCCAGACCAAAGCCATGCCATTGCGCTGCCCCGGCCGCCAGCCCGCCCAGAAACCACAGACAAGACATAGGTAGCCGTAGTTGGACTGACGGGCAGGGCCGGCGGGGCAGCCCCCTCCGCGTCCCCGGCCGTCCCCCCTTATCGCCCTGCGCCCACTCCCATCGCCCCTGCCCCCGGCGGCGGCCTCGCGTGCGAGGGGGCTCCCTTCACCTCAGTGCCTCAGTTCCCCTAGCTGTAAAACAGGGACGGGGCGGCCCAGTGGCTGAGAGGAGCCGGCTGTGGAGCCCCGCCCGCCCCCCGCCCTCTAGGTGGCCCGCCGTCCGATGAGGATCGTTTTTTAAGTGCAATACTTGGCCCACCGGCTTCCCGCTGCCCCCATCGCGCTCATGCAATAACCGACCCGGCCCCGGTCCACGCGCGTCCCGCGGTGACCTTGGGGAGCAGCACCCCAGCTCCCTCCAGCACTGGCACCGAGGGGCGGGCCTGGTTGCTCCGGGCGCGGGGGCGAGGCTGGGGTCCCGCCACCGTGATGAATGTACTGACCAGCTGAGGCAGCAGTGCCCCCACCGTGGCCCCTACGCCCAATTAACCCCCACACCCCCATTCCGCGCAATGAACGACAGCATCGGCAAAAAAAAAAAAAAAAAAAAAGACTTGAACTGGAGAACCTACTTCCAAGGCAGCTAACTCACATTTCTGGGAAGTAGGTTCTGAGAAGTCCATTCCTTCCCACACAACCTCCTGCCCCAGGGCTGCTTGAGTGTCCTCTCAGGGTGGTGGCTGACTTCTTCCAGAAATGAAGAGATGTAAGAGCCAGGGAGAGCCAGGCAGAAGTTACAGGTCCACTAGACAACCTACAGTATGGCAAATTACAGTTGCCTGTTTCCTAGAAAAATTTATACCAGCTGAAGTAATTACAGGAGATAGAAAACTTTAATGGTCCTACATGAATTAAATGAATTACATCAACTCTTGAAAATTAACTTTGACAAAGTACCAAAGATGTGTTGCTAATAAATTCTATTCAAGGTACAGATACTTCTAGTCTTATATCATCTGTACTAGAGAATAGAAAAAGAAACAGAAATAAATATATAAAAATATGTGAGAATAAAGCATTATAGTCCAAGCTCGTTTATGGAGAGAGATGCAAATATCCTGAATTTAAAAAAATAAAGTATATACTTTACTCACAGAAAGCAATATACCTAAAATTAAATCTAACATAGATATGCAAAACATTTATGCAGAAGTAAATGTAGCATTGTCTTTCAACACAGAAAATAAACTAAAAATGAATGAGTAGATAGGCAAAGTTTTTGTATCAGAGGCCTAAATATTATGAAGATATTTAATAATTAAATGCAATTCAAATATAAATACCAGCAGGGTATTTCATTGAAAAAAGTTAAATATAAAATTTATATGAAAGTGTATAGGGCCAAGAAAAAAAAAATTTTGGAAAAGAAGAACTGTGCAGTAAAGTGTTAACTCAGCAGGCCTGGGCTGCCCAAACCCTGCATATTCCGAAGGGCTTCAGGACAGTCCCTGACAGGCTCCTGGAGATAACCTCTGAGCCTTTGTAATATTCTGTGTGATTTGAGTGACTTTGTAAACCTGAAGCTTTGGGTCACACCACATGCTATCAACATGCTTTATAGTGAACACCTGTTTATGTATGCCTGGGCCTTGGGTCACATTGTGTCACTTTGACCTCTGGGGGTGGCAGACAGCTGACTGGAGACTGAGTGGTTGAGGTCAGTCATGTGGAGCACAACTGGAAGCCCATGCCTCCTCCTTAGTGCTGGACTCTGCTGTGTGCACCTTTTTCCTTGCTGCTTCTAATCTATATCCTTTCACTGTAATTAACAATAGCTGTGAGTCTAACAGCTGTCTGTGTCCTGTGAGTCTTTCTAGCAAATCGTGCACTGGAACCAAAGTGGGTGGGCACTCACCAACTAAAACTATCAAACCTACTAGGAATCTGTGAAAATTAAAGAACGTGGCAGTACATAGACATAGCCAATAGGCAAAAGAGAATCAAACCTTAAGTGCAAAGAAATGCATTGCAGATCAGCAAGTAAGAGGTAAATTATGGGATAAAGTGATCCAAACACTGTTTATTCAGGAAAAATGTAGATTTTTATCAGACACCGTTTATAAAAATGTTTCAGATAGATTAAAACCTAATAGTGAGCAGCGAAATTAAGCATGTCTTTGGAAGAATGAGGATCATGTTCTTGTTCTCAGGATGGGGACAGATTTACTAATGTAGACAATCATAAGAAAATAGGTATTATAATAATTTGACAACATTAAAGTTAAACATACCTGTATGCAAAAAGACACCATAAGCCAGCAAGGATTAGGTATCATGTATCTCTAACCATGTGATATAGCTGACAGGGGCTTAGTATATTCAGATTATACATCAATCAAGTTAATTAATCCATTCAAACAAATCCTTATTGAATGTCTATGTGCCAGGCCCTGTTCTAGTCACCAGGGTAACTGTAGAAAACAAAACTAATATCCTCCCCTCATAGGAGAGGCAGACACTAATAAATACGTCATTACATATGTTGATAAACCTCAGATTTCAGAAAGTACCAAGGAGAGAACTAAAGCAGGTGGGAGAATAGAGCTTCGTGAGAGATGGGAGATGCTATTTTAGATTGGCTGTTCATAAAAAGAATAATTTTGAACCCAATGGGTTATGTAAAAATCAGTATAGAATAGAAAAATGACCCAATAGAAAAAGACAATTTTCAGCCGGGCGCGGTGGCTCACACCTGTAATCCCAGCACTTTGGGAGGCTGAGACAGGTGGATCAGTTGAGGTCAGGAGTTCGAGATCAGCCTGGCCAACATGGTGAAACCCCGCCTCTAGTAAAAATACAAAATTTAGCCAGGTGTGGTGGCACACACCTATAGTCCCTGCTACTTGGGAGGCTAATGCACAAGAATCGCTTGAACCTGGGAGGCGGAGGTTGCAGTAAACTGTGATCTTGCCACTACGCTCCAGCCTGGGCGACAAAGCAAGACTGTCTCAAAATTAAAAAAAAAAAAAAAGAAAAAGACAATTCTTGATTGAATGAACTGAATGCCCAATAAACATTTGAAAAGATCTCTGTAATGTATTTAACATAATTTTACATCTCTGTTCATATTAGAGAATTTATGGGGTTTTTAATAAAACACTTGGCCCTGAGTTGATAATTTTTGAAGCTGGGTGATAGGTTAATGGTGGTTGATTATATTATTCTCACTCTCTGTCTCACTCATTACACACACACACACACGAAATCATACATGATGATTTATACAGTTACTTATAGTTTACATAATTTATATATTTAACATAAATATAAGTATAAAAATAATTATTATAAATATAAATTATATGAAAATAATTTATAATGAATTCTAAGGTAATTAAGACACAAATAACAAATTTTAGGACTGAAACAGAGATATGGCCACAGATCATACAGGTATTAAAAAATAACTAGTAAATCTATGAAAATCTTTATACAAAATTATCTTTATACTATGAAAATCTTTATACAAAAATTGCTGAAAAACAGACAACTTCCTCCAAGCATATGATTTATTAAAGTGCATTCAAAAATATAAAGTCTTCACAACCCTATAATTATAAAATTGAATCTGTAATTAAACAATTTGTCATCAAGAAATGCCAAGTCCCAAAGGATTTACTGATGATTTTTACCACCAAACATTTGAGGAAGAAATAAGAAGTCATATTACACAAATCATTCTAGAGAATAGAAGAAGAGAAAATACTTTCCAATGAGGGAAAGATAATCTTGGTCACAACCAAAACCAAAATAAGAGTATCGGAAAAAATAAAATTGCTCTTGAATTCTTAATAAGTTACTCTAAACTCTTGAAAGACAATTTCTCTCTTGAATATGACTTAAAAATAAATCCAAGCCAGGCGCAGTGGCTCATGCCGGTAATCCCAGCACTTTGGGAGGCCAAGGCAGGCGGATCACTTGAGTCCAGGAGTTCGAGACCAGCCTGGCCAACATGGTGAAACCCCATGTCTACTAAAAATACAAAAAAATTAGCCAGGCGTGGTGGCGGGTGCCTGTAATCCCAGCTACTTGGGAGGGTGAGGCAGGAGGACCCCTTCAACCTGGGAGGCAGAGGTTGCAGTGAGCCAAGATTGCACCACTGCACTCCAGCCTTGGCAACAAAGTGAGACTGTGTCTCAAAACATAAAACTACAAAATAAATCCAAATAAAAACATTAGCAAACTGAGTCTAGTGACATATACATAAAGGAAAATACATCATGGTCATGTTGGGGGCCAGGGATACAAGATTAGTTTAACATATGAAAATCAATCAACATAATTCTCCATGAAAAAAACATTTTAAAAAATTGAACTGTCTAGTTATGATTGTTAAAAAAGAAACTATCACTATATTAGAAATAGGAATACACTTTCTAAATGTGAGAAAGGTGTTTTTATATTGAATGAAAAAATGTTGTAAGAGCATTCTCAGAGATTAGAAATTAAAACAACAGGATGTCTGCTCTTACCATTGTTATTCAACATGATACTGGAGGTGCTAGTCTGTGCACTGAGGCAAGAGATAGCCAGAAAAGCGTGTATCATTTTCAAGTGCCAGAATAATGAAAATGCTCAAAAAAGCAAAAAGGATGGGGCATATCAGAGAGATATAGAAGTGACCCTGATATAAAATAAATAACATGGTATTGGCTTACAACCCAAAGTATAAAATCAATATACATGAGGTTACACTGATATAAATAAATGATTAAATGAACAAGTAAATACAAAAGAAAGAAGAAGGACAACTCTTTGTAGAAGAATTCCAGATAATATGAATAGATACTGTCTCTTCCAGGAATTGGACCTTAGTGTCTACCTCCCAGGCCACCTTGTGCCTGGCCTGGACTTAGTGATTCACATGCAAGACTAGAGTATTGAAAGCCGGGAAAGAGTATCTGTGTGGTAGAGAAACCTAGCAAACGCCTCCTTGACCACATGATCAAGGTGAACATCACCAGTAATGAGGCATGTTGATATCACATCCCCTTGATATGAAGTGATGAGAAGGAAGCTTAACCTCTGCAGAATTTTTTCCAAAAGCTCATAATTCCAGCCTAATCAGGAAAAAAATAATCAGACAAACACAAATTAAAGAGCATTCTAAGGACCTGACCAGTAATCTTCAAACTGTCGATACACAGTAACAAGGAGAGGCTAAGAGTTGGCCACAGGCCAGAGGAACCCAAGGAAACGTAATGATTAAGTGCCAGATAGTATCCTGAACTGGATACTGGGAACAGAAAAAGAACGTTGGTGTAAAAACTTAGTGGAATGCAAATACATTACTGTTAATGAAAATTCAGAATTTAATATTGGTTTCTTAGTTTTGGCAAACGTAGCATGGTTGTGTAACATGTTAACTTTAAGGAAAGCTGGATAAGATAACTCTCTTTACTTTTTTTGCAGCTTTTCTGTAGATCTAAAATTATTCCAAAAGTAAAAAGTTTATTACATAAAAGAAAGAAGTCACAAAACTCTTATTTTAAGACTTACATGGCAAATTAAGTGGCCATGATTAAACAAGTCATATTTTTTCTATGTATGTATGTATTTATTTTTAAAATTGGTTAATTTATACATATATATTTTTAAATTTTACTTCAAGTTCTGGGATACACGTGCAGAATGTGCAGGTTTGTTACATAGGTATAGAAGTGTCATGGTGGTTTGCTGTGCCTATCAACCTGTCATCTAGGTTTTAAGCGCTGCATACATTAGGTATTTGTCCTAATGCTCTCCCTCCCCTTGCCCCCCACTTCCCTACAGGCCCCAGTGTGTGATGTTCCCCTCCCTGTGTCCATGTGTTCTCATTGTTTAACTCCCACTTATGAGTGAGAACATGCAGTGTTTGGTTTTCTGTTCCTGTGTTAGTTTGCTGAGAATGATGGCTTCTAGCTTCATCCATGTCCCTGCAAAGGACATGAACTATATTTACTTTTTTTTTTTTTTTTTTTTTTTTGAGACGGAGTTTCACTCTTGTTGCCCAGGCTGGGCAATGGTGCAATCTTAGCTCACCACAACCTCTGCCTCCTGCTTCAAGTGATTCTCCTCCTTCAGCCTCCCGAGTAGCTGGGATTACAGGTATGTGCCACCACGCCTGGCTAATTTTTAGTAGAGACGAGGTTTCTCCATATTGGTCAGGCTGGTCTTGAACTCCCAGCCTCAGGTGATCCACCTGCCTTGGCCTCCCAAAGTGCTGGGATTACAGGCGTGAGCTACCATGCCTGGCCTATATTTAATTTTAATTGACAAAAAAATTGTATGTTAAAGGTATACAAAATGATGTTTTGATATATGTGTACAATGTAGAATGTTTAAATGGAGCTAATTAATATATGCGCCACCTCACATACTTATTATTGTCTTGTGATGAGAACTTTTAATATTTACTCCCTTAGTGATTTTTAAGTATACAATACATTGTTGTTAAGTACAGTCACCATGTTGTACAATAGAGCTCTTTCAGTCATTCCTCCTGTCTGGCTGAAAATTTGTGTCCTCTGACCATTATCTCCCCATTTCCTCTTCTCCCTAGCCCGTGGAACCACCATTCTGAGCTCTACTCTTAGAAGGTTTTTAGATTTCATATGTATGTGAGATCACGTGATATCTTCCTTCCTCCCTCCCTTCTTCCTTCCTTCCTCTCTTTCTCTCTTTTCTTTTCTTTCTTTCTTTCTCTTTCTTTCATCTCTCTTTCCTTCCTTTCTTCCTTCCTTCCTTTCTCTTTCATCTCTCCTTCCTTCCTTTCTTCCTTCCTTTCTCCCTCTTTCTTTCCTTTCTTTCTTTCTTTTTCTTTCTTTCTTTCTTTCTTTCTTTCTTTCTTTCTTTCTTTCTTTCTTTCTTTCTTTCTGTCTTCCTCCTTCCTTCCTTCCTTCCTTCTTTCAGACAAGGTCTCACTCTGTCATTCAGGCTGGAGTGCAGTAGCGTGATCATAGCTCACTGCAGCCTTGAACTCCTGGGTTCAAGCGATCTTTCTGCCTCAGCACCCTCCAAGTAGCTGGGACCACAGGCTATATCACCATGCCTGACTAATTTTTTAAATTCTTTTTTTTTTTTTGTAGAGACAGGGTCTCCCTATGTTGCCCAAGCTGGTCTCAAACTACTGGGCTCAAATGATCCTTCCTCCTTGGCCTCCCAAAATGTTGGATTGCAGGTGTGAGCCACTGCACCTGGTTCATTATTTGTCTTTCTGTGCTTAGCTTATTTCGTAAAGAAGTCAATATTAAATATTAAAAGTTATTATAAAGATATATTAGCAAGACAGTATGGTAGGGACATAAATATAAACACACATACCAACAGAACATGACAAAAGAACAAAACCAGCCGCATGCATACTCCATGGAGACAAAGGTAACACTGCAGAATGGTGAAGGAAGAACAGTCATTTTAATGACAGTGTTGGCTTAATTGAGTATTCATGTTCAAAAAAGAAATTTGAGCCTTATTTCACATCTCATAGACACACACTATAACTTCCTTGTGGAGTTTAAATCTAAATGCAATAAGTGAGCAATAAAAATTTTAGAATATATTCTAACAGATTATATTAATGATCTTGGTGTAGGAACAGATTTTTTAAAACACTATATAGGAAACTTTAAACATAAAAAAGATTGATAAGTTAGACTACACTAAAATATTGAATATATCTTCAATGAAATACAATGTTTAAATAATGAAAACATAAATCACAGAGTAGGAGAGAATATTTTAAGTATGGCAGCGAAGGTCCTATGCCTAGATGATATAAAGTGCTTCTAAAAGCCAGTAAGAAAAAGACTCAATTAAAACATTGGGAAAACGTTTGGATAGGCACTTCATAATAAAAGAGTATTCAAATGATCAATGCTCACATTAAAAGTGGTTCAACATCGTTAATCATCAGGAAACTGCAAAGTAAACCAACCAAGAGATAACACTGTATACTCATCAAGAGGCCTACATTTTTTATTTTATTTGCTTACATTTTTACTTTAGATTCAGGGGGTACATATACAGGTTTGTTACAGGGGTATATTGCATGATGCTGAGGTTTGGGCTTCTATTGATCCCGTCATCCATGTAGTGAACATACTGCACGATAGGAAGTTTTTAGCCCTTCTCCCCTCTTTTTCCTCTTTTGGAGTCCCCAGTGTCTATTGTTCCCATCTTTATGCTCACATATACCCACAATATAGCTCCCACTTATAAGAGAACACGTGACTTTTGGTTTTCTGTTGATGCATTAATTCACTTAGGATGGTGGCCTCCGACTGCATCCATGTTGCTGCAAGGGATATTATTTTATTCTTTTCTATGGCTGCATAGTATTCCGTGGTGTATAGGTACCACATTTTCTTTATCTGATCCAGAGTTGACGGGCACCTGGATTCCATGTCGTTGCTATTATGAATAGCACTGCAATGAACATATAAGCTCATGTGTCTTTTCAGTAAAATGGCTTATTTTCCTTTGGGCATACACCCAGTAATAAAATTGCTGGATCAAATGGTACCTCAAATCTTAGTTCTTTGAGAAATCTCCAAACTGCTCTCCATAGTAGCTGGAGTAATTTACATTCCCACCAACAATGTATAAAATTTCCCCTTTCTTTACAACCTCACCAACATCTGTTATTTTTTGACTTTTAATATTGGCCATTCTGACTGATGTGAGATGATATCTCATTGTGGTTTTGATTTGCATTTCTCTAGTGATTAATGATGTTGAACTTTTTTTTTCATCTGTTTGCTGGCCACTTATATGTCTTCTTTTGAGAAGTATCTGTTCACGTCCTTTGCCCACTTTTTAATGGGGTTATTTGTTTTTTGCTTGTTGATTTGTTTAAGTTGCTTATAGATGCTGCTTTGTTGGATGTACAGTTTGCAAATATTTTCTCTCATTCTGTAGGTTGTCTGTTTACTGTGTTGATGTTTTTTTGTTGTTGTGCAAAATCTCTTTAGTTTAATTAAATCCTACTCACCAATTTTTGTTTCTGTAACAGTTGCTTTTGGGGACTTGGCCAAAAATTCTTTGCCAAGGCCATGCTAAAGAAAGGTATTTTCTATGTTTTATTCTAGCATTTTTACAGTTTCAGGTCTTACAATTAAGTCTTTAATCCCCCTGAGTTAATTTTTGTATATGGGCTAAGTGTCCAGTTTCATTCTTCTGCATATTATTAGGCAGTTTTCCCTGCACCATTTGTTGAATATGGAGTCTTTTCCCCATTACTTGTTTCTGTTGACTTTGTCAAAGATCAGTTGGTTGTAAGCGTGTGACCTTATTTCTGGGTTCTCTATACTGTCTCATTGGTCTATGTGTCTCTTTTTGTACCAGTACCATGCTGTTTTGGTTACTGTAGCCTTGTGGAATAGTTTAAAGACTTTACCAAAAAACTCCTAGACCTGGTAAATGACTTCAGCAAAGCTTCAGGATACAAAATCAGCATACACAAATCAGTAGCATTTCTATATACCAATAGTTTTTAAGCTGAGAGCCAAATCAAGAGTGAAATCCCATTCAAAATAGCACCACCCCCCAACAAATTAAAATACTTAGGAATACATCTAACCAAGGAGGTGAAAAATCTCTACAAGGAGAACTACAAAACACTACTCAAAGAAATCATAGATGACACAGACCAATGGAAAAACATTCCATGCTGGTGTGTTGAAAGAATCAATATTGTTAAAATGTCCATACTATAGATTCAGCATTATTTCTATCAAATTACCAATGCAATTTTTCACAGAATTAGAAAAACTGTTCTAATATTCATATGGAACCCAAAAAGAGCCAAAGTCATTCTAAGAAAAATAAAACCAGAGGCATCACATTACTTAACTTCATGATGGCTAAAATTTAAGGATTGACAGAAACACATTATATTACTGGTGTAGGTATAAATTATTACCATTAATTTGGAAAACTATTGACAGTATGTCAGTTTTGAACAAAATCATACCCTATGAGTTAGCAACTCCACTTTTGGGTACACACCCAGAACATGATTATCAAAAGGCATCCAAGTTTTATTTCATAAGCACCTAAGGATGTGGATCAAAATGCAAATCTGCTACACAAAATTAGTAGCCAGAGGGTTCTTGGTGAGTCTGGAAGCAAAGCACAGCATTGCTTTTTATTACTCAGCCGTCATGGCCCAGTTGCCTTTGGCAGGTGAGGCCAGCTGGCCAGTAGCTCAGATGGAGCAGGTATGAGGGGGTAAGAGCAGTGGTCCATCTGTCACTGGAGAAGCCTAGTCACCTGGGCAGAATATCTTGAACCTAGGATAAGTTCATCCATGGTAGACCAACTCTGTGATGGAGTTATGAGATGGGGAAGGAGGGTCTGGCACCATGCAACAGGATTTCCCCCAAAGCTCAGCACTCCAAGGAGCACATCAGCATCAGGAATGTCTGCTGGAAGCCAGCGGCTGTGGAGGAGGGGCAGTAGCCACTGAGCCTAGGTTCAGAGCTTCAATCCCCTTCAGTCCTCTTGACTGGCAAGAGAACAGCAGAGTCTATTAGAGAGGAATTACCATTCCAAGCAAGAATTTAGGCCACATCTTTCAGAATGAGACCATTGAGTTGAGGTCCACTTAGCAGGGAAAGTGGCTTCAGGTTGTGGTTGACTGTTTAATTACACCCTGCTGTTCACTCTCTTCACCATTGTATGCAAAGTACAGCATCTCTGACAAGCAAGGAACACTGGCTTGCCCCACAGTGGCTGGCTGGGGTTGATGAAATGAGCAGCGAAGTAGCAGTGTGCCCAGTCCAAGCAGAGACTACCTCTAGCAGGGGCATGACATTCCCCAAGAGAGGGCATCTCCTTTAGCCTGGACCTTGGAGCAAAAGCAACCCATGGATCAGACCAATAGACAACATGCAGCCCTCATCTAACCCAAGTGGAATATAGCTGTTGGTATAAGCCCCCGAGATTTTGAGGTTTTCCCCACAGGAAAGCAAACTAGCATAACACTGAATTGCTGAGCAAGTGGGTGGTTAATTAATAGCTCTCTTTCCCAACTAGAGCTTCCCTGAAAGTCCGAGGAGGCCTGGAGCATGCAGGGAGAGGACAAGCAGCCTCGGAGAGAAAGAGGGGAGGTACAAGTGACCTGGATGCAACACGGCCTGGCCCAGGAGGAATTGGATACTCTTAAGGGATATTTCACACAAGTCATATGAATCTGGAAGACTACCCCAGATCCATATAGGTATATAGGACAAGGCCAGACTACTCTCTATCCCCAACATGTCTCTCAACTGGAGAGTACTAATAAATACTGCCAATTCTTACTACCCAATTCCTGTTTTAATCAGTTATAAAATACAATTTAGTATATTGCCGTGGATTTTTATATTGGTAATATTTTCCTAAGGTGGCTTGCCAATTATCCCAGCCCCATTTGTTGAATAGGGTGTCCTTTCCCCACTTTATGTTTTTGTTTGCTTTGTTGAAGATCAGTTGGCTGTAAGTATTTGGCTTTATTTCTGGGTTCTCTATTCTGTTCCATTGGTCTATATGCCTGCTTTTATACCAGTACCATGCTGTTTTGGTGACTATGGCCTTAGGGTATATCAGTTGATACCTCCAGATTTGTTCTTTTTGCTTAGTCTTTCTTTGGCTACGTGGGCTCTTTTTTGGTTCCATATGAATTTTAGGATTGTTTTTTCTAGTTCTGTGAAGAACGATGGTATGTTTTGATGGGAATTGCATTGAATTTGTAGATTGCTTTTGGCAATACGGTCATTTTCACAACATTGATTCTACCCATCCACGAGCGTGGGATGTGTTTTCATTTGTTTGTGTCATCTGTGATTTCTTTCAGCAGTGTTTTGTAGCTTTTCTTGTAGAGGTCTTTTACCTCCTTGGTTAGGTATATTCCTAAGTTTTTTTTTTTTGTTTTGTTTTCAGCTATTGTAAAAGGGGATGAGTTCTTGATTTGATTCTCAGGTTGGTTGCTGTTGGTGTATAGTAGAGCTACCGATTTGTGTACAATAAATTTGTATCCTAAAACTTTGCTCAATTCACTTATCAGTTCTAGGAGCTTTTTGGAGAAGTCTTTGGGGTTTTCTAGGTATATAATCATATCATCAGCAAACAACAACAGTTTGACTTCCTCTTTAGCCATTTGGATGCCCTTTATTTCCTTCTCTTGTCTGATTACTTTGGCTAGGACTTTCAGTACTGTGGTGAATAGAAGTGGTGAAAGTGGGCATCCTTGTCTTGTTCCAGTTCTCAGGAGGAATGCTTTCAGCTCATCCCCCTTCAGTATTATGTTGGCTGTGGGTTTGTTGAAGATGGCTTTTGTTACCTTGTGTCCCTTCTATGCTGATTTTGCTGAGGGCTTTAATCATTAAGGGATGCTTAATGTCAAATGCTTTTTCTGCGTCTATCGAGATAATCATGTAATTTTTGTTTTTAATCCTGTTTATGTGGTGTATTGCATTTATTGACTTGCATAGTGTTAGTGGCTCTTTCTGCATACTTGAGAATATCTAGTTTTATGTCTCGTTTGAATCTGGGTAGGTTACTTAACCATGATGACAGTTCATTATTATATTTTATTTTAAAAATGTATTTTTTAAATTTTAAAATATTTAATTAACAAAGATTGAATATTTTTGGTGTGCAACATGATGATTTGACATATGTATGCATTGTGTAGTGATTACCAAAATCAAATTAATTAACACATCCATCACCACCCATGCTGTATATGAGAACCCCAGAACTGATTCGTCTTGTAACTGAAAGCTTGTATTCTTTGTCCAGCCTCTCACCCAGTTTCCCCTCTCCCCCACCCCTGGCATCACCATTTAACTCTCTGCTTCTATGAGTTTGACACTTTTATTTATTTATTTATTTTTGAGACAGATTTTTGCTCTTGTCGCCCAGGCTAGAGTGCAATGGCACAGTCTGAGCTCACTGTAACCTCTGCCTCCCGGGTTCAAGTGATTCTCCTGCCTCAACCTCCCGAGTAGCTGGGATTACAGGCATGGCATGTGCCACCACACCCAGCTAATTTTGTAATTTTAGTAGGGATGGGGTTTCACCATGTTGGTCAGGCTCCTCTTGAACTCCTGACCTCAGGTGATCCACCTGCCTCGGCCTCCCAAAGTGCTGGGATTACAGGTGTGAGCCACCATGCCCTGCCCAGTTTGACACTTTTAGATTCCACACATAAGTGAGATCATGCAGTATTTGTCTGTCTGTGTCTTTCTATGCTTATTTTATGTAACATGTCCTCCAGGTTCATCTGTGTTGTTGCAAATGGCAGGATTTTCTTTTTATGGCTGAATAATAGTCCACTTTATACTTCAAATTCTTCCTATCTTTCAGAACCAGATCCAATGCCATCTCTTCCGCAAAGCCTTCTTTGATCTTGAAGTTTGGCAGAGGAAGTTCTCCCCACTGTGAGGTTTAATTATATTGATTTCCTCCTGGCCATGGGTCTGTTTGTAATAGGGATTTATGCAGGAGATAGATAAGGTTTCTCATGCAGCTTGTCAGCTGGTATCATAGAGTGTTTTCTGTAGTTATTATTCTATAACTATTTATTTATGTTTTATAAGTCCTATGAAATATCACTTAAAGGAAAATTCTCTCAGCCTTGTTCCCAAATTCTGTGTGATCACAAAGACACTATTGCTTTCTAGGCCTTGCTTTCATGGAACTGAACCTAAATAGTGTACCTTTTTTAGGTATCTCCAGGGTCTTTCTTTAACTATTTTTGCTCAAGTAAAAGTGAATAGCAAAAATGGAGTATTTTAAACCTGAAAAAAAAAAAAAACAGAAAGGAAGTGAGGTGGCTTGACTTCCTCCTAAGTTTATAGTAAGTATATTTTCTCATGGGAAGAAAAAAACACACTGATGATTAGAAACACTTTGCTTTTTGTTCAGCCACAACCTAGCTATTTCCCACAAAGTTAATCCACTGTTACCAGAATAGGGAAGCATCTGTACACATAGAGAGAAATGGAACCTAAATATTTCTGGAAACCTCAAGTCACTTACACATTCCACAAGTTGCCTCATATCGAGAAACACAGAATTTGTTCAAACATTTCAATACTTCACCAGATTGAGTTTGCAAACAAAAACATTTTGGAATTGTGGCAAAGGGAGTGGCTGTCATGGCAGAGGTGAGCTCAGACATGTGGATTAGTATTCAGACGATAATTTGGCTCCAGAAATCATCACCACGGGGCACACAACCCTGTAGTCAGAAAGGACCTCATGAATCACCCCATAGATTACCCTAAAATTTAAAGATTTTCTCCAGAATGAACCTAGTAAAGAAGACTATTCTAAGAGGCAGCTTATCTCATTCTGAAAACATCTTTGTTGTTTCTTTCTTTCTTTTCTTTTTTTTTTTTTTTTTTTTTTGAGATGGAGTCTAGCTCTGTCCCCCAGGCTGGAGTGCAGTGGCGCAATCTCGGCTCACTGCAAGCTCTGCCTCCTGGGTTCACGCCATTCTCCTGCCTCAGCATCCCGAGTAGCTGGGACTACAGGCGCCCGCCACCACGACTGGTTAATTTTTTGTAGTTTTAGCAGAGACGGGGTTTCACCGTGTTAGCCAGGATGGTCTTGATCTCCTGACCTTGTGATCCTCCTGCCTTGGCCTCCCAAAGTGCCGGGATTACAGGCATCAGCCACTGCGCCTGGCCTGTTTATCTTTATTTCTTTTTTTTTTTCTTTTATTATTATACTTTAAGTTTTAGGGTACATGTGCACATTGTGCAGGTTATTTACATATGTATACATGTGCCATGCTGGTGCGCTGCACCCACTAACTTGTCATCTAGCATTAGGTATATCTCCCAATGCTATCCCTCCCCCCTCCTCCCACCCCACAACAGTCCCCAGAGTGTGATGTTCCCCTTCCTGTGTCCATGTGATCTCATTGTTCAATTCCCACCTGTAAGTGAGAATATGCGGTGTTTGGTTTTTTGTTCTTGCGATAGTTTACTGAGAATGATGATTTCCAGTTTCATCCATGTCCCTGCAAAGGACATGAACTCATCATTTTTTATGGCTGCATAGTATTCCATGGTGTATATGTGCCACATTTTCTTAATCCAGTCTATCATTGTTGGACATTTGGCTTGGTTCCAAGTCTTTGCTATTGTGAATAATGCCGCAATAAACATACGTGTGCATGTGTCTTTATAGCAGCATGATTTATAGTCCTTTGGGTATATACCCAGTAATGGGATAGCTGGGTCAAATGGTATTTCTAGTTCTAGATCCCTGAGGAATCGCCACACTGACTTCCACAATGGTTGAACTGGTTTACAGTCCCACCAACAGTGTAAAAGTGTTCCTATTTCTCCACATCCTCTCCAGCACCTGTTGTTTCCTGACTTTTTAATGATTGCCATTTTAACTGGTGTGAGACGGTATCTCATTGTGGTTTTGATTTGCATTTCTCTGATGGCCAGTGATGATGAGCATTTTTTCATGTGTTTTTTGGCTGCATAAATGTCTTCTTTTGAGAACTGTCTGTTCATGTCCTTTGCCCACTTTTTGATGGGGTTGTTTGTTTTTTTCTTGTAAATTTGTTTGAGTTCATTGTAGATTCTGGATATTAGCCCTTTGTCAGATGAGTAGCTTGCGAAAATTTTCTCTCATTTTGTAGGTTGCCTGTTCACTCTAATGGTAGTTTGTTTCGCTGTGCAGAAGCTCTTTAGTTTAATTAGATCCCATTTGTCAATTTTGGCTTTTGTTGCCATTGCTTTTGGTGTTTTAGACATGAAGTCCTTGCCCATGCCTATGTCCTGAATGGTAATGCCTAGGTTTTCTTCTAGGGCTTTTATGGTTTTAGGTCTAACGTTTAAGTCTTTAATCCATCTTGAATTGATTTTTGTATAAGGTGTAAGGAAGGGATCCAGTTTCAGCTTTCTACATATGGCTAGCCAATTTTCCCAGCACCATTCATTAAATAGGGAATCCTTTCCCCATTGCTTGTTTTTCTCAGGTTTGTCAAAGATCAGATAGTTTTAGGTATGCGGCGTTATTTCTGAGGGCTCTGTTCTGTTCCATTGATCTATATCTCTGTTTTGGTACCAGTACCATGCTGTTTTGGTTACTGTAGCCTTGTAGTATAGTTTGAAGTCAGGTAGCGTGACGCCTCCAGCTTTGTTCTTTTGGCTTAGGATTGACTTGGCGATGCAGGCTCTTTTTTGGTTCCATATGAACTTTAAAGTAGTTTTTTCCAATTCTGTGAAGAAAGTCATTGATAGCCTGATGGGGATGGCATTGAATCTGTAAATTACCTTGGGTAGTATGGCCATTTTCACGATATTGATTCTTCCTACCCATAAGCATGGAATGTTCTTCCATTTGTTTGTATCCTCTTTTATTTCCTTGAGCAGTGGTTTGTAGTTCTCCTTGAAGAGGTCCTTCACATCCCTTGTAAGGTGGATTCCTAGGTATTTTATTCTCTTTGAAGCAATTGTGAATGGGAGTTCACTCATGATTTGGCTCTCTGTTTGTCTGTTGTTGCTGTATAAGAATGCTTGTGATTTTTGTACATTGATTTTGTATCCTGAGACTTTGCTGAAGTTGCTTATCAGCTTAAGGAGATTTTGGGCTGAGACAGTGGGGTTTTCTAGATATACAATCATGTCATCTGCAAACAGGGACAATTTGACTTCCTCTTTTCCTAATTGAATACCCTTTCTTTCTTTCTCCTGCCTAATTGCCCTGGCCAGAACTTCCAACACTATGTTGAATAGGAGTGGTGAGAGAGGGCATCCCTGTCTTGTGCCAGTTTTCAAAGGGAATGCTTCCAGTTTTTGCCCATTCAGTATGATATTGGCTGTGGGTTTGTCACAGATAGCTCTTATTATTTTGAAATATACGTCCCATCAATACCTAATTTATTGAGAGTTTTTAGCATGAAGGGTTGTTGAATTTTGTCAAAGGCCTTTTCTGCATCTATTGAGATAATCATGTGGTTTTTGTCTTTGGCTCTGTTTATATGCTGGATTACATTTATTGATTTGCGTATATTGAACCAGCCTTGCATCCCAGGGATGAAGCCCACTTGATCATGGTGGATAAGCTTTTTGATGTGCTGCTGGATTCGGTCTGCCAGTATTTTATTGAGGATTTTTGCATCAATGTTCATCAAGGATATTGGTCTAAAATTCTCTTTTTTGGTTGTGTCTCTGCCTGGCTTTGGTATCAGAATGATGCTGGCCTCATAAAATGAGTTAGGGAGGATTCCCTCTTTTTCTATTGATTGGAATAGTTTCAGAAGGAATGGTACCAGTTCCTCCTTGTACCTCTGGTAGAATTCGCCTGTGAATCCGTCTGGTCCTGGACTCTTTTTGGTTGGTAAGCTATTGATTATTGCCACAATTTCAGCTCCTGTTATTGTCTATTCAGAGATTCAACTTCTTCCTGATTTAGTCTTGGGAGAGTGTATGTGTCGAGGAATGTATCCATTTCTTCTAGATTTTCTAGTTTATTTGCGTAGAGGTGTTTGTAGTATTCTCTGATGGTAGTTTGTATTTCTGTGGGATCGGTGGTGAGATCCCCTTTATCATTTTTTATTGCGTCTATTTGATTCTTCTCTCTTTTTTTCTTTATTAGTCTTGCTAGCGGTCTATCAATTTTGTTGATCTTTTCAAAAAACCAGCTCCTGGATTCATTAATTCTTTGAAGGGTTTTTTGTGTCTCTATTTCCTTCAGTTCTGCTCTGATTTTAGTTATTTCTTGCCTTCTGCTAGCTTTTGAATGTGTTTGCTCTTGCTTTTCTAGTTCTTTTAATTGCGATGTTAGGGTGCCAATTTTGGATCTTTCCTGCTTTCTCTTGTGGGCATTTAGTGCTATAAATTTCCCTGTACACACTGCTTTGAATGCGTCGCAGAGATTCTGGTATGTTGTGTCTTTGTTCTCGTTGGTTTCAAAGAACATCTTTATTTCTGCCTTCATTTCGTTATGTACCCAGTAGTCATTCAGGAGCAGGTTGTTCAGTTTCCATGTAGTTGAGCGGTTTTGAGTGAGATTCTTAATCCTGAGTTCTAGTTTGATTGCACTGTGGTCTGAGAGACAGTTTGTTATAATTTCTGTTCTTTTACATTTGCTGAGGAGAGCTTTACTTCCAAGTATGTGGTCAATTTTGGAATAGGTGTGGTGTGGTGCTGAAAAAAATGTATATTCTGTTGATTTGGGGTGGAGAGTTCTGTAGATGTCTATTAGGTCTGCTTGGTGCAGAGCTGAGTTGAATTCCTGGGTATCCTTGTTGACTTTCTGTCTCGTTGATCTGTCTAATGTTGACAGTGGGGTGTTAAAGTCTCCCATTATTAATGTGTGGGAGTCTAAGTCTCTTTGTACGTCACTCAGGACTTGCTTTATGAATCTGGGTGCTCCTGTGTTGGGTGCATATATATTTAGGATAGTTAGCTCTTCTTGTTGAATTGATCCCTTTACCATTATGTAATGGCCTTCTTTGTCTCTTTTGATCTTTGTTGGTTTAAAGTCTGTTTTATCAGAGACTAGGATTGCAACCCCTGCCTTTTTTTGTTTTCCATTTGCTTGGTAGATTTTCCTCCATCCTTTTATTTTGAGCCTATGTGTGTCTCTGCACGTGAGATGGGTTTGCTGAATACAGCACACTGATGGATCTTGACTCTTTATCCAATTTGCCAGTCTGCATCTTTTAATTGGAGCATTTAGTCCATTTACATTTAAAGTTAATATTGTTATGTGTGAATTTGATCCTGTCATTATGATGTTAGCTGGTTATTTTGCTCGTTAGTTGATGCAGTTTCTTCCTAGTCTCGATGGTCTTTACATTTTGGCATGATTTTGCAGCGGCTGGTACCGGTTGTTCCTTTCCATATTTAGCGCTTCCTTCAGGAGCTCTTTTAGGGCAGGCCTGGTGGTGACAAAATCTCTCAGCATTTGCTTGTCTGTAAAGTATTTTATTTCTCCTTCACTTATGAAGCTTAGTTTGGCTGGATATGAAATTCTGGGTTGAAAATTCTTTTCTTTAAGAATGTTGAATATTGGCCCCCACTCTCTTCTGGCTTGTAGGGTTTCTGCCGAGAGATCCGCTGTTAGTCTGATGGGCTTCCCTTTGAGGGTAACCCGACCTTTCTCTCTGGCTGCCCTTAACATTTTTTCCTTCATTTCAACTTTGGTGAATCTGAGAATTATGTGTCTTGGAGTTGCTCTTCTCGAGGAATATCTTTGTGGCGTTCTCTGTATTTCCTGAATCTGAACGTTGGCCTGCCTTGCTAGATTGGGGAAGTTCTCCTGGATAATATCCTGCAGAGTGTTTTCCAACTTGGTTCCATTCTCCCCATCACTTTCAGGTACACCAATCAGACGTAGATTTGGTCTTTTCACATAGTCCCATATTTCTTGGAGGCTTTGCTCATTTCTTTTTATTCTTTTTTCTCTAAACTTCCCTTCTCACTTCATTTCATTCATTTCATCTTCCATTGCTGATACCCTTTCTTCCAGTTGATCGCGTCGGCTCCTGAGGCTTCTGCATTCTTCACGTAGTTCTCGAGCCTTGGTTTTCAGCTCCATCAGCTCCTTTAAGCACTTCTCTGTATTGGTTATTCTAGTTATACATTCTTCTAAATTTTTTTCAAAGTTTTCAACTTCTTTGCCTTTGGTTTGAATGTCCTCCTGTAGCTCAGAGTAATTTGATCGTCTGAAGCCTTCTTCTCTCAGCTCGTCAAAGTCATTCTCCGTCCAGCTTTGTTCCATTGCTGGTGAGGAACTGCGTTCCTTTGGAGGAGGAGAGGCGCTCTGCTTTTTAGAGTTTCCAGTTTTTCTGTTCTGTTTTTTCCCCATCTTTGTGGTTTTATCTACTTTTGGTCTTTGACAATGGCGATGTACAGATGGGTTTTTGGTGTGGATGTCCTTTCTGTTTGTTAGTTTTCCTTCTAACAAACAGGACCCTCAGCTGCAGGTCTGTTGGAGTACCCTGCAGTGTGAGGTGTCAGTGTGCCCCTGCTGGGGGGTGCCTCCCAGTTAGGCTGCTCGGGGGTCAGGGGTCAGGGACGCACTTGAGGAGGCAGTCTGCCCGTTCTTAGATCTCCAGCTGCGTGCTGGGAGAACGACTGCTCTCTTCAAAGCTGTCAGACAGGGATATTTAAGTCTGCAGAGGTTACTGCTGTCTTTTTGTTTGTCTGTGCCCTGCCCCCAGAGGTGTAGCCTACAGAGGCAGGCAGGCAGGCCTCCTTGAGCTGTGGTGGGCTCCACCCAGTTCGAGCTTCCCAGCTGCTTTGTTTACCTAATCAAGCCTGGGCAATGGCGGGCGCCCCTCCCCCAGCCTCGCTGCCGCCTTGCAGTTTGATCTCAGACTGCTGTGCTAGCAATCAGCGAGACTCCGTGGTCGTAGGACCCTCCGAGCCAGGTGCGGGATATAATCTCGTGGTGCGCCGTTTTTTAAGCCCGTAGGAAAAGCGCAGTATTCGGGTGGGAGTGGCCTGATTTTCCAGGTGCTGTCCGTCACCCCTTTCTTTGACTAGGAAAGGGAACTCCCTGACCCCTTGCGCTTCCCGAGTGAGGCAGTGCCTCGCCCTGCTTCGGCTGGCGCACGGTGCGCGCACCCACTGACCTGCGCCCACTGTCTGGCACTCCCTAGTGAGATGAACCCGGTACCTCAGATGGAAATGCAGAAATCACCTGTCTTCTGCGTTGCTCACGCTGGGAGCTGTAGACCGGAGCTGTTCCTATTCGGCCATCTTGGCTCCTCTCTCTATCTTTATTTCTTATAACTTGTTTTAATCATCCTGTTTGGGACTCGTAGCTCTGACATTTGGTGATATTAAGAACACAGGGATTACTTATTCACAGGCTGTGATATCACATAGTGGAAAACCTTTATTATTTATGACTCCTGGGATAAATATTCCAGGTTTCTACACACAAGATGATTTTCATGTTTTCTGCCATCTGTATTATACCCTCTTTGTCAATATCATCCTTAAAATGAGCTGCCCTGCTCCCAGCAAAATGACTCATCTAGCAATGCTTATATGAGATTCCTGAATGCATTACTATGACAGGGTCACATCTCAATTTCATTTTTCTCTTTATAAAAGGAATTTATAATCTTTCCCAGATTATAAATTGTCAATTAACAGAACTAATAAAAATTATTTTAAAAGTATGTATATAAGTAACTGCTACAAGCATTTTCAACAATGATGAACATGAGAAAAGCTATCCTATTCTCTGGAGTTAAATATTTATTTTGAAATATTAAGATATTTCTAATTTTTCAAATCCATTGATAATATATCATTATCTGATGGGAAAATTTTCAATAGATATAAATGTATTTAGAATGTAAAAATGAATTCAGAATGGAATAATAATTCTACTTATAGTAGTATTCACAGAGAAAGTAGAACTATTGCCACCTTTTAATTGGGTGGTAGATTTCAATTGTTCTCACTGTTTTGGCAGCCTTGTCACAGGATTCCTTATGTGAGGTTTTATTTGCCTAAATCTCATTCCTTCCTCACATGAGTCATCACCAAGCCAGGAATCTTTTGTACCTTGCAAGCGACTTTCTGGAATACAGGCTATCACACTTTTTCCTAATAAATTTTATTTCATTTTTCTGTAGCTCCTCATTCTTATCTGTCAATGTCATTTTACAAGTCTTGAAGCTGTCTTCTACAGCAGAGCTGCAAATCTGTTTCCACTTGAGCTTCTGATAAACATACTAAACAATATATGCTGATGACCCAACATTCAGAATCACCTTTCAATTTGACACAGACCTGGTAGTAATACTCTTTAGAGATCTAGTTTAGGATCTCTAAACCCAGGAAATCACTTGGGTTGATCTCTAAACCCAGGCAAATTCTCTTTACCCAGGAAATTCACTAATCTATCAAGATACAGACACAGTGTCAAGTACTCGGCTGAAGTAGAGATACATACCACACTCTGTTCTAAAGGGCAATAACAGTTTTTTTTCCCCATTAGAACGGACTTACTCCTGGTAAACCTGGAGCTGTAAAGCTGATACGTAGGAATCATTCAACAAAGTGTACGCATTAGTATTATTGTTATCAGTTTGTATTAATCAATACACTATCCTCTAAATGCTCCCAAATTCATTGTTTAAAAACTAGATAAGGGGTTGGGTTAAGATAATAAGTCCTTATTTTCTGAAACGAGGAAACTAGTTAAGGTTAACTTCAGTTTGGTCATCTGGTACCACAGAAAAATCTAACACCACAGAGACACTGGGTCATATGCAGAGATTTATTCTTAATATTTCCTAACTGAAAAACAGCTCATTAGGCACATCTGGAGACCTTGGAGCTGTCCTAGGTACAAGGGTGGGGTGGCAGAGAAAAGCTTAATGTAGACTCTCTACTCTCAAACGACTCATTCTGGTGAATAGACACTAGTTAACTATGCAGGTAAAGTTTTCTTCATTCTTGTATCTCAACATCTGACACAGACCCTGGCTTGGTAACGGGAACTCACATGTGTGTGATGAAGGTAAGGAGCACTCCGAAGAGAGCCTGGTGATGCAGAACTAGCAGGCATGTGGTGCATCCCAATTCCCCTAGTGCTTCAAAGCCCTTACAAAGCAGAACCGTGGCCCCGATGTGAGGCACACAGGCTGGGGACACAATTCCTTTTCAAAGAGAAGCAACTGAATGCTCAGAAGTAGAGTGACTTGTGAAGGGTCACTGGGAAGAACGTGGCAAAGCTGAAATGAACACTCAGATCTGCAGACTATAAGTCATTTGCAGGGCCAGGCATGGTGGCTCATGTCTATTATCCCAGTGCTTTGGGAGGCCAAAGCAGGAGGATCTCTTGTGGCCAGGAGTTTGAGACTGGCCTGGGAAACATAGCAAGACCTGTCTCTACAAAAAATATAATAGAAAATTCACCAGGCATTGTGCTGTGTGCCTATAGTCCTAGCCACTGAGGAAGCTCAGGCTGGAGGATTGCTTGAGCCCAGAAGTTTGAGGCTGAACTGAGCTATGATCATGGCACTGCACTCCAGCCTGGGTGACAGAGTGAAATCCCACCTCTAAAAAGAGGGGAAAAAATAGCTTTTTTTTTTTTTTTTTTTTTTTTTCCTGAGATGGAGTTTTGCTCTGTCGCCCAGGCTGGAGTGCAACGGCACGATCTTGGCTCACTGAAACTTTTGCCTCCCGGGTTCAAGGAATTCTCCTGCCTCAGCCTTTCGAGTAGCTGAGATTACAGGCACCCACCAGCACACCAGGTTAATTTTTTTTTTTTGATAGAGACGGGGTTTCACCATGTTGTTCAGGCTGGTCTTGAACTCCTGACCTCAGGTCATCCGCCTGCCTTGGCCTCCCAAAGTGCTGGGATTACAGGAGTGAGCCACTGCACCTGGCTGGAAAAAATAGTCTTAACTATAGTCCCAGCTACTTGGGAGGCAGAGGTGGTAGGATCGCTTGAGCCCGGGAGGTCGAGGATGAAGTGAGCTGAGATCGCACCACTGCACTCCAGCCTGGGAGGCAAAGTGAAAACCTATTTAAAAAAAAAGTGGTGACTTCAAATCACTCTCTTTCAGCATTAGAGTAAGGTAGGAAGTCTGCATATTTTTAGATTCTCATGATTTTTCTCATGGAAGGGGTGATCATTTCTGATCACTGCCATTGCATCATGACAACAAAGCTGCTTCTGTGTGTCCTAGAATACAAAATGCAAATGGAATCCAGCCTGGTAAAAATGTGGAAGGAGAGCAAGAAGCCCTTTGGTGAGCATAGCCAGGCCACCCATTTAGGTTGTGTTGGTGCACATCCTTGCAGGCCCCATGCACATCACAACTTCCACAGACTCACATGTGCTTTACAACAGTTCTCTAGAAGATGGTAGTAGGAGATCTTATTCTAACAAAACAGTGTAATATGACAGCATCCCAAGAGATAGAAGTAACATGTCTTGAGAAAGAAGTGCCTCTTTTCTAATCTTCATGGAGACAGCTCATGGACTGTGATTGCTTTGCATCCAGTCTCTCCAGATGACCTACTGCTCTCAAATATCACTAATGACTGACTACAAGCCAACAAGAGAGAGGGTTGAGTTTCATGTATCTTGTGCAGAGTAGGTGCTGAGTTAATATTTCTCGAATTCAGAGTTGTGCTAGGTCTCCCAAGAATTTCATAATGTAATGCTGAAGAGCATGGGCTTTGGGGTCAGGCAAGCTAAGGTTCAAACTTTGACTACTGCTTAGGATACTAGAATAAGTTCTACATCTTCATTGTCCTCATGGAAAGATTCATGGTCCTCACGGGTAAAATGTGATGAATAAAATCTGCAGGACTGGGAGGAGTAAAGGATATAAATAATATTGCATTCCATGCCTGGTACGTAGTTGGTGCTGTCGACAGTAGCTAGAGAGAGAGAAATGAATGATGGTAAAGAGTGCAGGCTACTCTACCTGTACCCATGTTCATCATAGCACTATCCACAACAGCCAGAATATGGAATCAACCTCCGTGTCCATCGACAGGTGAAGAAAATGTGTTATAAATACACGGTTGAGTACTATTCAGCCTTAAGAAACAAGGAAATCCTGTCATTTGCAACACCATAGATGAACCTGGAGGACATTATGCTAAGCAAAATAAGCTGGGTGCCAAAAGACAGCTACTTTATGATCTCACTTATATACAGAGGCTAAAAATGTCAAACTCACAGAGGCAGAGAGTGGGATGGTGCTTACCAGAGGCTGGGGCAGGGGAAGGACTGAGAAGAGGTTGGCCAGGGATACACAATTTCAGTTAGGAGGAGAAACTTCAAGAAATCTGTTGCACAGCATGGTGACCACAGCTAAACACAGTGTCTTGTATTCTTGAGCACTTCTAAGAGAGTAGTTTTAAGTGTTCTTACCACAAATAACTGGCAAGTAGGTGAGGCAATGCATATGTTACTTAGTTCAGTTTAGCCATTCCATAGTGTACGCATACTGTATATCAAAACACTATGTTCTTCTTAGGACAGGCGATGAGGACAAAAAAAGAAAAAACATTATGTCATATACCATAAATATATACAGTTCGTGTCCGTCAATTAAAAAAAAAAATTATGGCTGGGTGCAGTGGCTCACGCCTGTAATCCCAGCACTTCAGGAGGCCGAGATGGGCGAATCACCTGAGGTTGCGAGTTTGAGACCAGCCTGACCAACATGGAGAAACCCCGTCTCTACTAAAAATACAAAATTAGCCGGGCGTGGTGGTGCACAACTATAATCCCAGCTACTTGGGAGGCTGAGGCAGGAGAATCACTTGAACCTGGGAGGCGGAGGTGGGGTGAGCCGAGATCGCACTATTGCACTCCAGCCTGGGCGACAGAGCGAGACTCCTTCTCAATAAATAAATAAATAAGTAAAAATTTACAAACAGAGCACAGACTGTGGAGTCCAGCTGCCTGGAGTCAAGGCCAAGCTTGTCTCTACTTAGCTGTGTGGCATTTACACAGGTCCCTGAAGCTCTCCATGCCGCATTTTCTCTTCTGTAAAAGTCTTTTGGGGAGGTAAATGACAGAACACATGTATGGGGGTCGTTGCTGCTGGCACCTAATATTTCTGATCCTTAGGCACAGCCTGCTCCCCTTCAAATCAGGCCTGGCCTTGGGATTGTGCTTTGGCTTGTGGTATCTGTTTGTTCACTTCTGGCTGGAGCTTCAGGAGACAGCGTGTGATTTGATATTTCTCTTTATCTGCCAGGTAGTGCAAAATGACATACAGCACAGCCTGGCCAGTCCAAAACTGACACATAGTACCATAAAATCTTCTGGGACTTTGTCGGTTTAGGTCCCAGAAAATATTGATGATATTTTATTATTGCAATATGGCCTCCCCCATCTTTTTTTTTTTGTGACAGAGTCTCACTCTGTCACCCAGGCTAGAGTGCAGTGGCGTGATCTTGGCTCACTGCAAGCTCCGCCTCCCGGGTTCAAGTGATTCTCCCGCTTTAGACTCCAGAGTAGCTGGGATTACAGGAGCACACTGCCACACCTGGCTAATTTTTTAGTGTTTTTATTAGAGATGGGGTTTCACCATGTTGGCCAGACTGGTCTCGAACTCCTGACCTCAGGCAATCCACCTGCCTCGGCCTCCCAAAGTGCTGGGATTACAGAAGTGAGCCAGCACGCCCGGCCAGCCTCCCCCATCTTAAGGAAAACAGAATCTAAAGTGCCCAAACTCGTGTCTGGCCCATAGTTGGTACTCAGCAAATGTTTATTATTGTTATAATAATAATGATTATTCCTGTCATCATTCCTAATGATGTTCATATTTGAACAGCCCCAGCTCTGCCTAGCTACACCTTGGCCATTGTTGGACTTCATGATTTTAAGATCTCTCTTCTCTAGAAGAAACAGTTTAGTATTTGGCACAAGAGAAACACAGAAAACTACTTCAAACATCTATTGACTGACTGTGGATGCATCTGAAAGTGATTCATCTCTGAGTCTTTATTTCATTATCTGTACAATGGAGATGAATCCTAATGACTGAGAAGTTTGGTCACAAGCAAACTTCTTTTGGCTGCAGTGCCTGGGACAAGGTCAGCACTAGCCACTCCTGTCCGTGCTATCTCCTTTGCAGCACCAATCCCAGCTCCTCCAGCCTTCACATCCTAGTCTCTCACCAGCTATAAGACTTTTCTTTCTCCTAATTGTTGGCTGTTCCACAGGGAGATGGAGAGGAGCTTGCTCACTTGTTAATTTTGCTATTGATAGCTTGAGGAAAAAATTACATCTAGTAGGAGACTCTAATCAGAATATCTGTGGAATTTAGGTAGCTCCATCATTTCTAGTCCACAAATGTAGCTATGAAACATTGGAATCCTTTATGGTTTTAGAACGACCTAATGCATTTGGTGTCTGTGGCTATGTGTAGCTCAACAATGTTGTAGCCTGTACTCACACTTAGCTATACCAGGTGATCATTTTCCCACTGTCTTGGCTTTTCTGGGAAGACCTGCTCAATGCTGCTACGGGCACACGCAGGTGGACAGGTCACGACCTAGGAGTCACTGCTCTCAGCCAAATGTCACATGTAATTGTGTTCCAACATCCTCCTGAAAGGAGCCTTTCAAATAACTGAAAAAAACTAATTAAATACGTATAGCATGAATCATTTCTGGAAGATAACTAAACCCAAGCAGTTACGCCAGTTGGTCTTCATCATAGTTCCTTAATTTAATAGTAATCTTCATAGGAAATTGTGGTATCACGTGAGGTGGATCTGGCAAGCTTTTTCATCCGGTTCCAGATGGGGAACTTAATTGATCTCAAATTTGCTCACTGAGCTTTAAAGTATGGAAAAAGACCCAGAGCCCTGACTTTCCAGCCAAGTCTCAGGTCCCCACCACTGGGCCACATACCCTTCCCAGGGGCCAGCAGAGGAAATAGAACTCAATTTGTGTTAAAGGTTTACAAACCTGTTAATGCTTTTTGTTCAGTATTTCAAAATTTAGAGAACATGGTGCTGCACATTTTAAGGAATATTACTTTTCTTCCTTCCCTCCTGCATCCTGTTTTCTCTTGGTGCTATTATGGTTCACATTGGTTGGCAATACATTGCAGCAAGAAAGGTATTAAAAGCTTGAGGTGGTAAAACTATAAAGTTACCACCTTTCCATGCTAATTCGTGTGAAAACATGATGCGCTCCACATCTTTCATGGTGCAATAACATAGGTGAGTCAACATCAGGCACGTGAGTTTGTTCAAGCAAGTCATTTGAAGTCAGAATGGTAACTTGTGGAGGCGGATCTGTGACATGCTGGGAAGAAGTCAGGTTTAGTATACCATATTGCAGTTTATTATCCATGAAGTAGATTACCCAAAAAACTTAGCCATTTTGCAGTACGTATAAAACGTGCCTTTATTCAGCAATTCAGTTTCTAAGAATTCCTTCTAAATAAATAAGGATGTGTACAGATATATAGATGTAAAGATGGTTATTGTAATTTCTTTAGGATAATCAAATCATGGTACATCTGAACTGAATCATCCTGCATTCATTAAAACAGCAGTGCTGGGATTTCATCATTTATATAAATATGGAAAATTCATTTAAGTACTAAGCAGGTTGCAGAGCAGCAAAGATGTCATTTTTTTTACTTTTGAGCAAGTGAAGATGGAGAGACAGACCCACAGTCAGAAGCACATATTTCCAGGTATCCGTAATTTTGTAATTTTCATTTTCCTTTTACCTATATTTCATAATTATTCTGTATGTAACGTGGGTTATTTGCATCATCAAAATGCCTTTCAAAATAATGTGTAAAAACAGTATTAATTGCCTTTTTAAAAAATTATTATTATACTTTAAGTTTTAGGGTACATGTGCACAATGTGCAGGTTAGTTACATATGTATACATGTGCCATGCTGGTGTGCTGCACCCATTAACTCGTCATTTAGCATTAGGTATATCTCCTAATGCTATCCCTCCCCCCTCCCCCGACCCCACAACAGTCCCCAGAGTGTGATGTTCCCCTTCCTGTGTCCATGTGTTCTCATTGTTCAATTCCCATCTATGAGTGAGAACATGTGGTGTTTGTTTTTTTGTCCTTGCGATAGTTTACTGAGAATGATGATTTCCAATTTCATCCATGTCCCTACAAAGGACAAGAACTTATCATTTTTTATGGCTGCATAGTATTCCATGGTGTATATGTGCCACATTTTCTTAATCCAGTCTATCATTGTTGGACATTTGGGTTGGTTCCAAGTCTTTGCTATTGTGAATAAAAAATATGGAACGCTTCACGAATTTGCGTGTCATCCTTGCTCAGGGGCCATGCTAATCTTCTCTGTATCGTTCCAATTTTAGTATATGTGCTGCCGAAGCGAGCACTAATTGCCTTTTTTTTCTTGGACTGAGTTTGCTAACATCTGTGACATAAGGTTAAAGATGCACCATTTAGTGTCATTTTGCCCCCAACTCACTCTGTGACAACTTTTGGTGCCATGAATTTCCAGAGGGTGGGATGCACGTCTTGCTAACTGCAGCATCACCCCAACAGAGCAGCTCATGGTTATTGGCCTGAAATGGGAATTTTGATTAGGAACTAAGGAAAGGGCATCTCATTTCCTAGCTGTGAGCTTCTGGACAGTGGGGCTGTGTCTTTTGTCATCTTTGGGCTCCTGTTCTCCTTTCCACTGAAACATGGGCCAGTGGCTACCTGGTAGCAGTCACTCAGAAGTGTGATCCAGATCTCATTGTGGGTGGGGAGATCGAGGCACATAAAGATGAAGTGGCCTGTCCCCAGGCGCATAGCACCTGCCCCTGCTCCACTCACAGATACTGGGCGTTCTGTGCTAACAGGGGCACCTTCTGGGCAAGAGGATGAGGGGAGCACTGAACACCTCTCTCAAGAGAAATTTTTTTTCTTCTGTCACACATGCATACAAACAACAACCGATGAGCTTGTGGTTTGTCTTCAAGGTTCAGGAAGACTCAACTTTTCCAGCAGAAAGGACAATGATGCCTCAACAGAGCCGGATGACTCTCGATGGCCATGCCACTTAACAAAGCGTGGCCACCCACTTGTTCACCTGCAGCCTGAGGAAAGGAACAGCTGCAACACCTGCCAGGGACTTAGGGGATGAAGCCCTGGAGGCTGATCAGATATCCTCCTCTGGAGGTGGAGCCACATGGCTAATACACCACTGGACACAGATGTGTGCAGTTTTGTGTTTGCTGTGGGCTGTGATGCAAATCGCATTTTGTAGTCCCCATCTTTGGAGATGCTCCAGACAGTCCCTCGGAGAAAGACAGAAATGGATCCCTTTGTTCTTTCTGTTCTTTCCAGGCAACCTGCCTCTGAGGGGAAGAGGGCCCAGACATAGGATGCTGGTAAGCAACTACTGTAATTGTCAGCGTAAGGGGCTGGAACTCAGGTTCCATCCTGCACACTTGCACAAGCCCACCAATGGGATCAAAGATGAAGGGTGGCAGCGATTGGAGAGGTCAGGATAAGAAGATTCAAGATGCCAGAAATCTGCAACATGAGATACAGCCCAGGCTCTGGGCTCGTTCCTCCAGGGCTGCGTCGCTGCGTAGCTGATGTGGCCTGTGAGCTGGGCCTCAAAGGACATTGCATTTAAAGCAGAGGAGAGGAGGAAATTTTTGGGAGATAAGATGGGATTTACAGAGACACCAAAAGAGCAAAAGAAAATAATTCCTGATGGTCTGAGCACATAGAGAGTCACCGTGGAGGAGACTGGACATTGGTACATATCCTACAATGCCTGCCCCATGGCTCTGGCCTCATGCCATGCCATGCAACATGGCACCTGGCATCTCAGTCAACAGATGTCCCAGATCTCAGTCGTTGGCATTTATTACCAAATTATTCTGCCATCTTATATTCAAGTCCTTCCAAAGCCTTTCTTGTTGTGGGAGGGGGAGAATCTTATTTTTTAAATTTTATTTTAGTTATTTTATGTATATAAGTTGTACATCATGATGGATTTTTTAAATACATTTAATTGTGTATGTTTAAGGTAAGCATCATGATGTTTATATATATATATATGTGTGTGTGTGTATATATATATATATATATATATATATATATAGTAAATTGGTTAATATAGTGAAGCAAATTAATGTACCCATGTTTTGTGTGTGGGGCTGAAGTATCTACAATCAACTCATTTAGCAAAAATCCTGAATACAAGACACTGTTAGTATTGGCGGTCCTCATGTTTTACATTAGATCTCTAGACTTGTCCACCCTCCTTATCTGCGACTTTGTAACCCTTGACCTACTTCTCTGCAATTCCTTCCTGCCACACTGCCCCTGGTAACCACGGTGTAATTCTCTATTTCTGTATATTTGAATTTGTTTAAAAGATTTTACATATGAGTGAGATTATGCAATATTTTTCCTTCTGCATCTGACATATTTACTTAGCATAATGTCTTGCAATTCCATCCATGTTGTGGCAAATGGCAGGATCTCCTTTTTTGAGGCTGAAGGATATTCCTTTGTACATATATATCACAGTTTCTTTACCCATTTGCCTGCCAATGAACATTTAGGTTGTTTCTTATCTTAGATATTGAGAATAATGCTGGAATGGACATGACAGTGAAGATATCTCCCTGAGTGCTGATTTCCTTTCCTTTGGATGCATACCCAGAGGAGGAATTGCTACATCTTATGGTACTTCTAACTTTAATTTCTTTAGGAAGCTCCACTTGCTGGTGTCAGGTGATAACGCATAATGGTTTTGATTTGCATTTCCCTGAGGATTAGTGACATTGAGCATCTTTTCATTAACCTGTGGGTCATTTTGATGTCTTCTTTGGATAAATAACTATTCAGATAATTTGCCCATTTTTTAATTGGGTTATATGTTTTTTGCTATTGAGCTGTGTGAACATTTTATAAATTTTGGATATTAAACCTTATCAAATATATGTCTTGCAATTATTTTTCCAATCTATAGGTTACTTTTTCATTTTGTTGATTGTTTTCTTTGCTGTGCAGAAGCTTTTCAGTTTGACATATTCCCATTTATTTATTTTTGCTTTTGTAGCCTTTTGGTGTGATATTCAAAAATTATTGCCAAGGGCAATGTCAAGGACCTGTTCTCCTATGTTTTCTCCTTGGAGTTTTATGGTTTCAGATTTTACATTTAGGTCTTGTATCCATTTTGAGTTGATTTTTGTGTATGGTACAAGGGCCCAGTTTTATTCTTTTGGGCATGCAAATCCAGTTTCCCCAGCATCATTTATTGAAGAGATTATCCTTTTCCCATTTTGTCTTCTTGGTGCCTTTGTCAAAAATTAGTTTACTGTATATATATATATATAGATTTATTTTGGGGCTCTCTCTTTTGTTCCACTGGTCTGTGGTCTGATTTTATGCCAGTATCATAGTGTTTTGATTGTTATAGCTTTGCAATCTAATTTAACTCAGGAAGTGTGATAACTCCAATGTCATTTTCTCTTCTCAAAATTACTTTTATTATTTAGTTTTTTTATGGTTCCATACAAATTTCAGGATTTTTTAAATTTCTGTGAAGAATGCCATCGGGATTTTGATAAGGATGCCATTGAATCTGCATATTCCTTTGGGTAATATGGACATTTTAACAACATCAAGTTTTCAGATCCATGAATATGGGTTATCTTTCCACGTATTTGTGTCTTCTATTAATTTTATCAATGGTTTATAATTTTCAGTGTACATGTCTTTTACTTCCATGGTTAAACTTATTCCTAACTGTATTTTTGATGCTTTCATAAATACAATCGTTTCCTTGATTTCTTTTTCACGTAGGTTGTTATTTGTGCACATAAATGCAACTGATTTTGTATCCTTTAACTTTACCAAGTTTGTTTTTTAGTTCTAACATTTTTTTTTTTTTGGTGGAGTCTTTGGGGTTTACTAAATATGGGATCATGCCATCCATAGAGATAATCTGAGTTTTTTCTTTCTGATTTAAATGCCTTTTATTTCTTTTTCTTGTCTAATTGCTCTTGCTAGTATTTCCAGTACCACGCTGAATAGAAGCAGCAAGAGTGGGCATCCTCACCTTGTACCAGATCTTAGCGGAAAAGCTTTAATTTTTTTCCCATTGACTATGATGTTAACTGTGGCTTTTTCATAGCCTTTTTTATGATGACAAACTTTCCATTTATACCTAAACTGTTGAGAGTTTAAATCAAGAAACAATGTTGAACTTCGTTGAATGCTTTTTCTGCATCAATTGAGATGATCATGTGATTTTTATCTTTCAGTCTGTTAATGTATCACATTGATTAATTAGTATATGTTAAATGAGGGTCCATGTCAGTGATAAATTTCACTTGATCATGATGTATAATATTGTGATGTGTTGTTGAATTTGGTTTGCTAATATTTTATTGTGTTTTTTTCATCAATATTTTCAGCGATATTGGCCTGTAGTTTTCTTTTCTTACAGTATCTGTCTGGCTTAGGTATCAGGGTGATCCTGCACTCATAGAATGTGTTAGGAAGTATTCCCTCTAGGTCTATTTTTTGGAAGAATTTAGGAAATGTTGGTATTAATTTGTCATTGAATGTTTGAAGGAATTTAGTTGCAAAACCATTTGATTCTGGGCTTTTTGTTGTTGTCGTACTTGTTATGAAATTTTTAATTACTACTCTGATCTTTTTATTTGTTATTGGTCTGTGTAGGCTTTTTATTTCTTCCTGATTCAATTTTGGTAGGTTAAATTTTTCTTGGAGTTTGTCTGTTTCCCTTAGGGTATCCAATTTGTTGGCATAATATTGTTCACAATAGTCCTTTATGATCCTTTTTATTTCTGAGGCATCTGTTGTAATGTCCTTCCTTTTATTTCTGGTTTTATTTATTTGAGGCTTTTCTCTTTTTTTTTTTTTAAGTTTACCTCAGGGTCTGTCGATTTTGTTTGTTTGTTTGTTTTTAAACTAACTCTTAGTTTTATTGATTTCTTCTATGGTTTTTTATTCTATTTTGATTTATTTCTGTTCTGATATTTGTTATTCCCTTCCTTCTTGTAACTTTGGGCTTGCTTTGTTCATTTTTTAGCTCCTTGAGGTGTAATGTTAGGCTATTTATTTGGGGCCATCTTCTCTTTTAATGTAGGTATTTATTGATCAGTACTCTTAAGAATCTTAACTTTGGTGGTGCATACATGAACTTAACATGGGTGGTAAATTTATCTAGAACTAAACGCGCCTAAATACATACACAGACACACAGATAAGTATAAGTAACACTGGAGAAATCTGAACAAAATCAGTGAATTGTATCCATGTCAATATTCTGGTGTGATATACTAAAATGGTTATTGCTGGGGGAAGGTGAGTTAAATGTACCTAGGATTTCCCTGTATTATTGTTTGCAACTGCATATAAATCAACAGTTATCTCAATAATAAGTTCAATTAAAAAACCAAAATTTTATGCATATATCAATATGACATGCTTAAAAGAAGACTTGTAAATTTGCCTTTGCAGAAGGAGGGAAAGGTCGTGAGTGATTCCCACTTCTCTTGGAAAGGCCCATAGCTAGCCCATATTCTCTGAGCCCACATGCAGTGTGCTATTCACATCCCAATAATGCCGATTGATAAATGACACACAGTTTTTATACTTTTTACTCGAGACTTTTACAAGGATAAGCTTAGCTGAATTGTACAATAACATTGTAAATTAAGCTATTTGAACTTTATTTTACAAGAAAGCAAAAGTGTTGCAAAATGCCTTGCTAAATGCCCACAGATGGTGAATGATAAGGAGTTAAACATAGCTGTTTGCTCCAAGTCCAGAGCTCCAAGCTGCTTGTACTGTCTCAGCCCCATTCTTTTTTTTTTTTGAGACAGAGTCTTGCTCTGTCACCCAGGCTGGAGTACAGTGGTGCAATCTTGGCTCACTGCAACCTCCATCTCCCGGGTTCGAAAAATTCTCCTGTCTCAGCCTCCTGAGTAGCTGGGATTACAGGCATGTCCACCATGCCTGGCTAATTTTTGTATTTTTAGTAGAGAGAGGGTTTCACCATGTTGGGCAGGCTGGTCTCAAACTCCTGACCTCATGATCTGTCCTCCTTGGCCTCACAAAGTGCTGGGCCACACCCAGCCCAGCCCCATTCTTAACAAGAGATCCTATTGCCCAGATTCAAAGGCTCTGTGGGAAACAAGGATACCATTTACAGTACTGGTGAAAATACAGAACGTTTCTCTTTCTTAAGCCTTGTATAGTCACCACCTCCACATTCATGCCTGCCGCCAGCCTTGGTTGTTGATAATGCCATGAACACTAGGCTCAGGCCATAGAGCTGTGCGGGCTCTAAGCAATGCCCACTCCTGAGATGGGGCTTATCAGCTGCAGAGACCTCCTTGTCCGGGTTTGGAAAATTCCAAGGGTCAGAGTGCAACTGAACTTTTTCTTTTGCAATTTGCACCTGTGGGTCCTAGTGCTACCTCTGGAGTTAGCACTTCTTTCGTATGCCAGTTCTCCCAGGGTCTGCTGGCAGTGTGCTGGAAGTGGCTGGTGCTGCGGGGCAGCTGTGGGCAGAGGACCAGGGGAGCCACTCCTCCTGGTACACTGGGAGATGGAGGTGACAGCCTGAGCTATATGGGTTCCCTTAGCAGCTGACACATTCTCATCTCAACCCAACAAGGATGAAAGATCTACCTTTGGGGAAAGGTGATGGAATCATAGCAATGATGTTCTAGGAATCCAGTTTCTTCATATTTGAGAAAATGACTTACATGTGCAAAAATGTCTATGCTGGAAATAATACAGCTTTATACAATATAGCACTCTGATTTGAAGAACCTTGCCCTGCATTCTCTTGTGTGAACCTGCCCACAGCCATGTGACACGAGCCAGGCAGCACTCTTGCATTTAGAACTTGGCAGAGATAAAAATGAGGCTCCACACCTAATGCTTTCCTTCAGTACTGGATTCAGCCGCTTCACTTATTTTTTTCTGCCAAAACACCACTGTATTTTCAGCCTCCCAGGTACGGGGACGAATTTAAGGCTGCCTGCCCAGTAGACAGTTTAGTGTGGGGTAAATAGCACCATTCTAGCTTCATGGCTTCCCCGAGCCCATCCTGCTCTGCCCCCGGCTGGCCGCCTGTCGTTCCAGCCTCGCCCTGTTTCCCTCCGTCCCCTCTTTAGCACTTGTTCTCTTGGTCCTCATCTTTCTTCCAGGAGGGCATGTCCTGGGTCCCTGTGCCTAGGATCTGTTTCCCTTTCCTGCACTGCCCTTTCTCCTGGCTCTTCTTTTCCGTCGCCCTCCCCCTCCTACCAGCTTGCTCCTTGCCTTAGACACAGACATTGACAGGTCCAGCGAAGAGCGCCTTTGCTGCAGCCCAGTGTGTCCAGATCTTCCCGCACCTGTGCCGCCTGGCGCTGCTGAGGCAGGGACTCCCGTCTCCCCAGGAGCTACCTGGAGGAGGCTCAGAATCCATCCTAAGGAGTTTGATGACATATGTGCCAGATCGTGTAGAGGTGTCCAGGTATGCCCCACCATGTGGACCGTAACACAGACACGCGGGATGGATGGACGCGTCCCCCCTTGGAAGTGTCCAGAGAGTGCCAAGGGCAGGCTCTCCATCCTCGCTGGGAGCATAGCCAGCGCCACACACAGAGGCCAGGTCTCAGCTCAGCCTGGGAGCGCCCGGTTCTTTTTACTGCTCTGTCTGCCTCCCTTTCTGAGTGTAACAGTTCCTCTCCTTCCTTCTTCACCTCTTCCAATCTGTCCCAAACACCAGCTTCCCCAGGGATTCACGTCCCAAATCCTTAACCACCACATGGGACAAGCATCAACCCCGACACGAATCAAGCAGAATCCGTACCAACCAGGACCCCAGAGGTCCCTTCAGGACCTCAGGGAGTAGGGCTGGGTCGGGGGTGTCTTGAGGAAAGCCAGGGTGACCCGAGGCCCTGGGGGAATCTCAGTCTTGTAAAAAAGCGGCTTGGCCACAGCTGTGGTTACCACTCATCTCTCATGAGCGCTCTCATCATGCCTCCCTACTTTCCTCCTTCCGCGAGTCTGCAGGAAGGGTTTTCTAGGCCCCTTTGCCCATTTCCCATCCACTCGGCCTCAGCACAGCCCGTAGCGGCCACCAGAGGGCGCCCCTCTCCTGCAGCTCCGCATCCCCGCACAGCTGAAGTCCAGCCAAGCCCTGGCCTTGGAAGACCCTTCTGCTTTCTAACCTGACAGAGGCGCGTGGAGGTGGGGGGGCCCTCAGAGCTGCAGAATGGACAAAAACTCAAAAAGGGTGTGAATTTCGCCATGAGGTCCGGGTTCCTGGGGCTTCGCTGTTGTTCTGTTTATTTTACCCGAACCCTCCTATACCATCTGTATGAGAAAATATTCTCAAATATTGAATCATGTAGGACTTTTTTTTTTCTTTTAAAGGATTTGATATGTTAATGGGTTAATTTGGGCAGAGATACCTCCATCTCCAATCCCCTTCTGTCAATAACAGCTCTAGTTACCATGAGAACTTTTGGGCTTTTCTTAAACAGCCCATTCTCCTGTTCAATCTTTTTGGTAATCAGAATAGCCTCCAAAGGGCATTCTTTTAAAATCCCATAAGATCCTTCATCACTTTTGTCACCATAGAAATAATAAACACATAAATAACCCTCCAAAGGCAAAAAATTTATCAAAAATGAGATATCAGAAATATAAAAATTCAGTGGCTCTTGGTCAGCTGGTGCTGGAAGACCCGTGGCTTACAGAAGAGAGAAGGGACCTCTGAAGTTCTGCACAGTTGTTGAAAAGCCAGATGCAAAATCTGTACCTAAGACTGGTGCGTGAGAGACTCACGTTCCTCCATTTCGAATCTGGTTAACTTGCTATGATTGAGAAGCTCGCTCACAAATCCTCACCCTCTCATTCCTATCCTTTCTGGATTGAGTGAAAGATTTTCAGGTTGTGAAGGCTGAAGAAAATGGCTGCTGACTTCACAACCTGTTTCAGCCAAATTGCAAAGCCCCAAAGGGTCAGTAAAATTCTTGCTGGGCTTCATCAGACATTACATTTCATAGGGGCACGGGAGGAGTGTGCTCTTCTGTCTAATGAAATGTGGGCCTTCAGCCTCACTTCCACTGTGATTCTTGAAAAACATTTATTTCCTCACTAACGGTTCAGTGTTCAGCAACCTGGGAGGTTTGCCCTAGTACTATTCTACAAGGTCACAGGTATACTTTGCAAGGTTCTGCCTCTCTTTCTCTCGGAGAGCTTATTCTCTCTTGTGGCCTAAACCTCACCTCTGTCTGCACATGACACTCAAATCAGTTTTTTTCTGCTTTATGCTTGTGTCTCCAGAGCTGTTTCAATGACTGTATTCGGAGTCTCTGCTTGCAGCGTGCTCTGCATGAGAACAGGCACCAAGCCTGCCTATAATTGGAAGATCTGCCTGAATTTCCATAGTGAAGGTCTACACTGCCTCCCAGCCCATTCATTCCCTTCATCATTTCATTCCAGTAGTTTTCTAAAGTGTGGCCACTATGTTGTTGATTATGGCAACCCAGCATCCACACAGGACAACAGGGGGCCCAGGGCCAGTCCTGGCTGCTGCTTATATTTTGGCCCCAGGGATCCATCTGATTTTGTCATTGAAGTGCTGGCACATCCATCCCCACTGATGTTTGTCAAATGATTTCCCAGCTCAGATTGGAATCTCAAAGGTAATTTTCACAAAATTGGAAACAGCTCCTCTGATATGTCCCTGAAAACAGTTTTTGTTGCCCATATGGAGGATGTGACAGGACATCACTAGGAAGATGGACAGACTCAGCCTGCAACATCCCCTTTCCACTGCCAAAGTTGTTAGCAATCCAGACAGACTGTCACCTTGAGGCTCAAAGATCATCTTACCCCCAAACACTCTGACGACCTCTCTCCCTGTGTGCCTTGATGCAGGTACTGAGTCTTGCAGCAGAGCAGTGCCAGGCCCTGTGCTGAGGCCTGCCTGCCAGCAGGATTCGCTCCTTCCAGTAACAGGCACTGATTGAGTCCTCCCTGTATCACAGGCATCGGGGAGGAGTGGCAGGTCCAGCTGTCTATGAGCCAGACACCGTCTCTCTGTCTTCAGCCCAGCTGGATATGGAGAACATTCAACAAATAATTGCACATGTAGTTAATAATTACATTTGTGATAAATACCAGCAAGGAGAAGGATGTGTTGTCATAGAATATGCAACAAGATGGTCTCTGGGACTGGATGGGGGTGGAGAATCAAGAAGTGTATCTTGATGGATGGGCTCAGAGGGGCTTGCAGAAGAGGGACACCAGTGTTCAGGGTCATTTGGTGGCAACGCAGGATTGGCTGGAGCTGCGGTGCTCGTGTTCACCTTGCCAGCTACCATTTCACATCCTGCAGAGGAGGCAGGAGGCAGCCGTGGAGATGGTTTTTCACAAGACAGCAAGGAGATTAAGATGGTGGAGAGGAGGACTAGCTTAATGCTCCCACTTGGACGGACAGAGCAGTGTGTGGAGACTCACATTGTGAACTTCTGCTCCAAGAAGTACCACAGGAATCTACCAAGAAAGTCAAGAGAATCCACAGACCCTTTGAAGGAACTGGATCCCTGCTACAGGCTCCCTGAGATGCCAAAAAACTATGAGTCTGCTTATTTTCTCAGTGGGGAGGCTGGTGGTCTGGGGCAAGTTCTCAGCCCTGGTCACCAGCTGCCTGGAAGTAGACTCAGTGCTGTTGCCGGGGCACAGTGGAAGTAATACTGGCCTCTAGGACTACCGGCTGCATGGGAGTGGGGTGAGGCCTATGATTGCCGGTTTTCCCCCACTTCCCTGGCAACCTGTGTAATGCAGCAGAGACAGCCATAATCTCCCTGGAAATATAACTCCATTGGCCTGGGGGCCACACCCCCACAGCAGCCACAGCAAGCCCTGCCCCAGGAAAGTCTGAGCTCAGACATGCCTATCCCTGTCCCCACCTGGTAGTCTTTCTCTACCCTCCCTGGTAGCTGAAGAAAAAGGCCATAGTCTCTTGGGAGCTCTGTGGCCCTGCCCAACACCTGAGAAACCTGAATGCTTAACCAGGTGACCCTAGGCCAAGTTTGCATCCTCCCTCATGCACCTCATGCACCTCATGCACTCTTGAAAGCACCACCTCCTGGCTGGAGGCCAACCAACACAAAATCAGCACAAAGCCAGCACACTAAACAAAAATACAACTAAGGACCCTCACAGAGTCCACGTCACTCCCCTGTTGCCTCCACCAGAGCAGGTGTTGGTATCCACAGCTGAAGACCTGAAGACAGATCACATCATAGGACTCTTTGCAGACACTCTCCAGTACCAGCCTGAGCCTGGTAGCTCTGCTGAGTGGCAAAAAATAATCACAGCGGTTTGGCTCTCAGGAAGTCCCATCCCTATGGGAAGGAGGAGAAAACCACATAAAGGGAGCACCCTGTGGGAAAAAAGAATCTGAACAGCAGCCCTTGAGTCCCAGATCTTCCCTCTGACATAGTCTACCCAAATGAGAAGGAACCAGGAAAACAATTCGGGTAATATGACAAAACAGGCTTCTCTAACACCCCCAAAAAATCACACCAGTTTAACAGCAATGGATATAAACCAAGATGAAATCACTGAATTGGCAGACAAAGAATCAGAAAGTTGATTATTAAACTATCAAGGAGACACCAGAGAAAGGTGAAGTCCAACTTAAAGAAATCAAAAACATGATATAGGACATAAAGGGAAAAATCTTCAGTGAAATAGATAGCATAAATAAAAAACAATCACAACTTCTGGAAATCAAGGACACACTTATAGAAATGCAAAATCCACTGGAAAGTCTCAGCAATAGAACTGAACAAGCAGAAGAAAGAACTTCAGAGCTCGAAGACGAGGTTTTCGAATTAACCCCATCCACCAAAGACAAAGAATAAAGAATTTTAAAAAATGAACAAAGCTGCCAGGAAGTTTGGGACTATGTTAAGTGTCCAAACCTAAGAATAATTGGTGTACCTGAGGAAGAAGAGAAATCTAAAAGTCTGTAAAATATATTTGAGGGAATAATTGAGAAAAACTTTCATGGCCTTGCTAGAGATCTAGACATCCAAATACAAGAAGCTCAAAGAACTCCTGGGCAATTCATCACAAAAATATCATCACCTAGACGCATAGTCATCAGGTTATCAAAAGTCAAGATAAAGGAAAGAATCTCAAGAGCTGTGAGGCAAAAGCATTAGGTAACCTATAAAGGAAAACCTATCAGATTAACAGCAGATTTCTCAGCAAAAACCCTGCAAGCTAGAAGGGATAGGAGTCCTATTTTTAGCCTCCTTGAACAAAACAATTATCAGCCAAGAATTTTGTATCCGGCGAAACTAAGCTTCAGAAATGAAGAAAAGATAAAGTCTTTTTCAGACGAACAAATGCTGAGAGAATCTACCACTACCAAGCTGGCACTACAAGAACTGCTAAAAGGAGCTCTAAATCTTGAAACACATCCTCAAAATACACCAAAATAGAACCCCCTTAAAGCATAAATTTCACAGGACCTGTATATCAATAGCACAATGAAAAAAACAACAAAGTATTCAAGTAACAAATAGCGTGATGAATAGAATACTACCTTACTTCTCAATACTAACGTTGAATGTAAATGGCCTAAATGCTCCACTTAAAAGATACAGAATGGGGCCGGGTGCGGTGGCTCATGCCTGTAATCCCAGCACTTTAGGAGGCCGAGGCGGGCGGATCATGAGGTCAGGAGATCGAGACCATCCTGGCTAACACGGTGAAACCCCATCTCTACTAAAAATACAAAAAAATAGAAAAAAATTAGCCGGGCGTGTTGTTGGGCGCCCTCAGCCTGTGAGAGGCTGAGGCAGGAGAACGGTGTGAACCCAGGAGGCGGAGGTTGCACTGAGCCGAGATCATGCCACTGCACTCCAGCTTGGGCGACAGAGCGAGACTCTGTCTCAAAAAAAAAAAAAAAAAGATACAGAATGGGCCCAGTGCAGTGGCTCATGCCTGTAATCCCAGCACTTTGGGAGGCCAAGACAGGTGTATCACCTGAGGTCAGGAGTTCGAGAACAGCCTGGCCAACATGGTGAAAACCCAAATACAAAAAAATTAGCTGGTCATGTGGGTGCATGCCTGTAATCTCAGCTACTCAGGAGACTGAGGTGGGAGAATTACTGGAACCCAGGATGGAGATTACAGTGAGCTGAGATCATGCCACTGCACCCCAGCCTGGGTGACAGAGTGAGACACCATCTCAAAACAAACAAACAAACAAAAAGGAATGGCAGAATGGATACAAATTTACCAACCAAGTTTCTGCTGTCTTCAGGAGACTCAGCTAACACATAAGCACTCACATAAACTTAAGGTAAAGGGGTGGAAAAAGATATTCCGTGCAAATAGAGACCAAAAGTGAGTAGGAGTAACTATTTTTATATCAGACAAAACAAACATTAAAGCAACAGCAGTTAAAAAAGACAGAAGGCAGTTTGTGGGGAAGAGGGGGCTTAGGGAGCACATAGCACTGGGCAGACCTGGTGGGGGCAGGAGGGCTGGAGAGTGAGGCTTGGAAGTTTCCTAATTCCATGGGCCAGGGTCCTGCCAGTGTTTATCTCTACCTTTCAAAATCTGTACTATCATTGGAGTCAAATGTACATTTGCACACAAAAACTAAACAAAGAAATGAAAACAAAAGTCTGCCCCATGTCAAACCAACATCTGGGATGCCTGCTCAAAGCCAGCTCTTGTTTCTGTTTCTTCTTCTGTTCCTCTGGAGGATCTTCTATCCCTCATTTCTTGATTTAGATACTTTCTATTATTCCTTGCCTCTTCTCTCTTTCCACTCCCTCTCAATTTTTCTTAGTTATGGTCTGATTTTTACTTCTTTTGCCTTTAAAACTTTTTATGAGTTGTGTGAGCATATTTTTCTGGTTGCACCAATTTGACAGTCTCTCTTGTCTCCCTTTTATCTGAGATGAGGAAATATTTTTCCCTGTGCTTCCCTTCTGCTAGTTTCCGGAGCTGTACCTGACTTTCACATTTATGACGTTTTAACTCTTACACTCCTATTCCTTAATCCCAAGTCTCCTGGGCTTGCTCTAGATGTTGACTGAAAACTAAGAAGCAGCCTTCACAATATTAGGAGGATTGTCACTGCAAACAGGAGTGTAGTGCACTTGGCTGCAGATAGAAGGACCTGGGATTCCCAGACTGATACATCTAAGAAGCACATACTAAAATTCAAAGTCAAGTCAAATGAAGTCTCAAACACTTTTGTAGCCTATCTAAAGGTATAAAGCAGGGATTCGCAAATATTTTCTGTACAGAATCAAATAGCAGATATTTAGGCTTTGGGGCCATAGGGTGTCTGTCACAGCCACTACCCTCTGCTGTTGCAGAGTGGAAGCAGCCATAGAAACTGCAGGATAAAATAAGTGTCATGAGTTCCAACAAAACTGATTTACAAAAAGAGGCCACTGCCAAACCCTGGTCCAATGCAGAGGATCAAAAACCCCTGGAGGGCTTGCTGAAGGCAGATTGCTGGGTGCCATCCACAGTTCCTGATTCAGCAGGTCTGGGGTGGCCTAAGGATGTGTATTTCTAACAAGTTTCCAGGAGGTGTCCATGCTGCTAGCCCATGGCATGTGCTTGTTGCTTGGCACTAAAGCATGACTCTCTTCTACATATTTGTGAGTTTCCTAGAATTCCCAACATTTTCCCTTTGTTTTAAACTTGTCCTCTGACTTATCACCAAGATTTTCCACCATCGTGATGCTTTTGCTTTCACAAGTCTGCTTTCTTCTTAAACGTTTCTCCCTAGCAACATTTGCACCTGCACTCCCCTGACCTTGCACTGTGGTAGACCAGTTGCTCTCTAAGTCTGCTGCTCAGTTGTCATCTGAGATAGTCCTTTATTGTCTTGAGGATGGGGCTATGTCTCCTTTTGTCTAGGATTTTTATTGGTTTTACTGCAGAATATCATCAAGGATTTATCTTTTTCACTGAAGATGCATAAAGGGTAAACATTCTGAGGCCTAGGATGACTGAAAATGTGTTTATTTGGCATCGACACTCAGTATAATTTTTTTTTACCAGGTGTAGAATTCTAAGTTGAAAATAATTTCCTCTGTGGACTTTGAAGTTACTGCCTCATTGTATTCCAGTGTTACTAATGAGAAATCTGATGCGAGTTTGACTGTGATTTCTTTACAGATGCCCTGTTTTGTTCCTTCTCTTCTGAAACATCACAATGATGCATTTAGGGGTGGGTGATTTTTTTATATCTCCTGATCAACCGTCGGTGACTTTTTAAGTCGAGATGCACGCAGCACCTCCTCATAGCTCTGGAAAATGTTCTCCTAATAGGCTATTCTTTGATCATTTCATTTTTATCAGTTTCTGTATTTTCTCTTTATGTAACTCTTTGGACTTCCTGGATTTAAATGCTCTTATTAAACTTTTTTTCTCATATCTCTCTTCATGTTTTCTCTTTTTATGTACATGCTGACAGTTGTCCTTCAAGTTTTCTTTCAGACATCGTATCTTTATTGTAATGATTATATTTCTAATATTTAAGAATATTTTATTTTCTGATTTCCTCTTTTTCATTGACATATGCCCTTGTTTAATGGGTGCAATATTGTCCAGCTTCTCTTTAAGATACAAGTTAGAATATTTTAAAAGTGTACTACATTTGATGAATTTTTGAATTTTTGCCATCTTTCTCCTGAGTCAATTATTCTGTTTATGCATCTTGGCCTATTATGAATAGAATGTTTGTGTCTCCCCCAGATCCACAGGTTTAAGCCATAATGCCCGGTGTGGCTATATTTGGAGGTGGGGGAGGGGGGTCTATAAAGAACTAAAGTTAATAAGATCTTAAGGGTGGGGCTTTGATCCGAAGGGATTTGTGTTCTTATAAGAAGATACACCCCAGTGCTCTCTCACAGCATCTCTCTGTCTCTTTTCATGCAAGCCCCAAGGAAAGACCATGTGAAGACACATGGAGAAGGTGGCTGTCTGCAAGCCAGGAAAAGAGCCCTCACCAGGAACATGTTGAGAGAAGCAGTCACACAAACGTAGTCTTTTGACCTCTGTACAGTTGCATAGGAGTGTGCCTTGGGTTAGGAACATTTTCTTACAAAGAGATAAAGAGCTTTCACAGCCTGCGCTGTCCATTACCCTTTATGGGGAACCTCTTTCTCTGTTCTGGACTGGAGGCGTACTTCTTCGTTCTACTAAAGCATGTGCATCATATGGCACCTGAACGACCCCACTGCTGGGAACAGGGGCCTTTGTCTATAGCATGAGTGTGTGGAACATCTCCCTGTGCTGGCTGTGGGGTGAGACCCACTGGCCATGAGGGATCAACAGTCGAAACTGAAGCTGCTCTTGCTCTGTGTCTTCTCTATGTGCATAAAGCGTTGTTCCATCCAGTGCCTGCATGAGTCGTGCCTGAAAATCATGTGGTGGGTTGACGTCTTGGGATTACTGCTCCTGGAGGCAGGCATTGTTATGCTTTCTGTTCTCCACTGTTTAGTGGGACTCTGCTGCTGGAGGTGGTCACAGGTGTCACTTGCTTGACTTGGACTTCCAGCCTCCAGAAACTTAATCTTGAACTTGCATCCTCCATCACTGTGAGAAAAAATTTCTGTTGTTTGAAGCACTCAATCTATGACATTTTGTGATGTCAACCTGAGCAGACTAAGACATGACCCCTCTTTTGTATGTAATTAGGTTTATTTAATATTGAATGGACTTTGTTGATCCTCAGGTTTATTCCCCTACCCCTGGATGACAGACTGCAGACTGCTGCCCCCATACAAACATGAGGGTAGCTTTATTTGTAAGAGCTGACATCCACATAGGGAGCCCTAACACTCCCTCTGCAGTCCAGTGACAATTATGTTGACTGTCAGTGAATGTCCAAGTCAGTGTGTGTTCAAGGGGCAGCCAGCTGACATTTGCCTGCAATGTGGATGTGGCAGCACATCCTGCCAGTGTGGCAGAGGGGGGACCCTGGCCTCAGCATGGGAATGTTCCCTGGAAGGCTCAGTCCTTTCATCATTCAGGTTATCATGGCGTCATCATTCGTGTAATGTACTGTGAGGCCATGTGGCCCTCACTCATATATACCTGACATGTGACACAAATTCACTGTTTGTTTTATTATAGAATTTTTTTCACTTAATACAAAGTGGAAAACTTATAGAAAGCACAAGCATATTTCTGTGTGTTCTCAGTGTCTTTGGGCCATAGTTTCTGCAGAATATCTTGGAATTGGTTCACTTGGAGCATAATGCCAGAGCAGCATTTTCCTAACAGATATCTCAGGGTTGGTGAGGCACCTCCCCTTGTCAGAGAAAGAGCACTGGACACTGTTAGAGGCAGCAAGACAGATTTCACTCAGACTACTGCAGTAGGGCAGAGAGGCTCCAGTATGAATCAGTTTAATTCCAAATAAGACAAAGGTGACTGGGGTTTTCAAAGGGAGATCTGATAGGGCACACAACGAGATTATGGGAAGTAAAAAAAGGGGGACCAGAAAAGAGACTGGGGGCTATAAGTAGGAAGCTACAGAGTGGAGTTGCAGAGGATTACTGAAAATGGTTTGGCCTTGTGGGTTGGGACAATTTACATCTGGCAGTTCAGGAGCATTGCATTTTCTTGAGCAGAGACTCACACAAGAGCTGTGTCACTTTTAGGCACATGACTAGTGCAGGTAGAAGCCAGGCTGAAGTGTGGCCAAGGATCTCAGCACTGCATGTGGGCAAGTCCTTTGGGTCATTGGGAAGTTCACAGTTCACACCCCAACCCAAATAAAACATTTGGAAACAAAAACATTTGGAAATCACGCAAGGTCTATCTTCCCACTTTCCCACCTGTGGACATATAGGAAGTTTTGCATGAAAGAAACTTTGTTTTCTGTCATGCAACATTTCTCAAACATTCTTGGTATCCTACACGAAATCTATTTATATCCAACATAACTAATGTTCTGAGGAACCCACTTTATGAAACAGGATTTTGTACTGCTATTAGTGGTGAGTCACAATAAGAAGGGAAAGATACCCAAGCTCGCATTGTGAGAGGTCATACAGAGATGGGTCCAAATGGAATCAGGAGTTGAAAGGCATAGAGATGTCCCTAGAAACTGGAGGAGACCACCAAGTTGTTCTAAAGCCAGGAGAAGAATCTAACATTGGCCTGAAAGCTAAAGCCTACCTGTGGGTACAAATTGGACAAAGGATACTTTGCTGGACAGTCAGAAATTCAGCTGTGGAGCACCAGGCTGGCAGTGAGCTCTGCCCTCAGGCACGCCACATAGGCAGCACCAGGACTGAGGACATCTGAGGCTGAGAACGGATGTAAGAACCATCTTGGGTGTTGTGAGATGAATTGCATCCCCCCCCAAATTCAGATGTTGAAGTTCTAACCACCCCTTTGGTGCCTCAAAATTCAGAACGTGACTGGATTTGGAGCTAGAGTGTTTAAAAAGGCAATTAAGGTTAAACGAGGTCATATGCCTGGGTCCTAATTCAATATGACTTCCGTCCTTAAGAGGAGATTAGGATGCAGTCCTGCACAAAGGGAAGAACAGGCAGAGACAAAGGAAGATAGCAGCCATCTACACATCAAAGAGACAGGCCTCAGGAGAAAGCAACTCTGCTGACACCTCGATCTTAGACTTCTAGCTTCTAGAATTGCGAGAAAATAAACTTCTGTCACTTAAACCACTCTGTCTGTGGTATTTTGTTATGGCAGCCCTAATAAACTAATACACTAGGGGCACAGAGCAGGTGGGGAAGCCAGATGCAATCGGTCAAAAGAAAAAAAAACTATTTAGTAGCCAAAGAAGACAGGTGCAAATAAGCAAGCCACGGTTAGAGTCTACAACAGTTAGCTTAACTCTGAGCCTAACCCTAGCTGGCCAAGAGACACAGACCATCATGACAAGGGACTGGGGGACTGGACTTTCCAGGAGGACTGGAACACAGGACAAAGCAGTGGGCAGGACCCAGCTCCCCTATCAAACAGGGAAGAATCAGAGACTTGTAGCCACAGGGAGCTCTTCAAAATTCATGCTGGAGCTGGAACCAATCTCAAGATATGAATTGAGTTGAGAGATGTGAGATATTTAAGATGCTGATCATAAAGTTATCATGTCTGAGCCTGGAGCAGAGAGTACCGGTGACATGAAGCAATCCCAATTGTTTTAGATTATTTAAATCTATGACAATTAGCCTTATCTCTGTGTTCATCACAACATTTGGACATGACCATGGCGAAGAAATTACTGCCAGTTGTACTTAATGGGCTCAAATTCAAGCTGAAGTTTTAAAACATGAAAATAAGAAGATTTTATTAATATATAAATTGTAATGTTTTCAAGGGAGAGTTAGCATCACAGTCCCTTTGCAAAATGTTGTCTAGGGAAGCTCAATTTAAGTGTTTCTCATTGGGCCAATGGAGACTTAACAGAAAACACATCTTGACAATAGATTTGGTCTGTTGAAATGATGACGTTTGTTGGCCAAGGACTGAGGATTCATGCTGTGCACTGCCAAGTCCTATGCTCTTCTTCAACTCTGCTACTGCCTGCTTTTCATTGTCGTCATTGGTTCTTCTTCCAGAGTACAAAGAAGAAAAGAACATAGGGCAAAAAGTGCTATTTGTGACTTTTTAGCACACATAAAGTAATTATAAGTAGGCATGAAAGCAAGGCATCCCAGAGTTTGGAAAGTTTAATAAACACACTTTAGTTAAAGTGTAGGTAAGTGGGTAAGTATGCAAAGTTAGACTTAAAAAAACAGACCGTGCAAAAACAAGACAAAATTGCATTTTAATTGATGATATTGATCTACCTGAAGAAGTAATGTGTCACTTAGAAGAAAAGAGTCCAGCGTGGATTACAAGAAGACATAATCAGAGATGCAAGTTGAAGGTCATTTAAGAAAACATGTCAGTGAAGTTCCTTCCAGGCCTGTGCTTGGGGGCCATACACATTCACTGAGTGAACTTACATATAAGACCTCTAACTAATTCCCATTGCTGTGAATCTATATGCACCACAAAACTTTCGGATTCTCATTTGACTTCCCTTAAGTCAGAATAAACTTTCAGTTTTGTGGTAGATAATTTTATTATAAAATAAAGAATTATTTTGCTTCATATATTGGTTTCCTGTCTGCTTGTTATTGTGGATTTTCTTCAGTGATGGCCCTCAGCCTCTACTGAGGCACAAACAAAACCAAGTTTTGCTATGGCAAAGGAGGTGGCGACTGTGAAATGCTCTAGTGCATGCAACTCAGGACTGCTGGGGAGGCACCGGTTTGGAGCAGGCATGCAGGCATCCCTCTGCTGGTACCCTCTCACCTGACCTAGGCCTGCAATCCAGAACAACGCTTTTGGGAAGAAAAACTGATGTCTGGAACTGATAGGGAACCTGAAGAATTTATGTGGTTTATTATTGTGTCTGTGCCTTGAACTCTTTTTAGCAAATAAAATCTAATTGAGTTTAATTGAATTGAACATGGATACATTACATAGATAACATTTTCTAAGGCTACAGCTGCCATAGATAGTGATCGCTTTGATGTATCCAGGCAAAGTAAATAAAAAGCCTTTTGGAAAGGACTCACCATTCTAGACGCCACAAAGAACATGTGTAATTCATGGGAGGAGGTCAAAATATCAACATTAACAGGAGATTGGAAGAAGTGTATTCCAACCCTAAGGATGATTTTGAGGGGTTCAAGGCTTCAGTGGGAGAAGTAACTGCAGTTGTGGTGAAAATAGCAAGAAAACTAGAATTAGAAGTGGAGAATTGCTGCATCTCTTGATAAACTTGAATGGATGAGGAGTTTCTTCTTATGAGTTACCAAAGAAAGTGATTAGTTAAGATGGAATCTACTCATGGTGAAGATACCATGAACACCATTGAAATGACTACAAAGGATTTAAAATATTACATAAATTTAGTTAGTAAAGAAGTGGCAGGGTTTGAGAGGATTGACTTCAATTCTGATTGAAGTTCTACAGTGGATAAAATGCTATTAAAGGAAACTTGCTTAAGGAAAGAGCCCAGGGAGGGATAACTTAAGCCAGCATTTGAGTTGAGGAGACAGAATTGGGACAGAATTGGCTCAGGGGAACCAACGTAGCTAGAGTTCATGGGACAGAGTACGAGGGAAGAGACAACGAGAGAGAGAGAGGAAGAAGAAGAGGCAGAGCAAAAGGAAGAGGAAGAGAAGAGAGGAAGAGAGGAAAGAAGAGAGAGACATTGAACTCCAGATATCTGCAAAGATGTCACTTGAGTCTCCAGGTTAGTATTGATAAGTGCATGTGTATGAAAATATCCAAGACCAAAGTACAGTCTAATGAAGTAGGCATAATAATTTCCAGGGATCACATGGAACTAGGGATATTTTGTTTCTATCAGCCAGAAAGGCAAACTGTTAAAATGCATGACACATTGGGTACAGTAATCGGAAATATATTGGCTCAGTAACAGAAAAAAAAAATAGCCCTTGATTAAAGGTTTGATCTATCCCACGTAAGAAAGATTAAAAGCAAAGCTAGAAAAGATCAGATTTGTTTCTAAATAACTTATCTGCGTCCTAAAACAAAACTAAAAAATTTTTTTAAATACAGTAATGTATTAACACATACTGAAACTCAATACATACAGAGAAACGAAGATAAGAATAAGAAGTCCAAGTGCAGCGGCTCATACCTGTAATCCAAGCACTTGGGGAGGCCAAGGCAGGGGATCACTTGAGGCCACGAATTTGGGACCAGCGTGGGCAACACAGCAGAACCCTGTCTTTACAAAAAAAAAATAATAATTTTTTTCCTTTTTGGTAGAGACAGGGTTTTACTGTGTTTTTTCGGGGGGAAGAAAAACTGATGTCTGGAACTGGCAGGGAACCTGAAGAGTTTATGTGGTTTACCATTGTGTCTGTGCCTTGGACTCTTTTTAGCAAGTAAAATCTAATTGAGTTTAATTGAATGTGTTCCCAAATAAAAGGCAGAGATTTTCAGATTGGGCAGAGAAAGTAAAACCAACATCAAAAAATTAACCTTCAGTCCCAGCTTACTCGGGAGGCTAAGGTGGGAGGATCACTTGAGCCCAGAAGTTCAAGGTTACAGTGAGCTATAATTGCACCACTGCACTGTAGCTTGGGTGACAGAGCAAGACCCCATCTCTAAAAAAAGAAAAAAGAAAAAGAAATCAGCTGGACATGGTGGCTCATGCCTGTAATCCCAACCCTTTGGGAAACCAAGGCATGCGGATCACCTGAGGTCGGGAGTTCAAGACCAGCCTGACCAACATGGAGAAACCCCGTCTGTACTAAAAATACAAAACTAGGTGGGTGTGGTGGCGCATGCCTTTAATCCCAGCTACTTGGGAGGCTGAGGCAGGAGAATCACTTGAACCTGGGAGGCAGGCAGATGTTGCGGTGAGCTGAGATTGCGCCATTGCACTCCAGCCTGGGCAACAAAAGCGAAACTCCATCTCAAAAAAAAAAAAAAAAAAAAAAAAGAAAGAAAGAAAAAGAAAAACAACAGTGAAATAGTGGAAACAATAAGCCAGAAGATAGTGGAAAAACATCTTTCAAGTACTGAAGGAAAAATCTGGCAACCTAGAATTCTGCACCCAACAAAAATAGAAAAACCAGAAATTGACTTTCTCCATAAAAGCAGATAGGAATGTGCATCTACCTAAATGAATGAAGAACACTGGAAATGGAGATGTGTGTGTTAATATTTGGGTGAATACAATGACATTTTTATATTTTGAAATCACTCTGAAAATAGATGATTAAAGCAAAGTAACCATGTATTTTAATTTTAAAACAAATTCAGAAGTAAAATGTGACAACAATCATGCAATAATGGGAGAGGAAAATGTAAGTATACAGTTGTAAAGCTCTTATACGAGATTTGAAGTGGTAATATTATTTGAAATCAGACTTTCATAAGTCAAGATGCACATTATAAACTAAGAGCAAATAGCCATGAGTGAAAAAATAACTAAGAAGATAAATTAAAAGTATGAAAGGTGCTCAGTTGACCCAAGTGAAGGCAGAAAAATATAAGAAAGGAGAACAAAGAACAGATGGGAAACTATATTAATATCAAGGTATATTTCAGGACAAGGGATGGTGCCAAGAAAAAAGAGGGTCTTTCATAATGATTACAGGAGCAATTCATCAAAACAATATAATAACCCTAAATGTTATGCTCCTAATAACATAACTTCAAAATACATGAAGGAAAAAAATCTGAGAATTACAAGAAGAAACAAATTCACATTTATAGTTGGAGATCTCAACATCCCACTGACAATAATCAGTGAGAAGTAGATAGAAAATCAGTAAAAATATAGCCAACTTAAGCAACATTACCATAATCCTGACCTAATAGACATTTATAGAATACTCCATCATACATATTCCTTTCAAGTGAACATGCACTATTTACCAAAATAGACTATATCATAAACCACAGAAAAATTCTCAATAAAAAAGGACTGAAATCATCCACAATTCTTCTGACAACAATTATATTAAATTAGAAATGAGTAACATGAAAATCTGAAAAATCTTCAAATATTTGCAAATAATAAACATGACAGCAGAAATCAATGAAATAGAATAACAATCAGAAATAAAACTAAAATCCACTTTTTAAAAAGCAGTAATAAAATTAGTTCATTATTATCAGGAATTAAAAAGGGACATCACTACAAATCCTACAACTATTAAAAAGATGATTTTTAAAGTATTATAAACACCTCATTACGGTAAGTGTGGTAACTTAGATAAAGTGGACATATTTCTTGGAATATCCAAATTATCGAAGCTCTGAGTAGCTCTGTATCTATTTTTAAAATTGCATTCATAGTTAAAATATTCGCACAATAAAAATTTCAGACGTACCTGGCTCCACTGATTATTTCTACATTCAAGGAAGAAACAATAACAATTCTCAAAGTTTAGATAAAGAAAAAGGGATCAAATCATTAGTCTGGGTTCCTACCTCAAGAAACTGAAAAAAGGAGAGCAAAATACATTCAAGGTAAGCAAAAGAAAGGAAATAATAAAGATAAAAGCAGGAATTTATAACACTAAAAATATAAAAACAATGGAAGAAAACCAATAAATCAAAAGCAGCTTTTTTGAAAAGAAAATAAAAAATGATAAACATCTAGCAAGTTGACAAAGATATAAAAGAGAGAGACGTGTCACCAGTATGAGGAAGGAAACAGGAGTTATTACTGCAGATCATGTAGCCATTAAAAGAATAAGGGAATATTATGAACAACTTCACACTCATAAATTCAACAACTGAGAAGAAATGGATCAATTTCTCAAAAGTCACAAGCTATGAAACTCAATCAAGAAGAAATAGAAAATCTGATTAGTCTTACAATCATTAAATTAATTGAATACATAATAAAAATCTCCCGCAATGAGATGTTCAGGCCCCGATGGTTTTACTAGAGAATTCCACCAAACATTTAGGAGAGAATTGACACAAATTTTATGCAATCACTTCCAGAAAATAGAAGAGAAGGAAACACTAACTCATTTATGAAGTTAGTATTACCCTAATACAAAATTAAACAAAGAGTACAAAAAACCCCCAAACTATGGACCAATATCTCCCATAAACTTGGATGCAAAAATCCTCAAAAGTATTAGCAAATCAAATCCAAATGCATAGAAAGAATTACACGTTTGACCAAGTGGGATATATTCCAGAGATATATATCTGGTTCAATATCTGAAAATCAATTAATATAATAATTATATCAATAGGCTAAAGAAAAATCATATAATCATATAGATATCCTCAGAAAAATATGACACAATCCAACACTCATTCAAAAGACACGCCTATCACTCGGGAAATTGCAGTTCTGTGCCAGGAACCAGGGACAAAAACCAAATATATTTCATCTTGTGTATCCATAGGTTCTGCATCTGTGGATCCAACCTATCATGAATCAAAAATATTTTAAAAAAATGGAGTTCGTATTGAACATATACAGACTTTTATCATTATTGCAAATAATACTGTATAAGTATAATAATTATTTACATAGTGTTTACATGGTACTAGGCAATATAACTAATAATAGAGATGATTTAAAGTATATGGGAGGAGGCGCATAAGTTATATGCTAATACTATGCCATTTTATATCAGAGACTTGAACACCTGGGGATTCTGATTGTCAGTGGGAGGTTCTGGAACTCTGCCCCATTGATATCGAGGGATAACCGTACATGAAGTTGACGCTTGAACAATGTGAGCATCAGGAGCTCCCCTCCCCGACATATATGTGGATTTTTGTGCAGTCAAAAATCCACATACGACTTTTGACTCCCCAAAGCTTAACTACTAATACCCTGTTGAGTGGAAGATCTACTGATCACACAAACAGGTGAGTGAAAAAATCTTTGTATGTTATATGTATTATGTACTGTATTCTTACAATAAAATAAGCTAGAGAAAAGAAAATGTTATTAGGAAAATCGTAAGGAAGATAAAATATATTTACTATTCATTAAGTGGAAGTGAGTCATCATAAAGGCCTTCATTATCATTGTCTCCATGTTGAGTGAGCTGAGGAGGAAGAGGAAGGGAAGGGTTTGGTCTTGCTGTCTCGGGGTGGCAGAAGAAAATCCACATATAAATAGATTTGCACAGTTCAAACCCATGTTGTTCAAGGGTCAATTGTATGCATATTTTATTAGATACACAATAAGGGATATTATGTAGCTACAATAATCAAGACAATGTTTATTAGCAAATAATAGATACACAGATAGATGGAACAGGATAAAGAACCCAAAAATAAACCCACACAAATAAGCCCAACTGACTAATAAAGGAATTCATTTCAACAGAGATGATAAAGCAATTTAATGGAGGAAGGATCGTCTTTTTAACAAGTGACGCTGGAACAATTTGGCATTCATAAGCCAAAAAACGAACATTGTCCTAAACATCACAGCCTACACAAAAGACTAACTCAAAGTGCATCACACACACAAATGCAAAACATAAATTAGAAAACCTTTTTAAAAAGACAAATGAAAATCTTCCACGATATATGGCTAGGCAAAAACTTCTTAGACTTGGCACAGAAATCATGATCTAGAAAGGGGAAGAAAAAATTGATAATAGGACTTCACCAAAACTTTTGCTCTGTGAAAGCCTATGTGAAAAGAATAAAAACCTGGGAGAAAATATTTATAAACCACGTATCTAAACAATGACTTGTATCTATAATGTATATAGAACACTTAACACTCAACAGTTAAAAATCAATCCAATGAGAAATTAGCAAAATATATTTCACTAAGTAGGACAGACAGATGATGAACATATGAAAAGACATGCAATATCATTAGCCGTTAGAGAAATGCACATTAAAATCCCAGTGAAATATCACTATACACCTGTCAAAATGGCTAAAACAAACAGGCAAACTAACAGTGATGACACCAAATCCTGGCAGAAATGCCACATAACTGGATAACTCATAGATTTTTGGTGGAAATATAAAATGGGACAATAGTATATACAGCCTCTCTGGGAAAGGTTCAGCAGAAACACTTCTTACAAAACACTTACAGTATACTTATTATACAACCCAGGAATTACACTCTTGGGCATTTATCCCAGAGAAATGAAAACTTATGTTCACAAAAAACCAGTATGTGAATATTCACAGCAGTTTTGTTTATAATAATTGAAAACTGGAAACAGCTCAAATGTCCCTCAGTGGGCAAATGGTACAACTGTGGTACATGCATATGGAACACTCAGAAATAAAAAGGAACAAACTATTAATATGCTTAACAACTTTGGTGAACTCCAGGAATTTGTGCCCACCAAAAAAAAGAAAAATAAAGCCAATCGTAAGAAGTTACATGTGATATGATTCCATTAATATAGCACTCTCAAAATGACAAAATTATAGAGTTGGAAGACAGATTAATGATTGCCAAGGGCTCAAGATACAGGGAGAGGCTGTGACTATGAAGGTTAGTAAAGAATTGTTGATGGGTCTGTTTGTATCTTGACTGTGGCGGTGGTCACACAAATCTATAAGTAAGGTAAAATTTCATAGAAATAAATATCCACACACAGACAAATGAGTGCATGTAAAGCAGGTGAAATTTGAATAGAGGCAATGGATTGCATCAATGCCAGTGTCCCACTTTTGATACTGTACTCTTGTCATGCAATATGTTACCACTGAGTGAAATTGGGGGAAGAGTTTATGGGATGTGATTATTTCTTAGAACTGCATGTGAATCTATAATTATCGTAAAATAAAGAGTAAAAAATGTATAAATACCTCATATACTGGTGCTTAGTCTACCACTAAAATTTGGAGATGACTCAGAAGTTGTCTCCAGAACCTGAACTGAGCAGCCTAGCTGGGGTCTCAGGTGAAGGAGCCCTGCTCAAGGGGCTGGATTACCCCCATAAACTCAGGCTTAAGGTACAGCAAAGCCAGCCTTGGTGGAGAAGTGTGGGGTTGAAATATTTTGATAATTGATATTTTAATAGAAGCATTTCAGTAGTCATTATGAGGGGGGAAAGAGGAAAATCAGTAAATAAATGTAGAAGGAATGAACAAAATAGAAAAATCACCATAGTGTAAACTAGTAAAATAAGGGATTCAGATAAGGATCATCAAGAGATGCTGAAAAGCAGTAAAGGCAGGGTAATAAGGAACACGATATTCCTGCAGTCTCATAACATCACCCCATGGAGTGCTTGCGGACTGGAAAGGGTAAACATACCTTAGATAACGGAGCACCGTTACACATTTAGCTATGCAATACAATTAACATCACTAACAGAAACTTCCTAATATTATGTGCCTCTTGGTGCAAGGTGGTATGAAATACACAGAAGCCGTATTCTTGCCAAAAATATTTAGTACAAATCTAAACAAGCTTTTAAATCTAGTTTCTCAGTTGTATGAAATATGGAAAATAGAAGATTCAACCATGAATCCAGAATACAAAATATTCCACAAGCTCAGTTCCCTCAATAAATCAATACCACGACAAAAGAAAAAAGGAGAGGGCTTTCTTTATTGAAGAGACGCAATAACAAAATGTAATATGCGAATGTAGACTGTATTCTTGTTTTAATAAAATTATAAAAGTCATTTTTGAAGCACTTGGAGAAATTTGAATATGGACTGTGTACGAGATGATAGTGGGGATTAGTTTAATTTTCTTCGCTTTGATTATGGGGGTGTCATTTTATAGCAGGATATTTCCATTTTAAGGAGATATATAATGGACATTTTTTAGTGGTGAAATGTCATATTGACAGTATCTTCCTTCTGAAAGAAAAAGTATGGAAGAGACAAAAATAGATCAGAAAGAGCTTTTCCCCAGTGTCTCAGAGACGTTTTCTACCTGGACTGGATGTTGTGTACTGGATGCGCTCCGAATGTGACTTCAAAGGGAACGTAGTTGGGTGCTTACTAAGTGCCAGTCTTCTTACACAGCAGGCTTTTAGGGATTATCTCGTTTAGTCCGCACAGCAATCCTCTCAGTTGAAATGCAATAGATTGTCTATTAAGATTATCTGAAATAAGAATCTTCTCGGGCAGATGAATTGGTTCTGAGAGTCAGGAGAGTGCATCAGGAAGTGAGATCATGGAAAAGTGGCTTTCTTAAGAAGGGAGTGAAGCTTCAAACATGGATTCACTTTTGGACATGTAGCGAATCGAAGATTTGGATTCCTTAACCGAGAATGCTTTTAAGAAATTGAACTTCCTGGCCGGGCGCCGTGGCTCACGCCTGTAATCCCAGCACTTTGGGAGGCCGAGGCGGGCAGATCACGAGGTCAGGAGATCGAGACCATCCTGGCGAACACGGTGAAACCCCGTCTCTACTGAAAAATACAACAAATTAGCCGGGCGTGGTGGCAGGCGCCTGTAGTCCCAGCTACTCGGGAGGCTGAGGCAGGAGAATGGCGTGAACCCGGGAGGCGGAGCTTGCAGTGAGCCGAGATGGCGCCACTGCACTCCGGCCTGGGTGAAAGAGCGGGACTCCGTCTCAAAAAAAAAAAAAAAAAAAAAAAAAAAAAGAAAGAAAAGAAATTGAACTTTCTTCCCGAGGACCAAATAGATTCATTTTGCCTTAACGAGATGTTACTACTTTGTGACTCAAGTGAGTTTATAAGTATTATATGTATTTCTACACAAAATGCAAATTTGAATAATAAAAATTTAGGAAATTTTTCCTGTATTCACTTTACATCCCTTAACTTCACATTCAGTTTTGAATGAGTAACAATAATGTGTGCAGAGCCTACCAAAGATGCAGAAAGGGAAAGCTCAGAACAAGCAGAAATAAAAGCTGTAACTTCTGAAAAAACTGAATTAATAGGCTGGGCGCGGTGGCTCACGCCTGTAATCCCAGCACTTTGGGAGGCTGAGGCGGGCAGATCACAAGGTCAGGAGATCGAGACCATCCTGGCTAACACGGTGAAACCCCGTTTCTACTAAAAGTACAAAAAATTAGCCAGGCGTGGTGGCGGGCGCCTGTAGTCCCAGCTACTCGGGAGGCTAAGGCTGGAGAATGGCATGAACCCAGGAGGTGGAGCTTGCAGTGAGCCGAGATCGGGCCGTTGCACTCCAGCCTGGGGGACAGAGGGAGACTCTGCCTCAAACAAACAAACAAATAAAAACAACAACAAAAAAACTGAATTAATAGCAAGTGTATTTCCTGATGCTGTTGTAGACCCAAAGAATACTAACGAACTGCTCCCTAATAGTTAGGCAGAACTTTTAGGCTTACATAGCATCAAGTAGTCTTTTCTAGGTATCTAAACGCTACAACCCCTAAAGACATGAATGGAATGGAGAAGAACCCAGTAGCTCCAGACATTGGACACAGTATACATTCTTCTTTGAATCTGTGTGATATTTTGAACTCTGTGTTGAGCTCTTCACATCTTGAATTAAATGAGGAAATTAATTGTGTTGATATACCTAATGCTAAATGACGAGTTAATGGGTGCAGCACACCAGCATGGCACATGTATACATATGTAACTAACCTGCACATTGTGCACATGTACCCTAAAATTTAAAGTATAATAAAAAAAGAAAGAAAAAAATGAAAGATTTCCAAAGGATTATGTGAAATTTTATTTTATTGTTTAAATTATTTTATTTTATTTTATTGTTTAAATTATTTTATTTTATTGTTTAAATTATTTTATTTTATTTTATTGTTTAAATTATTTTATTTTATTTTATTTTATTTTATTTATTTTATTTATTTTATGTTATTTGAGACTGAGTCTCTGTTGCCCAGGCTGGAGTGCAGTAGCACGATCACACCTCACTGCAACCTCTGCCTTCTGGGTTCAAGCGATTCTCCTTCCTCAGCCTCCCAAGTAGCTGGGACTACAGGCATGCACCACCAAGCCCGGCTAATTTTTATATTTTTAGTAGAGACAGGGTTTCACCATGTTGGGCAGGCTGGTCTCGAACTCCTGACCTCAGGTGATTCGTATGCCTCGGCCTCCCAAAGTGCTGGGATTACAGGTATGAGCCACTGCGCCGGGCCAGATTATGTGAAATTTTAGATAAACACAGAAGAATTTATGAATGACGATGAACAGGAAATGGAGAAAATTCTAATATCATGCGGTACTTTGTCAGCCAGAGTCAGTGACAATTATTAGGCTGATATGTTGACTGCCATGCCAGGGATGATCAAATCTCTTACCATCCACTGTCTGGAGGTGCCAACACCTGCTGAACTGGCTTTCCAGATCAATGAATTACAGTCAGACACTGTGTAATAATGTTTCAGTCAGTGACAAACCGCGTATACGACAGTGATCCCATGGATTATAACAGAGCTGAAAAATTCCTATAGCCTCTTGAAGTTGTAGCCATCGTAACATAGTGCAGTGTTTTCCTCCCATGTTTGCGGTGATGCTGTGAAAATAAACCTATTGCACTACCAGTCTTATAAAACGGTAGCACGTAGAATTATGTACAGTATTAATGCTTGATAATGGCAATAACTATGTTGCTGGTTTATGTATTTACTATACCATAGGTTTTATTGTTATTTTAGAATGTATGTTTCTACTTATAAAAAAGGTTAACTGTAAAACAGCCTCAGGCAGGTTGTCAGGAGTTATTCCAGAAGAAGGCACTGTTATCTTAGGAAGTGACAGCTCCATGCGTGTTACTGCCCCTGAAGACCTTCCAGTGGGACAAGTTGTGGAGGTGGAAGACAGTGACACTGATGCTCCTGACCCTGGGTAGGCCTCGGCTAATGTGTGGGCTCATGTTTTAATTTTTAACAAAAAAGTTTAAAAAGTCGAAAGAGTAAAAATTAAATTAAAAAAGCTTATAGGATAAGAATATAAAGAATTTTTTTTATAGCTGGACAATCTGTGTTTTAAACTAAGTATTATTACACAGTAGTCAAAAAGTAAAAAACAAAAACAAAAAAATACTAAAACGCTCATAGGGTAAAAAAGTTACAATAAGCCAAGGTTAATTTATTACTGAGGAAAAATATATTTTCTTATAAATTTAGTGTTGCCTAAGTGCACAGTATTTATAAAGTCTACGGTAGTGTACCGTAATGTCCTAGCCTTCACATTCACTCACCACTCACTCACTGACTCACCCAACGCCACCTCCAGTCCTGCAAGCTCCATTAGTGGTACCTGCCCTAAACAGGTGTACCATGTGTGTCTTTTATACTGTATTTTTTACTGCACTCTTTGTATGTTTAGACATGTTTAGATACAAACATACTTACCGTTGTGTTACAGTTGCCTACAGTATTCAGTACAGTTACATGCTGTGCAGGTTTGTAGCCCAGGAGCAGTAGGCTGTACCACAGAGCCCAGGCGTGTAGTAGGTTATGCCATCTAGGTTTGTGTAAGTGTACTTAGTGATGTTCGCACAGTGATGAAATTACCTAACAATGCATTTTTCAGAACATATTCCTATCATTAAGAAACACATGATATTTGGCCATGTTGGAATGGATTTTAGGGTCTCTAACAGTTGAGGATAGTCTAGTTCATGTAGATTTGAACCTGACAAAAGTGACTTATGAGAAATTGCAAGAATTCTTGGCAGGTTTCTTTTTATGAAGAACTCCCTTTGTGCTCATTTTGTCACCTTTACTTTTGTCACCTTTACTTTCTATAACAAAATAAACCATGTTACATGAAATAATTCTATTGAATTTTGATTTTGAGAGAGAACTTTCACCAGTTAACACGTTGCTGATTTTGTTTTCCTCTAAGTTTTTAGATTAATATCAGATTAGGCAAATTATACCATTAGTGATGAAACTTAATGTGAATGATTGTTTCTGAGGGGAAAAACCTCGAAACAGTGAGATTTTTACTCTCTCAGTTAAATAATGCAATGCTGATTGATTGAGTTTTAAAAACAGTTTTTATTTTTTAAAGCAGCAGCCGAATTCTCTTAAGTGGAGGGATCGCATAGGTGTCCTGGAGCTCCACCATGGTGAGTGGAGTCACACTTTACAATTTTATTTATCCAGCTTTATTTGTTGACTTACATTTAATAAGAATGATTTTGTCACAATTCTAAAAGGCGAAATGATTTCTAGAAAAAATAATATAAATATATTTACTAATATACCCGTCCTTTGCCAATCTCTTGTCCTGCACATGTGTTTAGAAGTAACAAAAACAAGCTGTGTCCTATGGCAAGCTTACGGGAGGCCCTCCCCTGGTTGGGCATGTTGGACTTGATCATACTGAACAAAATTCATCTCAGAGAACAAGAAATTACTGCAGACTTTAGCAGCACCCGAAGTGTTACTCTGTCTAATTGGATCATCGGAATAGTCAAGTTTTTAAAAGTGTCACTCACGCCGGGCGCGGTGGCTCACGCCTGTAATCCCAGCACTTTGGGAGGCTGAGGCGGGCGGATCACAAGGTCAGGAGATCGAGACCATCCTGGCTAACACGGTGAAACCCCGTCTCTACTAAAAATACAAAAAAGTAGCTGGGCATGGTGGCGGGCGCCTGTAGTCCCAGCTACTCGGGAGGCTGAGGCAGGAGAATGGTGTGAACGCGGGAGGCGGAGCTTGCAGTGAGCCGAGATCGCACCACACCACTCCAGCCTGAGCGATAGAGTGAGACTCCGCCTCAAAAAAAAAAAAAAAAAGTGTCACTCACAGAAATAGCTAACAGAAGAAATTGCCTTACAGGAAAAATCACGACTTAAGAAGGAAGTCACTTATCTTTGTAATAGAATGTGTCATCAGACTGAAGAAGCAGCAGCTCTCCAAGTTACTCCTCGCCATTAACCAAAATTTGGAGGTGTACACTTTCAAGGACCACAGTTATTTCTTAGAACATACAGTGCAATTTTAAAACTGTGTTCTTGAAAGGAATCGTTTACAAAAAGTTATAGCACAGGAGTTTTTCATGAAAATGCAAATGTCACTTCTGCTGAATGGAAGGCTAAAGAGAAAAGGCAAAGAAAGAGACTCAAGACATACGAAGTGGGCCCGGTCGTGGTGGCTCATGCCTGTAATCCCAGCACTTTGGGAGGCCGAAGCAGGCGGATCACCTGAGGTCAGGAGTTTGCGATTAGCCTGGCCAACATAGTGAAACCCTGTCTCCACTAAAAATACAAAAATTAGTGGGGCGTGGTGGTGGGCACCTGTAGTCCCAGCTACTTAGGAGGCTGAGGCAGGAGAATCGCCTGAACCTAGGGACAGAGGTTGCAGTGAGCCAAGATTGCGCCACTGCCCTCTAGCCTTGGCAACAGAGCAAGACTCTGTCTTAAAAAAAAAAAAAAAAAGTGGACCATTTCTAGGCATTGGATGGTTGCAGAGGAGATGCCCTCATGCACCTACAGAAGTGGAGGGCATGCCCACCAGGTCAGTCCCCATAAGTAGACGTGCAAAGCTCATCACGCCTCCCTGTTGTCACCAAATGTCTCAGACCTCCATGGGCTGCATGTGGACAAAGCTAGAGAATATTTTATGACAATGCTACAGCAAAAACCTGAAGATTTAAGCAAAATGCCTCTCTGTGATTATGGGGGTTGAAAAGCATAGCCAGGGAGCAGCCACTGTCATCAGACCAGCTGCTGCCATAAAATGCCTCACAGCCACAACTTCTGGATCTCTGAAGTTAAACCAGACTTTAGCTCTGAAGTCGGGCTAAAGTAAAAGACACTTCCTTAACTTAGAACTGTGAAGAATTTAATAGAGAAACAAGGCTGAACACATCTGAATTTTGAAGAGCTATTTATGACTTCATGTCGTATATGACAAATTTTATTATCGTTCTCTTTAAAATCGAGCAATTGATTCTCATCATCCAAAGGGTGAACCTGTTTTTAATAAATGAATTAACTATGAGACTGCTCATTAAAATGTAATATTGCAACTATCTATGGAAGAATAGATTATACAATTTTCAGCCAGCATAAGAAAAACAAAAAGATTTTATTTGAACTATTAAAAAAAGTAATTTTCCTGTCAACTCTGTACTTTTTTATATACATTTTTATAACTTTGCTTTAAAAATTTCTTGTGAAACGATTTGCAAATTACATATAGTATAATAGTAAAATAAAATACTTTGGCCAAAAAAAGGATATTTACTAATATGCAATGTAGCCACACTTTAGAAGCTTATACAGACTTTATAATTGTCCTTGAAGGCCAGAAGTTTGTTTTGTCAGTCACTCTGCTTCCTTGGGTTCCACTGGCTTGGAGGGGCTCTCACCAGCATCTTCCATTGTCCCTGAAAGGGTTGTAGAGGTGTGCATTAGTTTCCTGGGGCTGTCATAACAAAATACTGTATAGTGAGTGTGGCTTGACCAACAGAAATGTATGGTCTCACAGTTCTGGAAGCAGGAAGTCCAAAATCAAGGTGGTGGCAGGGTTGGTTCTTCTGAGGGCTGTGAGGGAAAGATCTGTTCCTGGCCTCTCTCCTTGGCTTGTAGATGGCTGAGCTATAGTTTTGTTATTTTTTCCCTCCAAATCCCATGTTGAAATGTGATCCCCAATGTTGGAGGTGGGGCCTGGAGGGAGGTGTTTGGGTCATGGGGGCGGATCCCTCATGGAATGGCTTGGTGCCCTCCCTGTGGTGATGAGTGAGTTCTTTCTCTGTGAGTTCATGCAGGAGCTGGTTGTTTAAAGGAGCCTGGTGCCTCCTCCCTCTCTCTCTTACTCTTTCACTCACCATGTGACATGCCTGCTCCCCCTTCACCTTCCACCATGAGTAAAAGCTTCCTGAGGGCTCACCAGAGGCAGATGCCAGCACTATGTTTCTTGTACAGTGTGCAGAACAATGAGCCAAAATAAACCTCTTTTATTTGTAAATTACCTAGTCTCAGGTATTCCTTTATAGCAACACAAAACAGACTAGTACAGCTGCCTTCTCCCTCTGTCTCTTCAGATCATCTTCCCTGTATGTATGTGCATCTCTGTGTCCAAATTTCCCCTTTTTATAAGGACACCAGGTCATATTGGATTAAGGCCCACCCTAATGACCTTATTAATTTCCCTTTTTATAAGGACACCAGTCATTGGGTTAGGGTCCATCCTAATGACCTCACTTGAAATCCTGCCTCCAGATGAGATCATGCTCTGAGGTATTAGGGATTAGGATTTAACATGAAAGTGAGGGGGATGCAATTCAGCCCATCACAGGGTGGATTCCCCTTCTGGGGCTGTGTTACTCAAACCATCCCAGGAAGGGTAACAGGGCCAGAGGAGCTGAAGAATTGTGAGCCCTTGTTTACCAGGCTTGGGGGGTTCTGTCTTGCACTACTACCCTGAAAACCCTACTGGTTGCCAATTGAATTTATCAGGGAACTCCAGTGCCCAGTGACAAAGGCTGGAAATCTTTCTCCTAAAGATCTTTAAGGGTGCACCTGCCCTCACAGTCCCTCTGGCTCTGAGCTTGTGGCTCTATCTGTTCCCTATGCCCACATGAATGAGTTCTGCCTCAATCCCTGCTCCCCACTGTGGGGAACCAAGTACCAACCTCAACTTGCTGGGCAGATGCTACGTGACAGTCTAAGTGCTAAGCTCTTTACAGACATGGTCTCATTTTATCTTCCTCATAAGCCAAAGAGGTAAAGAATGACATTACTGTTTTACAGATGAGAAGGCCACATTGTGAAGAAATTAAGTGATTTGCCCGAGGTTTGTGTTGATCATTTCATTAAATGAAGTATCATATCTATCATACTTTTTCATTTATTAGAAACAAAATACCACTCATGGTAAGAACAAAGATGTGGAGGAGCAGTAGAAGAACAGAGAAGTAGGAGTGGAATTTCATGAGTCCCCAAACCGAAGACCAATACCTATGATTAGAAATACAGGGGACTCCATGTTCATAGTGGCGTTATTCACAATAGCCAAAAAGTGAAGTCACCCAGGTGTCCTTGTGTGGATGAATGGATAAGCAAAATGTGGTCCATGTGTATAATGAAACATTACCCAACCTCGGAAAGGAAGGACATCTTCTATACGCCAGAACATGGATGAACCTCGAGGACATTATGCTGAGTGAAATAAGCCAGGCACAAAAGAACAGACACTGTGTGATTCCACTTACATGAGGTGTCTGGAGTGCTCAGTCTCATGGAGACAGAAAATAGAATGGTGGTTGCCAGGGGATAAGGAGTTGGGGATAGCATGTTTGCATTTAATAGGTACAAAATTTCATTTTAAGAAGATGAAAGTTTTATAGATGGTTGGTGGTGATAGTTGCACAAAAAGGTGAATGCATTTAATGCCACTGGACTATATACTTAGAAATGACTAAGATGATGAGTTTTTATGTGTATTCACAACTTAAAAATAATTTTTAAAAAAGAAAGGAAAGGCACTGACCCCAACCCACACACTCAACAGTTTTTGAATCCAGATTTTCTGGCAATGATATAAAATGTCTTTTGATCCAATCACTCAGGAAGGTCAAGAGAAAACCCTGCATTTTTATTGGGAAGAATAGCCTCGAAGCAGGAGCATGGTTTAGAACCTGTCTGTGTGCATCTTCAGTAAACATTCGAGTAATAAATCACTGTTGCACTTGAAGGAAGGTCTCCAGGTTCTGGTGGTAGGTGTGGGGTTGGCAAGAGTGCAGCTTTAAGGTGTGAGCTCCGGGATTTCTCACTGAGGATAAGTTCATCTTTCTACCAGTTCTGCACAGTTGAGTCTAAGCACAGGTGGTGGTGGGGAGGTAAACATGGAGATGACCAAGGAAACACACTCTGACCCATCCCTGATTGCAAAATGAAAGGGTGTTGGATCCAGAATGTGGTTGGTACTTGATAGGTGCACTGTCCCTGACAAAAACGGGGCAGAGGGGTGACCTACACACTCCTATTTCTCATCTCCAGTTTGTTCCTTATCAACTACCACTTTCTCTTCCTGCCTCTCCTGAGTCTTGAAGTTTGTAAAGTCTGGTCTGGCTTACTCCTCATAGGTATCCAGCATTTAGTTTTGAAACATATCAACACTTGTACAAATGGCAGTTAGGGTGACTGTTATGAAAAGGAAATCTAATACACTATTCCTCCACTTGAAATCCTCCATGTCTCCCCATTCCCTGAGGCACATGATTGAAGCCCGAAGAACGCATGCCCCACCTGCTCCCTGCCCATTGGTCCAGCTGCCACCCAGACAAGGTCTGGCACCAGATCCATAGTCAGCAGTGCTGGCCCTGCAGCCTCTGCTAACGGGGCTCACCAGCCTGCAGCCTCGGCTCCTCCATACTCACCTGCCCACCACTACTAGCTCAGCCTACAACCTTAGCCAACTCCTTAGCCTCCAGGAAGACCTCCAGGTGGTTCCTCAACTTAGGTGTCTCTTCTAGCCTTAATCCTGGAAGTTGACTTGCTGGTTGCATTATGATTCCTAAGCCCCAGCTGTGGAGGGAGAGTCCCTGGAAGATGGGACAATGTCTTTGCCCCTGAACTTCCATCCCTGGCATAGTGCCAGCTTTTTCATGGAGGGTATTCAGTAAGCACTGCATGTGAAATGCATTGTGCCAAGTTATTTTGCCTCGTTTAACTCTTGAAAAGCAGGCTTCTGTGCAGACCAGGCTCAAATCCATGCTTCCAGGTGCCCTGTGCGGTGCCACCACAGTGTAGCACACAGACCTGCACGTGCCTACATGGCATTGATTCCAGGCCTTGGTTTCCTCTTTGGGAAGATAAAGTAACTGTACTAAATGCAGAGAGAAATTAGTTAACTTTATCACTTGCTTTTAGAATGATTCTTGAAATATGAATAAAAAATATAAATTTCTGGCTTATTTTGGCTTTTCTTTTCCTAGAGTAACTGAATTTTTAAAAATCAAGCAATGCAGGAAGGAATAAAAACAAATTCAGGTTTACATATATGAGACTGGCAGCACAATACAACTAACCTCTGCTAGTTGGTGACTAACAGTTGGAAATCCATCCTGGAAGTTCCCAAGCACATCAGTGTTGCAGAGGACCTTGAAAGCACAGCAAATGGGTGAGCACACATTATTAAACTTTTATTAGGTTGTCAGCCTTGTGTATCTCTTTCAAAAACGTGTAGCTCATAAAAACATTCTTCACTTATCTTCAGCTGATTTGATGCAATTTTCTTCAATGGTGCTTAGTTATATTTAATCCCTGTGCCATACTTATGTCCAAAAAATTGGGAAATAATGCAAAGCAGGCCATATTCTAAAATGAAAAGCATTAAATTAAGGTTCTAGGTTCCCTCAAAAAGAGCAAAGCAGAGTGGACCTCACCTTATATAGCATCTATCTCTAAACTTTGCATTTTATTTTGAAACTCTGCAAAGCAATAAAAAACTCATTAACTTTTATAGCCAGTCAGAAAGGTAGTAATAGCATCTGTAGCAATGGAGATGTAATTAGGCTTTTATTTAAATGTGGCAGGGAGTTTGTTCTCATTATACGAAATAAATGAACAACCACAAATCACCAGTGGATTCATGCTCCCTATGGTGCTGGTGCAAGTGGTCCAGGAACTTGCCCAGTGCTGCTTCCTTATGTGGCAACAGAGCCTGTGAGCCCCAGAGCCAGGGCTGGATGGAAACCAGCTTTCTGAAGGTTGAATAGTCACAGCAATTATATTAACGATTATAATCATGACAGAAAAGATTCTCCGTCCACATTGTTGTGTTAAAACAGAAAAAGAAAAAAAAAAGTGTTGCAGATCATCAATGCAATTCTTAACTTGGTCATAGAAAAACACCGAATTTGATCATCCTCTTGTCTCTGCTGTAGCTAAGCTCCTTTCCTGGCCTCCAATTCCTGTTTCCTTCCCAATACAGCAACTTCCTTCTATCTGTATTATCTCCTTGCCCATTTAGATAGCCTCAGAAAAACATGGGGAAGAACCAATTTGAAAGGTCTCAGTGGGTTTCATCAGGTTCCTAACAGATAATAAATGCTGAGCTAAGGACCCTAGGTTCTTCCAAAAAATGATGATATTAAAGCTCTACATCCTCTTTTTGAAAGTATGTAAAACTACTTTAGTGGTTTTGATTCATTTTAATCTTATGTCAGCTACATTATTATGTAAGGGAAATTCAAAGATGAGGATAGAAATTTACTCAGAAAAAGTATAAATTGATTTCTGTTTAAAGATGATTTTCCGGCCGGGCGCGGTGGCTCACGCCTGTAATCCCAGCACTTTGGGAGGCCGAGGCGGGCGGATCACGAGGTCAGGAGATCGAGACCATCCTGGCTAACACGGTGAAACCCCGTCTCTACTAAAAATACAAAAAATTAGCCGGGCGAGGTGGCGGGCGCCTGTAGTCCCAGCTACCTGGGAGGCTGAGGCAGGAGAATGGCGTGAACCCCAGGGGGCGGAGACTGCAGTGAGCCGAGATTGCGCCACTGCACTCCAGCCTGGGCGACAGCGAGACTCTGTCTCAAAAAAAAAAAAAAAAAAAAAGATGATTTTCCTTAATCTCATCTCTCAAAACCCACAAATATATATGTATTACTAGGTATGTGTGTGTATATATATATATATAAAATATATATATATGCACACATGTGCATATATATTTTTTGTTGTTGATTTGTTTGTGTATATGTATATGAATGTATACACATATGTGTATATACACACATATTTATACACTCATGTATATGCACACAAATCAACAATAAAAAATAGAGGGCAAAAAATCCAATTTATATATAACAAGAAAATGGCTACATTCTCAAAACATCTTGACTGGAGCTCGAGAGCCAATAAAAAGTTGATCTCTGCCACCTGAGACCTTGGGCCAGGATACACGTGCTCTTAAAAGGGCAGGTTCCGTGTTCACTTGTATGTTCCGGCCCCAGCTGCTTTCCCTGATGGAAGAGGGCCAGAGGCACACAGCGGGAAAGTGGAGAAGCTGGAAGGGCTTAAGAGTCTAAGTCTGGGGAAGGTGAAGGAGTGTCCCCAGGGCGAAGAAAGAGCAGGTTTGTTGGAGGGCACTCAAGAACACACCCACGTGAAAGCCGTAGATAGGCTTTCCCTATCCCGCATCCCGCCACACTCCCATCCCACCCCTCGGCAGTACTAGCTCAGCCAATGGGGCTACTGACTGTCCCTTCTCCAAGATGAGTCATATTGAGAAGAACGGCCTGGGCCCATGGAGAACAACTGCCATCAAACAATCAATTGGCAGCATCCATCAAATACCTGATGGAGGGAAAAAAGGAAAGACAGAGGCACATCGGGGCAGATATCACGAAAGACAGTTTTCAAGGACACAGAGAGGGATTCTCACCAACAGTGCTTCATTCTGCACAAAGATTCTATGCAGCAGGCAGCATTTTCTGCACCTGAAACGAGAACTGTCACGGAAGAGTCAGGATATTCAAGTAAGAGGCCGTGTGACAGTGGGAGAGGATGTGAACAGAGCTGTCAGAGTCCATTAGGACATGGAAAGGAGGAAGAACACTGCAGAAATAAAAAATCCATATGAAGCGACAACAAAGGAAAAACAAGACAGATGATATCATGAGGTCTTGACAAATAGACCTGGGAAAATCTCATAAACTACGTATTAAAGAGAACCAGGGAACTTAAAAATGCTTTTAGCAAAACAATGGCCAGGAGAGGGCAAGATAGACAAGGACAGCTCGGCTCTCAGCAGGCGCTTCTAACCCTCTCACTGTCCCCGCCGCCAGCCCTGGGGGAAGAACACTGTGTTTTTGTTTTTGTTTTTACTACAGATTCTTAAATATTTTAAATTTTGAACCATAGATATATGTTTCCATTTTAGCATTAATCAATAAAATGGCTGTTGGAAACTCAGTGAAGAACAATACAAGAAATGTGATAAACCCCACAATGGGTATACGACCATCTTTGATCAATTTTACAACTGCTACTGCTCACCCCTCAATGCCCATCAGTCTCTCACAGGAATGCACCAAGAGAAGAGAATCTCCAGCAGGAGGCCCAGAGGTGGAAGAGGCAGGGATGCGAAGAAGCAGAGGAGGCTGGAAGGAACCGGCGAGAAGTGGGGACAGCGGGAGTGTAAGTGAGAGCCAGTGAGGCCGCTCACGCAGGGCACCCGGCCAGGTGAAAACTTTTAGAATTTGCTTCAAAAGTCAGTGAAGTGCTCTAAGCAGCACAGTGTCAAAATCAGATTTAAAGTTGTCAAAGGGCATTTTTAATGCAAAAAGCAACAGACTGGGCAAAAGTGTTTTTAATATGTGTAACCAAAAAAAGAGAGTTAAAAACTAGTATTTTTTTTCAAAATGTTCCCAGAAATAACATAAATAAAATTAGTTAGAAAACAAAGCAGACAATTAAAAGAAAAAGAGATACAATTAGTCGATAAATCTATGAAAAAATGGTCACTGTATCGTAAGGCCTGAAATTTCATTTCCCACCTTAACGCCTTCGACCCTCACAAGGCCCCAAGGGTCTAATCCTAAGTCCTTATGCTCACACCAGACGTGTACCCCCGCCAGTGGGAAAGGCTCCTTGCCTGGCCAGTTCCCCATTAGCTGGACTAGCTTCACTTAACCTGATCCTCACTCTAATGGGCTTCGCTTCCCTGCCAGCTCATGAAATTATTCAAAAAAGCTAGTCATATCCTCACATGGGGCCTGGAGGCACCTCAGCATCTTGTTAGTTCAAAGCCTGCCTCCTTTTCACTAGAGTCCCTGCAGGCTCTCTGTGTTCCCATGTGCAAGTCCCTTATGGCCCTGTGTAAAATGCAATGTCCTCCTCCCCGAGGCCTTGAGCATATGTAAGCAACAAACCGCTATGAGCTTATCTGTCCAGTCCCGCAGGGTGGATGCAAGTGGTCAGAACAGTCACCTCATTTGTAATCAGAGAAACATTAACTGAAGCAGCAATGATACGGAATATTTTTACCCAATGGATTCATAAAATTATGAACCAGTATTAACTACCTGTGTTGGCAGTGGTTTGCATGGGAATATATATTGGTGGTTTTTCAGGGGATATCTATTAAAATATACAAATCCTGTGACCTCTGATTTACCTTCTAGAAACATTTACTTAGATGCACTGTTGGTAACAGAGAAAAAATTGGATAGAGCTTAAATAGCTACTAAAAGACAATGGTTAAATGAGTTTTGATATGACAACTGATAGGCAATTTTGTGGACTGGCTCATTTCCAATCTTCTTCCCTTGTGTCTCCCTGGACTGCAGAGACCAGAAAGCCAGAAACTACATTTGCTAAGCTCCCTGGATTACAGGCATGACTTAGCTCTGCCAATGAGATGTACTTATGTGTGATTTGACTTTGGATCTGTTTTAGGTGAGATAGAAATAGCATAAAGCAGTGTTTTAAAAAATACTTTATTGTTTAGAATGGTGTTAAATTTACAGAAAAATTGCGAAGCTACAGAGATCTTGCATATGCCAGCATAACCTTTTCCCCCTATTATTAACATCTTACATTCTTAAAGTTAATGGATCAATAGTGATATATGATTGTTATTAAGTAAATACCACAGTTTATTCAGATTTCCATTTATTTATTTAGAGACAAAGTTTCGCTCTTGTTGCCCAGGCTGGAGTGCAATGGCACGATCTTGGCTCACTGCAACCTCTGCCTCCCGGGTTCAAGCGATTCTCCTGCCTCAGCCTTCTGAGTAGCTGGGATTACAGGCATGCGCCACCACGCCCGGCTAATTTTGTATTTTTAGTAGAGACGGAGTTTCTCCAGGTTGGTCAGGCTGGTCTCGAACTCCCAACCTCAGATGATCTGCCCGCCTCGACCTCCCAAAGTGCTGGGATTACAGGCGTGAGCCACAGCCCCTGGCCCAGATTTCCTTATTTTTTGTAGAACTTCTTTTTCTGTTCCAGGTGTCTGTTCATAACTCCACACTGCACTTACCTCTCACGGCTCCTTAGGCTCTCTTGGTGGTGACAGATTCTCTGAGTTTTCTTGTTTTTGATGACACTGATAAATTTGAGGAGTAATGGTCATACTTGGTAAGATGTCCCTCGAATGGAATTGATGTGAATTCTTTCTCTGATTAGGCAGGTGCCAGCATGGCCCACCACTGCTGATGTGGACCTTGGTCACCTGGCTCAGGGAGTCTTTGTCAGGCTTCTTCACGTAAAGTTGCTCTTTTTTTCCCACTTTCCACACCGTACTCTTTGGAACGAAGCACCTCGTGCTTAAGGAGTGGGGATTTAAGCCCACTAGGATAGTTTCAGCACTCAAAAAACGTATGCTTTCAGAAAGACAAGCATCACATGTTTTCACTTATTTGTGGGATCTAAAAATCAAAACACATGGAGATAGAGAGTAGAAGGATGGTTACCAGAGGCTGGGAAGGGGAGTGGGGTGGGGGGTGGAGGGGATGTGGTGAAAGTTAATGGGTACAAAAAATAGAATAAATGAATAAAGCCTAGCATCCGATGGCACAACAGGGTGACTATAATCAATAATTCAATTGTATATTTTAAAATAACTAAAATAGTATAATTGGATTGTGTGTAACACAAAGGATAAATGCTTGAGGGGATGGATACCCCATTCCCCATGATGCAATTGTTATTTATTGCATGCCTGTATCAAAACATCTCATACGCCTCATAAATATATATACCTACTATGTACCAACAAAAATAAAAAATAGAAATCCTGCGCTTTACCTATTTACCCCTCCCATCCCCTCTGGCAACAACTATTTTTACTGACTCCATAGTTTTGCATTTCTTTGAACCTCATATAGCTGGAATCATATGCTATGTAGCCTTTTCAAATTGGCTTCTTTCACTTAGTAATATGCATTTAAAATTTAACCATGTCTTTTCATGGCTTGATAGCTCATTTCTTTTTATGGCTGAGTAACAGTCACTTGTGTGGATGCTCTCTACTTTGTTTACCTCGGTTGCTTTCAGTTTTGGAGTTTATGAATGAAGCTGCTAAAACACACTTTCATGCAGCTTTTGGTGTGAATATAAGTTTTCAAATCAATTCTTACTAGGAACTTGATTGCTAAATCACATAGTAAGACTATGTTTAGCTTTGCAAGAAACTGCCTAACTATCTTCCAATGACTGCACCATTTTTCATTCACACCAGCAGCAAAAGAGAGTTCCTCCATACTGAATCCTCTCCAGCATGCGGTGGTGCAATTTTTGCAGATTTTATCTACTCTAATGCATGTCTACCTGTATGTGGTTTCAATTTGCAATTCCCAATTGGGAAATGATTTCAAAAATTATTTTAGGTTGCCATTTGTATATTTTCTTTGCTGAGTTTTCTGTTCAGATCTTTTAACTTCATTTTAATTGAGTTGTTTGCTTTCTTATTGTTTAACTGTAAAAGTTCTTTGTAAGCTTCAGATATAAGTTCTTTATCAGACATATGTTTTGCAAATATTTTCTCCAAGTCTGAGGCTTATTTTTTTATTATCTTGCAATGTCTTTGGCAGAGCATAAGCTTTTAATTTTAATACAGTTTAACTTACCTATTTTTCTTTCATCCACCATGTTTTTGATGTTGTGTTGAAAAACTCATTGCCAAACCCAAGGTTACCTACATTTTCTCTATTTTCCTCTAAAAGTTTCAAAGTGTTGCTATTTACATTTAGGTTTATGATTCATTTTGAGTTACTTTTTTTCTTTCTTTCAGCTATATTGAACTATAACTGACAAATAAAAATAATATACATTCAAGATGTACAATGTGATGTGCATATACTATACACGTTCATTGTGTAATGGTTACCACCATCAAATTAATCAACCTATCCATCACCACAGAGTTACCCTTTGTGTGTGTGTGTGTTGTGATAACACTTAAGATACTTTTTCTTAGCAAATTTCTAGTAAATAATATTATTAACTATAATTATCATGTGGTACATTAGATACTCAGCAATTATTTATCTTATAACTGAAAGTGTGTACCCTTAAATCAACATCTCCCCATTTTTCCCACCCCTCAGACACTGGCATGCACTGTTCCACTCCTTGCTTCTATGAGTTGCACTTTTTAGATTCATATATGTCAGATCATACAGTATTTGCCTTTCTGTATCTGGCTTATTCCACATAGCATAATGTCTTCCAGATTCACTTATGTTGTCACAAATGGCAGGATTTTCTTCTTTTATTATGGCTGGATAATATTTCATTGTATATATGTGTGTATATATGCATCATATATATGTATATACATGCATCATATATATGTATATACATACATCATATATATGTGTATATATACATCATATATATGTATATATACACATTGTATATATGTGTGTATATATACATCATATATATATGTATATATACACATCATATATATGTGTATATAGACAATAGTTTCTTGATCCACTCATCTGTCAATGGACACAGGTTATTCCATGTCTTCCCTATTGTAAATAATGCTGCAATAAACATGAGGGTGTAGATAGCACTTCAAGATATTTTATTTCCTTTCACTATCCTTTTCCTTTTCTTTGGATATGTACCTAGGTATAGGATTGTTGGATTATATAGTAGTTCTATTTTTAATAGTTTGCAGAACTAACAATGTTTTCTATATAAATTGACTATATCAATTTATATACCCACTGACAGTGTACAAGGATTCTCTTTTCTCCACATCCGCACCAACACCTGTTAGTTCTTGTCGTTTGGATAATAGCCATCCTTACAGGTGTGAGGTGATGTCTCAGTCTCACTGTGGTTCTGATTTGCATTTCCCTGATGATTCATGATGTTGAGCAGCTTTTCATACACCCGTTGGACAGTTGTATGTCTTCTTTGAAAAAATGTCTGTTCAGGGCATTTGCCCATTTTTCAATACGTTACTATCATCATCATCATCATTATTATTAATTTGCTATTGAGTTGTATGTGTATTCAGTATTTTGAATATTAACCCATTATCAGATATATAGTTTTTAAATATGTGCTCCCATTCTGTAGCTTGGCTTTTTGTTTTGTTGATTGTTTTCTTTGCTGTGCACAAGATTTTTAGTGTGATGTATTCCCATTTATTTATTTTTGCTTTCATGCTATGTGCTTTTGGTGTTATATCCAAAAAATATTGCCAAGGCCAATGTACAGAAACTTTTTCTCTCTTTTTTCTTCTAGGAATTTCACGGTTTCAAGTCTTACATGTAAGTTTTCTTTTTTTTTTTTTGAGATGAAGTTTCCCTCTTGTTGCCCAGGCTGGAGTGCCATGGTGTGATCTCAGCTCACCACAACCTCTGCCTCCTAGGTTCAAGTGATTCTCCTGCCTTAGCCTCCTGAGTAGCTGGGATTACAGGCATTACAGGCATGCACCACCACGCCTGGCTAATTTTTTTTTTTCTTTTAGTAGAGATGGGGTTTCACCATGTTGGTCAGGCTAGTCTCGAACTCCCAACCTCAGGTTATCCACCTGCCTCGGCCTCCCAAGATGCTGGGATTACAGGCATGAGCCACTGCGCCTGGCCCATATAAGTTGTTAATCCTATTTCAAGTTAACTTTTGCATTTGGTATAAAATAATGGTTCAATTTTATTCTTTTGCATGTGGTTATGGAGTTTTCCCATCATTTATTAAAGAGAGTATCCTTTACCCATCGTGTATTCTTAGGACTCTTCTCAAAGGCATTTAATTTGGGGCTCTCTATTCTGTTCTAAGAGCCTGTTTTTATGCTAGTATCATACTGTTTTTATTTACTGTACCTTGGCAATATAGTTTGAAATCAGGAAGTATAATTCTTAACAGCTTTGTTGCTCTTTCTCAAAATTGCTTTGCCTATTCAGAGTCTTTTGTGATTCTGTACAAATTTTAAGATTGTTTCTTCTATTTCTGTGAAAAATGTCATTGGATTTTTGATAGGGATTACATCAAATCTGTATATCACTTTGGGTAGTATGGATCTATTTGCGATGTTAATTCTTTCAATTAGTGAACATGAGCTATCTTTCCAGTTATGTGTGTCTCCTTTAATTTCTTTCATCAGTGTTTTATACATTTCAGCATACATATCTAGATATTTCACATGCATGATTAAATGCATTTCTAACTATTTTATCGTTTTTGATGCTATTGTAAATGGGACTGTTTTCTTAATTTTTTGGATAGTTGGTTGTTGATGTATAGAAAACCCACTGACTTTTGTATGTTGATTTTGTATCCTGAAACTTTACTGAATTTAGTTATTAGTTCTAACAGTTTTTTCATGGAGTCTTTAGAGTTTTCAATATTTAAGATCATGTCATCTTCAAACCGAGATAATTTAATGTCTTTCTTTCCAATTTGGGTTCCTTTTACTTACTTTTCTCTCTTAATTGCTGTGGCTAAGACTTCCAGTACTATGTTGAACAGAAGTGGCAAGAGTGGGCATCTTTTTCTTGTACCTGAGTTTAAAAGAAAAGCTTTCAGCTATCATCACTGAGTATGATGTTAGCTGTGGGATGGTCATATACGGCCTTTCTTGTATTGAGGCACAGTTCTTCCATATGTAATTTGTGAAGTTTGTATCATGAATTTATGTTGAATTTTGTAAAATGCTTTTATTGAATCTATGGAGGTGATCATATGATTGTTATCCTTTATTCTGTTAATGTGGTATATCGCAATTATTGTTTTGCACATTATGAAACATCCTTGCATCCCAGGATAAATCCTACTTGATTATAGTGTATGATCCTTTAAATGTGTTGTTGAATTTGGTTTGCTAACATTTTGTTGAGGAGTTTTGCATCTATGTTCATCAGTGATTTTGTCCTGTAATGTTCTTTTCTTGTAGTGTTCTTAGTTAGCTTTGGTATAAAGATAATGCTGGCCTGATAAAATTAGTTTGGAAGTCCTTCCCACTCTTCAACTTTTTGGAAGATTTTGAGGAGAATTGCCATGAATTCTTCTTCAAATATTTGATAGAATTCACCTTGAAGCCATCTAGTCCTGAGATTTTCTTTTCTTTGAGGTTTTAGATTACAGGTTTAATCTCCTTTCTCATTATTGTTCTGTTCATATTTTCTCTTTCTTCATGATTAACTTTTTGCAGGTTGTACATTTCTAGGAATTTATTCATTTCTTCTAGGTTATTCAATTTGTTGGTGTATAGTTGTTCATAGTGGTCTCTTATGATCCTTTGTATTTCTGTGGTATCAGTGGTAATGCCTCCTCTTTCGTTACGTTTTCTTTATTGTGAGCCATCTTTTTTGTTCTTGGTTACTCTAACTACAGTTTTCTCAACTTTGCTTATCTTTTCAAAAACGCGACTTTAGTTTTGTTGATATTTCCTATTGTGTTTCTAGTCTCTATTTTATTTCTTTTTATTCTAATATATATTTTTTAATTTTCTGACTTTGGACTGAGTTTGTGCTGCTTTTCTGGTTTTTTTTGGGCTAAGTAGCTTGTATATTTGAGATTATTCTTATTTCTTAATATAGGCATTTATTGCTATAACGTTTGTTCTTAAAACTGTGTTTCCTGCATCCCATACGTTTTGGTATGTTGTGTTTCTATTTTTACTTGTCTCAAGATACTTTAAAATTTCTCTTTTGATTTCTTATTTGAGCCATTGATTTCAGGAGTATGCTGTTTAATTTGTACATATTTGTGAATTTCCCAAAATCTCTTGTGTTATTGATTCTAATTTCATACAACTGTGGTCAGAAAAGATACTTGATATGATTTCAACACTCTTAAATTTGCTAAGAATTGTCTTATATCCCAGCATATGATCTATCTTAAAGAATGTTCCATGTGCTCTGGAGAAGAGTAAGTATGCTACTGCTGTTAGACAGAAGGTCAAGACCTTCTGTTGGGTCCCTAGGCTAATGGGATTACTTCTGAGATTGCAGTCAAGTGGAGTCAGAGCTGAGTTACAACTGCTGCTGGGCCCACAGTGGGGACCATGTTTAGTGGGCCTCTTCCCAGGTGCTCAAGCTGGCATGGATTATACCTCCATGACTTTGGTCAGTAGGGCTGGTGATGGGACAAGTGTCTGTCTACTCAGGGTCCATAGTTGGTTGTTACCAGGTGTGTATACCGGTGCGGATCCTTCTAGGTCCTTGGGATAGCTCCTCCTGGGTCACTGGGTAAGTCCCTGGGCAGGCATGACTGCACAGGTAAGAGTGACTGGAGAAGAGTTACAGGGCCATTTTGGAGTCTACTGTGGTATCAAGGTAAACAAGCCTGCCTCCCTGGGTGTGAAAGATTGAGCATGCCTCCTGGGGGGTCTTTGAGTGGGAAAAACTGCTCTCAGCTCACAGATGAGAAGGCCTAGAGCCAAGTTACAAAACTATTACAGGACCTTCTGTGGGTCTGAGATTGGTAGACCTTCTCTGAATGCACAGATAGCTGTATCTCCTGGCAAGACTGTGCTTGGGCAAGAATGCTCTCAAAACACAATTGAGAGGGTCTATGGCTGAGTTACAGGACTGCTTCAGAGTTCACTGCCCAGGCTGAGGTCAGCGAGCCCATCACCAGAGGGAGCAGTGCCCGTGACTCCACCCCAGTCCTTTGGCAGATGACTGTGGTAGCAGGATCAAGGCCAAACAGGCTTATAGCCGAGCCCACAAGGAGATGAGGCTGATTCCAGACCTATTGCCTGCACCAACAGTCAGCAAGCCTGCCACCTAGATGCAGGCCTCCCCTTTCCTCAACCTCCTAGGTTTTAAGCCAGACCAGGGTTTCACAACCTCCCACCTGGATCCCAAAGGCTCTTTTGTCTAAATAAATCTCTCAATGTATTTAAATATTCTTTGATTCCTGTCATCAGAGTTTAGTAGTTTCCTGCATATAGATTTTGTACATATTATGTTAGCTGTTTACCTAAGAATGTCATTTTTGGTGCCATTGTAAATGTTTTTGTGAGTATAATTTTGAATTTCAAATGTCCATAGTTGGTGTATGGAAAACAAATGACTGTTGAATATTGGCCTTTTATCCTGTGATCTTGCTGTAATCACATCAATACCAGGACTTTGTTTTGACCATTTCTTAGGATTTTATACATAAATAATCATGTCATCTGTGTATGCAATAGACTGAATAATAATTACCAAAGCTAACCAAGTCCTAATATTTGGAACCAGTGAATATTATGTTACGTGGCAAAAGGGATATTGCACATGTGGTTAAAAGATGGGGAGATTGTCTGAGATTGTCCAGAGTGCCTGAAATATAATTGCAAGTGTCCTTATAAAAGGGATGCAGAAGTAGCTTTGATTATGGGTAGGAGAAGGCAATGTGATGAGAGAAATGGTGATTGGAGTGATGCGGCCACACTTCAGGGGATGCAAGCAGCCACCAGAAGCAGAAAGAAGCAAGGAACAGACTCCACTCTGCAAGTGACCAACCCCAATAACACCTTGATTTTAGTCCTATGTCTTAGTCTGTTTTGGGTTGCTATAACAAAATACCACAAACTGAGTAATTTATAAAGAAAAGAAATTATATTTCTCACAGTTCTGGAGACTTGGAAGTACAATATCAAGGTGACAGTATCTGGTAAGGGCCTTCTGGCTATGTCACCCATGGCAGAAGGCAAAAGGTGAGAGATGGTGAGAGAGCTAAGAGGGAAGCCAAACTCATCATTTCATCAGGAACCCACTCCCACAATAACTAACCCACTGCCACAATAATGGCACTAATTCATTCATAAGGGAAGAACCCTCATGACCTAATCACCTCCTAAAGTTCCCACCTCAGCATTGTTGCATTGGGGAATAAGTTTCCAACACATGAACTTTGGGGTACACATTCAAGTCATGACACCCTATATGACTAATTTTGGACTTTTAGCCTCCAGAAATGTAATAGAATAAGGATGTATCATTTTAAACCATGGACTTTGTCATAATTTGCTACATCAGCAATAAGAAACTAACACAATCAATAAAGACAGATTTATTTCTTCCCTCTGTACCTACACAATTTTTACTTCCTTTCTTGTCTTATTGTATTAGCTATGACTTATAGTATAATGTTAAATGGGAGTGGAGGGAAAAGATCTCCCTGCCTTGTCCCTGAACTTAGGGGGAAAGCTTCCAGTTTCTTACCACGAAGTAGTATGCTGTTAGCTGTAGGTTTTTTGCAGATGTTCCTTGTCAAGTTGAAGCTGTTATCCTCTATTCCTATTTGCTGAAAGTTTATATCAAGGATGGGTACTGGACTTTGTCTAGTGCTTTTTCTGCATCAATAGATATTGTATTAGTTCATTCACACACTGCTATAAAGAACTACCTTAGACTGGGTAATTTATGAAGAAAAGAGATTTCGTTGACTCACAGTTCTGCAGACCTAACAGAAAGCATGGCTGGGAGGCCTCAGGAAACTTAAAAACATGGCAGAAGGAGAAGGGGAAGCAGGCACGTCTTACCAGGGCGACCCCATGATCCCATCACCATCAGGCCCCTCCTCCAATTCGACATGAGATTTGGGCAGGGACACAAATCCAAACCCTATTATTCTGCCCCTGGCCCCTCCCAAATCTCATGTCCTTTTCACATTTCAAAATACAATTATCCCTTCTCAACAGTCCCCCAGTATTAACTCATTTCAACATTAACTCAAAAGTCCGAAGTCCAAAGTCTCATCTGAGACAAGGTAAGTCCTTTCCACCTATGAGCCTGTAAAAATAAAATAAAATAATTAGTTACTTCCAAGATACAATGAGGGTACAGGCATTGGGTAAATGCTCCCATTCCAAATGGGAGATATTAGCCAAAACAAAGGGGCTACAGGCCTTATGCAAGTCCAAAACCCAGCAGGGCAGTCATTAAATCTTGAAACTCCAAAATAATCTCCTTGGACTCCATGTCTCACATCCAGGGTACACTGACGTAAGGGGTGGGTTCTCCAAGCCTTGGGCAGTTCCACCCCTGGGGAGGAGCTGTGCAGGGTACAGCCTCTGTGGCTGCTTTCATGGGCTGGTGTTGAGGGCCTTTGGTTTTTATAGGTGCACAGTGCAAGCTGTTGGTAGAGCTATCATTCTTGGATCTGGAGGATGGTGGCCCTATTCTCACAACTCCACTAGGCAGTGCCTCAGTGGGGACTTTGTGTAAGGGCTCCAACCCCACATTTCCCCTCTGCACTGCCCCAGTGGAGATTCTCCATGAGGGCTCCACCCCTGCAGCAGAATTCTGCCTGCACACCAGGTGTTTCCATACGTCCTCTGAAATCGAGGCAGATGTTCTCAGACCTCAATTCTTGTCTTTGGCACACATGCAGGCTCAACACCATATGGAAGCTGCCAAGGCTTGGGGTTTGCACCTTCTGAAGCCACTGCCTGAGTTGCGCCTTGGCCCCTTTTAGGCATGGCTGGTGCTGGAGTGGCTGGGATGCAGGGTTCCATGTCCCAAGGCTGCACAGAGAAGCTAGGCCCTGGGCCTGGCCCACTAAATCATTTTTCCCTTCTAGGCCTCCAGGCCTGTGATGGGAGGGGGTGCTGTAAAGGTCTCTGAAATGCCTTGGAGACTCCATTCTTGGCTATTAACATTTGGCTCCTCTTTACATATGCAAATTTCTGCAGCAGGCTTGAATTTCTCCCCAGAAAATGGGTTTTTCTTTTCTATCACATGGTCAGTCTGCAAATTTTACAAACTTTTGTGCTGTTTCCCTTTTAAATGTAAGTTCCAGTTTCAAATAATCTCTTTGTTCATGCATATGACTGTACATGTTTAGAAACAGCCAGGTCACCTCTTGAATGCTTTGCTGCTTAGAAATTTCTTCCACCAGATACCCTAAATCATCTCTCTCAAGTTCAAAGTTCCACAGGTCTCTAGGGAAGGGGCAAAATACCACCAGTCTCTTTGCTAAAGCATAGCAACAGTGACCTTTACTCCAATTCCCAACAAGTTCTTCATCTCCATGTGAGACCACCTCCACCTGGACTTCGTTGTTCATATCATTATCAGCATTTTGGTCAAAACCATTCAACAAGTCTCTAGGAAGTTCCAAACCTTCCCACGTCTTCCTTTCTTCTTCTGAGCCCTTCAAACTGTTCCAACCTCTGCTCTTTACCCAGTTCCAAAGCCGCTTCCACATTTTCAGGTATCTTTATAACAATGCCCCACTCCCGTACCAATTTTCTGTATTAGTCTGTTCTCACACTGCTATAAAGAACTACCTGAGACTGGGTAATTTATGAAGAAAAGAAGTTTAATTGACTCACAGTTCTGCAGGCTTAACAGGAAGCATGGTAGGGAGGCCTCAGGAAACTTATAATCATAGCAGAAGGCAAAGGGGAAGAAAGCACATCTTACTGTGGTGACGGGAGAGAGAGAGCAAAGGGGAAAGTGCCACATACCCGTAGACCATCAGATCTCATGAGAACTCACTCTGACAACAAAAAAAGCATGGGGGAAATCTTCCCCCATGATCCAATCACCTCCCACCAGGCCCCTCCTCAAATTTGACATGTGATTTGAGTAGGGACACAAATCCAAACCATATCAGATATGGTCATATAAATTTTATTTTTTTACCTGTTGATGTGGTAGATAGCATTGTTTTCCAGTGTTGAACCAGCTTTGCATATCTGAAATAAATTGGTTGTGGAATACAATTCTTTTATACCTTGTTGGATTCAAGTTACAAATATTTTTTGAGGATTTGTGTATTTGTTCCTGAGAGATATTAGTCTATAGTTTTTCTTACTCTTACTAATAATGATTTATCTGATTTTAGTATCAGAGAAGTGCTGGCCTCATAGAATGCATTAGAAAGTGTTCCCTCTGCTTCTATTTTCCAGAAGAGATTGTAGAGAATTATTGTATTTTCTGTCTTAAATGTGTGATACAATGCACCAGTGAAACTATCTGATCCTTCTGCTGACATTCTTGGAAGGTTATTAACTCCTGATTTATTTTTTATACATATTGACCTGTAATGATTATCTATTTCGTCTTTGATGAGTTTGGTAGTTTGCATTTTGCAAGTAATTGGCCCATTTCATATAAGTTATCAAATTCGGGGTCACGGAGTTATTCATCATATTATTTTACTATCTTTTCACATTGAAGGGATTCCTGCTGATGACATATCTTAAATTTCTGATATTAATAATTTTGGTCTTCTCTGTATTTTTCTCAGTCTGACTAGAAGTTTATCAATTATATTGATCTCTTTAAAGAACTAGCTTCTGATTTTATTTTCTCTTATTTTCCATTTTTTATGTTCATCGACTTCTGCTCTAATTTTGCTTATTTGTTTGCTTTAGGCTTAAATTTTTTTTTCTATTCATAATTCCCAAATGTGGAAGCTTAGATTATTGATTTTAAATCTTCTTCCTTTGTAATATATGCATTTAATGCTATAAATTTTTCTCTAAGTATTATTTTCATTGCATTCTACATATTTTGATAATTTGAATTCTCATTTTCAGTTAGGTCAAAATATTTTGTAAAAATTTTTCTTGAGGCTCCTTCTTCACCCATGTGTTATTTGAGGTTAATTTATAAGCATTTTAGGATTTTTGTGGTATATTTCTGTTGTTAATTTCTATTTTAATTCTATTGTCATCTGAGTTTATATTTTATATTTAATTTTTATTTAAACAAATACGTTAAATATGTTAAGGTGTGTTTTATGGCCAAACATGTGGCCTTTGTGAGTGTTTCAATGTGAGCTTGAGAAGAATGTATATTCTGCTGTCGTTCAATGAATTATTCTATAAAAGTTAATTAGATTCAGTTGATTGATGTTTCAGTTCAGTTCAACTTACATCTTGTTGGAGAATTAGCCTCATCAATCTTTGTGTAAGTCTCTGCTTTATCCCTGCTATTTTTTTTTCTTTGGAAGCCTGCTTTGTCTTAAGTTAATAGCTGCCCTGAGAGCATCCTGAAAGTTGGAATGGGTATGTGGGGCAAGACTCTGATGAAGCTGGGATCGTTAAGCCCCTACATTCTGATGAATCTTCTTTGCCAGTAGAAACAACTCTCCAGCCCAGTAGGAATGGCTGCTCTGAACCTATTTGGGGCAATTAACACTGTATAGCCTGAGGTGACTGCAATGGGCCCCCTGAGGTAGTTGCCATGCAAAACACAGCTGATTTTTTTCAGGACCCACCCCATAACTACACTCACATCACAACAGGACTCTAAAGGCGAGGTAGAAAGTGTGACCCATGAAGAGGCGTGACACACTCCAAGGGAATTAGTTGTGTTTTCTTATTTATACAGACAAAAATCCAGGCTATATGTGCAGAAATGAATAGTAAGTGTGTGGGCTAATGAGAGAAAGTTAGATCAGGGTAAGTTTATTGATATGGGCCCACTAAGCAGAGACTCTGCATTTAATATTGTAGCTTGGGGAGTCAGAAAGGACTCTAACAGTTTGGTTGGTGGACCCAAAAAGGGATCAAAAGGTGGCCCACAGCAAGGGAGTTCAAATATAAATGCCAGGTGTGCCTTGGTTTAATGCCGAAGAAGGGATTAAAGGCTTAAAGACATTGGGATGTTAGAGTGGATTTTCCATTTAAGACCTACTTATATGCCCTGGGAGGCTTCAAAAGACATACCTTTCACCAAAATGGTGAGAAATAAATTTTTGAGGAGAGCCTCAGCATCCTTGATGTGTTTGTTCTCTATAGGCAAGATTTTTAGTGGAAACTAGAGTCACTGAATTGGGAAAACTAAATGTAATGGGAGTAACTGGATCCCAGGTTGGCAGGAGCCAAGTACCAGCATTCAGCCACCAAAATCCAGGTGGGCCTAGCTGACACAGTGGACAGCAATGTCACAGCAGCCACTAGAATAGTCTCACTCGTGGAGACCTATGGCATTGGCTAGTTGATCGTGGTGCTCCTAGAAGTGAAATAGATAGGAAGCCAACTAAATTCTTACTTGATCTGTATAAGCAGAAAAAGTTGTAGGTCAAGTGAATAAAAGTCTAACTCTAATACTGAAAAACAGAGAATCATGATCCCTCAATCAATTATCAGAGGCAAAGTAAGGCCTTTATTCTTCCTGTAAGGGATAAAAGCCAAGTCCCCTTGAGGAAGAAACCCATGACACTGCCAAAAATTTATAATGTTAATCTCTTTCTCAGCCTTCCCCAGAGGAGCTTATGGCCTTTTAACAAGATGACTAAGCATTAGGGAAAAGTAAATAATCAGACATTTTGGTGACTGCTGGACACTGGCTCTGAATTGACACTAATTCCTGGTGGCACTGAACACCACTGTGACTCAACAGTCAGAGTAGGGGTTATGCAGATCAGGTGATCAGTGGAGTTTTAGCTCATCTTATAGTAGATTCAGGTAATCTCTGAACCCATCCTGTGGTTATTTCCCAGTTCCAGAGTGCATAATTGGAATGGACATATTCAGCAACTATCAGAATCCCCACATTGGTTCTCTGACCTGTGGAGTGAGGGCCATTATCATAGGAACTGCCTGTACCTAAACAATGTAAACCAAAAGCCATACTGCATTCTTGGAGAGATTACAGAGGTTAGTGCTACTCTCAAGGACTTTGAAAGATGCAGGCGTGGCAGTTGCTACCATATCCACATTCAATTGTGCTATTTGGACTGTGCAGAAGACAGATGGACCTTAGAGAATGACAGTGGATTCATGAGCTTAATCAAGTATTAACTTTAATTGTAGCTGCTTTAGCAGATGTGGTTTCATTACTTAAGCAAATTAACACATCCCCTGGTACCTGGTATCTGAGATCTGGCAAATGCCTTTTTTTTTCTGTATCTGTTTCGAAAGGCCATTAGAAGCAGTTTGCTTTCAACCTGCAAGGCCAACAATACAAATTGAGTGTCCTATCCCAAGGGTATATCAGCTCTCCAGCCCTGTGTCATAAATTCAGTTCATACAGAACTTGAGGCCTTTTCCTTCCACCAGATACCACGCTGGTCCATTATCTTAATGACATTATACTGATTTAACCTAGTGAGTGTGAAGTAGCAACCACTCTGAACTTATTGGTAAGACATTTGCATGTCAGAGGGTAGGAAATAAATCCAACTAAAATGCAAGGGCATTCTACCTCAGTGAAGTTTCTAGGGGCCTAGTGCTGTGGGGTGTGTCAAAATATCCCTTGTAAGGTGAAAGAGAGTTGCAACATCCCGTCCCTCCTATAACCAAGAAAGAGGCTCAAGGCCTAGAGGCCTCTTAGTATTTTGGAGGCAACGTATTCCTCATTCAGGTCCAACCCATTTACAAAGTGAACTAAAAAGCTGCGAGTTTTGAGTGGAGCCTAGAAAAGAGAAGGTTCTGCAAAAGGCCTACATTACTGTGCAGCTGCTGTGCCCCTTGAGCCACATGAGCCATCAGATCCAATGGTACTTGAAGTGTCAGTGGCAGGGAGAAGTGCTGTGTGGAGCCTTTGGCAGGCCCTTTTAAGTGAATCGCAGTGCAGACATAGGACTCTGGAGAAAGGATCTGCCATCCCCTGTGAATAACTACTGTCTTTCTGAGGAACAGCTTTTGGCCTATTCCTGGGCCCTTTTAGAGCCTGAACACCTAATCCTGGTCCATCAAATTACCATGCAAGCTGAGTTGGCCATTATGAGCTGGGTATTTTCTTACCCACCAACTCAAGAGGTAGATGTGCACAGTAACAATCTATCGTCAAATGGAAGTAGTATATGTAAGATTGAGCTTGAGCAGGCCCTAATGGCACAGTTAAGTTACATGAAGAAATGACACAAATGTCCATGCCTTCCGTAGAAGCCTGAACCTATGGCCTCATGGAGAGTTCCCTATGATCAATTGTAGAGGAAAAGAATCTCAAGCCTGGTTTACAGATAGTTCTGCAGCATATGCAGACACTACCGAAAAGTGGACAGCTGCAGCACTGCGACCCTCTCTGGATCATTCCTGAAGAACACTGATAAAGAAAAAATCCTCTCCATGGGCAAAACTTCAAGCAGCACACCTGGTTGTTCACTTTATTTACAATGAGAAATGGCCAGCAATGAGATTCTATACTGATTTATGAGCTGTGGCAAATGGTTTGGCTTAATGGTCATGTCCTTAGAAGGAACAATATAGGAGTATTGGTGAAAACGAAGTATGGAGAAGAGGTATGAGAGTAGACCTCTTTGAATGAGAGAAAAACATGAAGATATCTGTGTCCCATGTGAATGCTTACCAAGATTTTAGTAATAAAATGGATAGAATGACTCATTCTGTGGATACAGTCAGTTTCTTTCCCCATCCACATTTGTCATAGTCCAATGGGCTCTTTGCCATTGTGGCAAAGATGGGGATTATGCATGGGCTTAGCAACACGGACTTCCACTCACCAAGGTTGACCTGACTATGGCCACTGTTGAATGCTCAATCAGTCAGCAGAAGAAACAGCACTGATTACTTGATACAGGATCATTCTTCGAGATGATCAGTCAGTAACCTGGGGCAGGTTGATTACATTCTATTGCTTCCATTATGGGAAAAGCAGGGTTTTGTTTCTACTAGACAAGGCACTTACCCTGAATATGTATTTTCCTTCCTTGCATGCAATGCTTCTACTAAGACTACAATCTGTGGACTTACAGAATGCATTAGTCACTGTTATGTTATTCCACACAGCATTGTTGCTGATCAAGGAACTCACTTCACAACAAACAAAGTGCAGCAACGGGCTCATGCTCATGGAATTCATTGGCCTTTCTATGTTCCCCACCATGCTACAAAAGCAGGCTTGGTAAGATAGTGGAATGGCTCTTTGAAGACTCAGTCACAGAGTCAGCTAGATGGCAATACCTTGCATGGCTGGGACAAAGTTCTCCAAAAGGCTGAATATGCTTTAAATCAGTGTCTAATATATGGTTCTGTTTCTCCCATGGCCAAATGCATAGGTCCAAGAATCAAGGGGTAGATATGGGAGTGACACAACTCACCATTACCCCTGGTGACCACTAGCGGAATGTTTGCTTCCTGTTCCCATGACTTTATACTCTGCTGGGCTAGGGGTCTTAGTTCCAAAGGGAGGAATACTTCCACCAGGAAACAAAATGATTCCATTGAACCTGAAGGCTGCTGTCACCTTTCTCAGCACACAAATGATGGGGATGTAAGGCTGGTGCTCATGGAATTGCAATTGCCTCTTGTCTTTAAAGGCAGTTAATTTCTACCCAGTTTCTGAGACTGTGGAAGGAAAGCAGACAAGGTCTCTGCTTGACTAGTAGATTTTGCTCTTCCCCACCCTCACCATAAAGTTCAAAGGCACAAACTGAAAAGATTTTGAAAGCTGGCTCAAAGCCTTTTTCTTCTGTTAACAAAAAGTTAGAGTATTTTGCTTGGGAGGATCAGTTTCATAATTGTATCAGTGCTCCTATTCTAGAATTTCTAGAGCCAATTCTTCAGTAATGGGCATCTCAAGCAAGCACATGCAAGTTGTATGTTTATTAACAATTTTTTTTTAAACTGGCAACGCTTCTCATGTTCCCTTACAGAGGGAGGAAGACATATCTGGAGAGACTGTGGAAAGAGCAGAAGAAAACATAAACTGATTACACCCACAGAACAATTGCTGATGGAACATGAAGGATGCTTTAGGGAAAGCACCCTGATGTTTCACATTCAAATTGCCTCATCATGTGTTTTTAAGGTGCTGCCTGTCTCCAGGCACAGAGGTGCCTGGAACTAAAACCTCAGTGTTTGTCCTCTCTGTATTATCCTTGGCTCCAGAGCAAGGAGAGAGTTCCAGGACAGGTGTGTACAGTGTTTGCAGGTGAATCTGCATGTTGGTCTGTGCACTCGTTTCTCCTTTCCACCCCAGCAGTCAGTGGTGATTTATAAGCATCCTTCTGCATGCCCTTGTGATGTGAGGGAAAGAGCAGAAACATTTGGTTTAGAAAATAAATGGAGTCTAAGTAAGACCTTGAGCCTTTAGTGGGTTAGTTGTCAGCTTTTGGACAGATCCCTTTACCTTCTTACCCTTAGCTTTCTCCCCTATGAAACAGGGCCATGATCTTGTAAAAGGATGAAAATGACATGAGTAATTGCAAATAATTATAAACATCAGGGAAAATTCAATCTACATCTACTACGCCTTCCATTCCTTTTCAACTATGTTATACATTTCTTTTAACTTTAGCTATTCATGGTGCAAGGGATCTTCCAGATATCTAGAAAGCTAATTCAAAGACTGACATTAGAAAACTTTACAGAAAAAAAAAGATTAAAGAGTTGCAGGCATGGGTGCAAAGAGCAACATAGCTGCTAAAGGAAGCTTGAAATCTTTGTCTAGTCCTGGGGACCCAGCTGGAGTTGTCAGGAATCAGCAGAGCAGGTGTTCAGCTGAGGTTTGGAAGAATTCTTAGCCCATTGAAATACTTTATGGGCCGGGCATGATGGCTCACACCTGTAATCCCAGCACTTTGGGAGGCCAAGGTGGGTGGATCACGAGGTCAGGATGTTGAGACCATCCTGGCTAACACGATGAAACCCTGTCACTACTAAAAAATACAAAAAAATTAGCTGGGCATGGTGGCAGGCACCTGCAGTCCCAGCTACTTGGAAGGCTGAGGCAGGAGAATGGCGTGAACCTGGGAGGCAGAGCTTGCCATGAGCCGAGATCGTGCCACTGCACTCCAGCCTGGGTGACAGAGCGAGAGTCCGTCTCAAAAAAACAAAACAAAACAATAAAACTTTATAAAGTCCTGATGCGGTGGCTTATGCCTGTAATCCCAGCATTTTGGGAGGCCGAGGTGGGCAGATCACTTGAGGTCAGGAGTTCAAGACCAGCCTGGCCAACATGGCAAGACCCTGTCTCTACTAAAAATACAAAAGTTAGCCGGGCGTGGTGGTGGGCACCTGTAATCCCAGCTACTTGGGAAGCTGAGGCAGGAGAATCGGGTGAGCCTGGGAGGTGAAGGTGGCAGTGAGCTGAGATCACACCACTGCCCTCCAGCCTGAGCAATAAAGTGAAACTCTGTCTCGAAAAAAAAAAAAAAAAAAAAAAAAACTTCATAAAAATGCTAAAATATTTATCCAGAATGCTCATTTATTTCTAGGATGAGGTTTATGCATTTCATCATGCAAAAAGTTCTGTTCAGGTCAGGACTAGAACAAATATTAATATATATTTACAAATGTTTGCAATGTACAAAAGGCTCTGTTAGTGATCTGCTGTAAAGAAAAAGAAAGGCTGCATCAGCCTTTGAAGTTTTGTTTGCCTTTGAAGCTGGAGGAAGTCATATTGCCTGAGTGCTGCTCTTCACATTAAGAAGGTAGGGCCACTTGAGGGACACCATCTGACAGGCTGCAATCTAGGAGAGACCTACAGGGTTCCAAAGGCTCAGTGTGCTAATTTCTGAAACAGGATAGAACCTCCCATCACCTCAGAGCGATGGGACGGCAGGCAGGCCTTGGCGAGCCTCACTTCATCTCCACCCTCTTCATGAAGCCCCTGACTTTTAGTTCTCTGCCTAACAGTCCAGAAGGGACTGGCCATTTCCAGCTAAAGGTCAGGCTGTCTTAGGCATAGTTGAAGTAACAGAATCATCCTTATTGCTGGTTGCTTTTTTCACTTTTATTTCTTTATTTCCTCTTCTCTTGAGGCTTTCAGAGGCACATTTTGGTGAGAGAAAATAAGTCTAAACATTTATGAATTAGAAATATTGGCTTCTGGCATCCTTGTGCCAGTTGTGTGGGAATCTATTTCTTAATAAGATCATAATTAAGAGCACGGTTGCAGATTGTGACTGTGTTTACAGGGGCCACTGAACTTGGCCTGTAAATAACAAACAAAGTCATAAAAACTATCCAGAGAATAAAAGGTGCATCCTACAGTGAAGCCCTAAGAGACAGTAGTCCCCAGGCTGGCTGGAGAGCAGCACAGTAGCCACTCTGCTGCAGCGGGAAGGGATTGAGGAGATGTCACGGAGTCTGAGTGGCAGAGCCAGGGCCAGATCCAGCCCATGAGGTCACAGGCTGAGGAGTTTCTGAGTTTCAGAGCCACAGGCACAGCCCAACCCCAGGACTGAAAGATGCCAGTTACTCATCCAGTCCCCAAGGAGTTCCTGCCGCTGACCTTTGAGAGAGAAGACCCCAGGGAACAAGCCTTTCACCAGAAGGGGGAAACTGGAGCTTGAGTAGCTGACATTAAATACTCATGTTGTCTTTGGTTATAGATTTAATCTCCCTGACTCTGTTTATTTTTCGTTTTTGTCTTTCATCATGAGTATGTGGTCCTAAAGCAGTGAATCTCAAACTATGTTTCTAAAGCATCTGAACCTGCTGGGAAATGAAAAGTTACCCACTATTTAATATAAATATACATGCATATACACATACACATACAAATGCATATACAAATACATATGCAAATACATGCACAAGTGCATATACATGAGCATGTATCCACGCATATCATATACATGTACACATACACATACATACATATACACATATAGACATATGCATATACATAGACAAAAGTATAGCTGTTTTGGCTGAAACTCCGGTCTCACTCACTCAACTCACACTCACCCTCTCCCTCGTCTGGCCTTCATAGTGACACCTAAGCACCCTCACAAAAAGCCTAGGCTCTGCCCAACTCCACTTTAAAACCACTGAGCTTTGATTCAGTCAAAAGCTTGTCCTCACCAACCAGCTTGCCAGTGAATCTGAAAATGTGGACCTTTGCGTGAGTCAGTGCTTTCTGACATCAAAATCTCTTGAAGGAAAGAGGATCGTTCCCCTATTTTAAAGATTGAATTTGGCAAAAAATTTAAAAAAAAGAAGTAAGAATTTCAAGCCAGATGGAAAAAATCTTTAGGGCTAAACAAAATCTCATAAAATGAATGAGGAGGAACTAAGCATAAACTATGTGATATTAATGGGTTAGAGATGTGCAGAAGTTTAGGGAAGATATTATACATGAGCAGAGCATTTAGAGATTGATGGGTTTCTGGATAAGTGGAGGGAAGCAGTGTAGGAGGAAAAAGCCATGGGTAAAATAAAAGTTCCTGATGATCACAGATGTCACAGGACTGGAGGAGTTTGTGCTATAAAAGGGAGAGGGATCGTAGTTGAGATAATGAGAAGATGAGAGAGACTCGTAGGAGCCTCATTATGGAATCTACGGAGGGCTGATAAGGGCAGGGCTGATCCTGTCACTCAGATAGGATGTAGAACGCTATCTCTGAGTGGGACAAGAACTCTGCCAGGCTGGTTCAGGACCGGGCGAGTGAGGGTGAGGTCTTGCTCAGCATTTTCAATGAGTGGGCCAATCAGTGGCTCTATGAAAATGGCAGAGATTCCTTCCTTGGTCCCTGTTGGATAGTCACCTCGTAAAATTGATCCTAATTTCTGACAACTACTCATGAAATATGCCTGCATTTTCCCATGCCAAACATTTGCAAACCATCTATTTGAAAAGTTTAAATGGATATTGTTAACTGAAAAAAAAAATCCACAATTTTTAAATTTAGAAACGGAAAGGAGACTTTTTTCTTATAAAGGGTTACATCCTGCAAGGTGGCCAACCTGCAGGCTGGGAAGCATGCCTCTGGCTGAAGCCCGGAGACAGGCACTTTGAAGGAGAAGGGGTTGAGTTGTAGAAGCTTCATTCTGAATAGGTTGACTAAACACACATATTCAACAAGTTACAGGAGGAGCTGTGAATATTCATGAAGGTGGTCCTGACACATGCCTAGTGAACAAACATGCATGTAACATACAACCCATATTCACCTTGGGGTGGAGAGTTACCATTTAAATTTGTTACAGTTTAGCCCTATATGTCAACAGGTTTTATCAGGAGACAAAGGCACTTAAGTGTGCAACCTCTGTAAACCAGCCAGAACCAGTCCATGATTGGTGGGCTCTTATCAGGAGAAAGTTACTGAAATCAGTCTCTTGTCTGATCGAAGCTGTAACTATGGCTGGTGGAACAGGAGTTTAGTGAGTGAGTGTCTGTCTGTGAGCTGGATGGATTGTGATTGTTTTAATATTGCTTACGTTGAGGCTGGGGCTTGTTTAGCTGCTAGAGAAAAAGAAAAAGCTGTGAGAACATAGTTTATCCTTTCAGTGTAGGGGTGTGTGACTTACCTCTTGCTTGGCATGGTAGGTCCTGTTTATAATTTGGTATCTTATGGCCACAAAGAGTCTGTTCTGTCATTCTTACAGTCTCTATTTTAACATTAATGCTGGCTGTTGTGACTAAACCGTAAAAGGGAAGGGGCATAACAAGGCATGTCTGATGTCCCATCCTGTCATGGCCAGGAACTCAGTTTTCAGGTTTCTCTGGGCTCTCCTTGGCCACAATGGGGTCTGTTCAATAGGTGGGAGAGTCTGGATTTTATATTTGTTTATTTAGACAGAGTTTCGCTCTGTCACCTAGGCTGGAGTGCAGTGGCATGATCTCGGCTCACTGCAACCTTCGCCTCCCCAGTTCAAGCAATCCTCATGCCTCAGCCTCCCAAGTTGCTGGGACTACAGGTGTGAGCCACAACACCTAGCTTTTTTTTTTTTTTTTTTTTTAGTACTTTTTAGTATTTTTAGTAGAAATGAGATTTCCCCATGTTGGTTAGGCTGGTCTCAAACTCCTGACCTCAGGTGATCCACCTGCCTCGGCCTCCCAAAGTGTTGGGATTACAGGTGCGAGCCACTGTGCCCAGCTTGGATTTTATTTTTAGTTTACAACATGCATGCCCACACTTGCACATATATGCACACATGTGTGCACACACATATTTATAAGAAGAAAATATGGACAGCTGCTACAGTCTTCATTTCTGGCCACAGTATCGTAGCTAATATTTAACTCAACTAGTTGGGGATCCTTTTTCTTGTCGGGTGACCCAAACCTTAATTCCCAAAGGGTGTGAGTCCTTAGCAGTCCTGCCTTTGTGAGGTTGCTATTATTGTCCATTTCTATTTCCAAAGGCTGACAAAATAAATTACCACAAACTGAGTGGTGGCTCAAAAAACAAATTGATTTTGTCACAGTTCTAGAGGCTGGAAGTCCAAAATCAAGATGTCAGCAGAATGCATTCCTTCTGGAGGTTCTGAAAGAAAAGCCTCCCTAGGCCCCTCTCCTAGCTCTGATGCTGCTGGCACGTCCTGGTAATTTTTTGGCTTGTTGCTTCATCATTCCAGTATCTGCCTCCATTGTCACATGGCACTCTTTCTGTGTGTGTCTGTGTCTCTTCTCTGTTTCCTTTTTTTTTTTTTTAAGACGGAGTCTCACTGTCTCCCAGGGTGGAGTGCAGTGGTGCGATCTTGGCTCACTTCAAGCTCTGCCTCCTGGGTCCACACCATTCTTCTGCCTCAGCCTCCCGAGTAGCTGGGACTACAGGTGCCCGCCACCATGCCTGGCTAATTTTTTGTATTTTTAATAGAGACGGGGTTTCACCGTGTTAGCCAGGATGGTCTCGATCTCCTGACCTCGTGATCCGCCCGCCTCGGTATCCCAAAGTGCTGGGATTACAGGCGTGAGCCACCGCGCCCGGCCTTCTCTGTTTCTTATAAGGACGATAGTCACATGGACTAGAGCCCACCCTTATCCAGCTCATCTACCCTTGATATCATTTGCAAAGACTGTACTCCCAAATAACATCACGTTCACAGGTATTGGGGGTTAGGACTTTAGCATAGCTTTTTCGGGGGACACAATCTAGCCCACAAAATTGTCCACTAACATTTTCTATTATGTGTGGCAGAGCCAAGAAGCACTCAAGAGCATCCCCTGGGTTTTTAGGGGGACATGGTTCTTCCTACCTCCCTTGTGAGCAGAAACCCAATTTCTGCTTAGGGATCAGCCAGGACAGTTACTCTATTCTTTATAGTGGAATAAGAAGCCTCAAATGACAGAATAAAGCCTCAGTATCCCATTCAACAGATACAGCCTTATTTTCTCCAGCAGAAGCACTTCTGTCTTAGGAACTAGAATCTCCAAACCAGCAAAGCACAAGATTCTGGAGGGAGAAGCAAAAATCCTGCAGAAGAAATATGAGAAGAGCCATTTCCAATTATGCCTCTTTGATTTCCAGACTCCTGTATTCTGTTGATTGATTGCTGCTTCAAAGCATATACTACTTCCAGAATGCTGTCACTTTATGGGCGCTGTAACTGTATTCTCAGGCCATTGTGCCATTATATCAGGACAAGGCAGAAATTGGTGGAGGTCAGTGTTACAATCTGCTTGCCCTATCATGTGGCTGAGTGGTTCCCCCGGGAAGTTAATGCTGCTGAACCCTTGAGTGGCTTCTATCACCACTTCCTTAGCCACTTTATACCCAGACCCATTGAGCAAACACCCCGGAGCCTTCCAGCACACCCACTGAATGTGTCATCACATCCCCCTGATTCCTGAAAGTCTCCTGTGTAGCAGATGACCTTCAGGGAACATTCACGTGGGACACAGGTATGCCCCACCCTGTGTCCCTTCTGAGAAGTCCATTTACACATCTCTTCTTCAGTCTGTCACTAGTTATCCAATGCCATTCTTTCCCAGTCTCTGACCATCTACTCAGAGAACCACACATGAATTTGTGTAGATCTGTACTTCTGGCCATCTGTTACGCAGATAAAATGAAAAACTAAATTTTACTGCTACAAGTTTTGTCCACTGGGAAGCTATCCTTTTCCCTTTGTTCTTCAGCACTATCCTTGAGTGAGACAGTAGCATTGGCAGCGATCCACTTATGGCTGGTGCCAGCATAACAGAACCATCTGCAAACCAGCTGCCGTAGGCAACTCCCAATGAGGTCCTAAGTGTAAATTATGGGAAGAAAAGATGGAGAAGAAGGAAAAGATGGAATCGGAGTCCTTAGCAGTCACCTGCTCATGAAACCTGTTTCTGGACTTGCCGAATCTTATTCTCCTCCCACCTTATGGCCTAGTGTGTCGGTGCATAGCCAATTCATGATGAACAGTGGTCATGAAGTTCTCATTTTGTCTTGACAAAGCTCAGTAGCATAGCAAGATAAGAGTTGATTCTTAAAATAATAATTATATGCAGAGTAGAACATGGCTTTTCTCCAAAGCCCTATATATTTGCATTGCGATTCTCATTTGGGCTTGCCAGAAGCTCCTGAAAACAGATATTCAATTATGCTTTTATTTATTTATTTATTTATTTATTTATTTATTTATTTTGAGACGGAGTCTCGCTCTGTCACCCAAGCTGGAATGCAGTGGTGAGATCTCAGCTCACTGCAACCTCTGCCTCTTGTGTTCAAGCAATTCTCCTGCCTCAGCCTCCCGAGTAGCTGGGACTACAGGTGCCCGCCATCAGGCCTGATTAATTTGTGTATTTTTACTAGAGATGGGGTTTCACTATATTGGCCAGGCTGGTCTCGAACTCCTGACCTTGTGATCCGCCTGCCTCGGCCTCCCAAAGTGCTGGGATTACAGTTGTAAGCCACCACACCTGGCCTTCAATTATGCTTTTATGTGTGTCCATATGGCCCCAGTCACTTACCTTGGAGCTTTGTTGGTTACTCAATAAATGGGTTGGGACAGCACTCTCAAATGTGGTATTTGTTGCCTCCAAAGACATTTTCTCAACACCGTGCCCATTTTTTAGGGGTAGGTAATAGATGAAATAACAACTTCTGTTTCACTTTGGAAGAAATGCCCAAACATGCTTCAGACCACAGGGCCATGAGAAACCTCCCCAAGGCATGGGCCTCGAGATTTCATGGGGTTTATTGTTCACTCTTTGCCACACATGTGTCTCATTAAGACATTTAGGGTTCTTGCTGTGCTTGCTCACCAGATTCAACCAAGATGGTGTCCTGGGTATGGTGGAAGAAGATGTTCTCTGGGATGCAGAGATTTCCCTGAACAAGTCCATCACAGAGAGCAGGAGAGTCTGGCCTCTTCAGATGTGAGCCATCATTAAGTTCAAATTCACTCCACCATCCATGCAAACTGTGAGAGCTGCTCCATGGTGCCCAAATCAGCACATTCAGCTAGAATCTCTGTAAGTGCTCTCACATGGATGGGGTCAGCCTTATTCAGTGTTGAATTCTGTGCTCTGTGGTGTAATGTTCTTAGGATTCATGCACTACATTTACCCATGTTTCTGGTACTTTGAATTGGTGAGTATTGCCCTTTTTATCATTTTTCTTCCCTCTCTCTTTTTTTTCTCTCTCTCCTATAAACCATGTCCTTCTGGATTGGACTTTGCTTTTCTCCCTGTGGAACATACTTGACATTTGTGACCCTAATTATGGGTCTCATGCACTAATGGGTGATGGGAGTGAGCCCTGAGAGTTTTAGATATCACCTTACCAGGGAGCTCAAGCATGTGAAGTTATTAAAAGGTCTTCAAATAAGGGAAGATTCTACAGGCAGGGAGAGGAGGCTGCTTCCTTCAGCAAGGATGGCTTAGAGAGACTTGGGGTGTAAATTTCCCAGCTTTTCTTGAATCCACACAGATAACCCAATTCCAAGTCTTGGAGAGCCCCCTGCTACAATCAAAGCCTAACTTTTACACAAATGTATTGGCGAGTCTGAGGATTGAACTTACACTGTAATTTTGTACCTACTCCATTAAATTCTGCATCTATTTTATACAGCTCTATCTGCCTTGCTGCTTGTAAGTAAAACAAAGATGTTTTGTTTTGGTTTTAGTGTCACTGGAGAAGCTGTCTGATTCTCTGAACATGACGCAAGCCTTGCTGTCACCACCACCGTGAAGGTCAGATACAGCACCCAAGGTACTTGCTGCAATAGGCCTTTCTTCCCCTGCAACTGAGGTGATAATTGAATCATAATACCACTGCACGCCTTGGATTATAGGAATCCCGTTTCCCACTCAGCATTGCATTCAAGACAAAGGACATACCAAGTCAACCCTAACATCTCACATCAGATGTTCATAAACGGCTCACATTTTCTGTACTTTATGCATATTTTTTTACTCATAAAAGAGTCAAGGGGAAACAGCTTTGAAGAAGGAGCCCAAATGATATTAGCGTTCATGCTTATTTTTAGACTTCAAAAAGATAGGTATCTAAACACTACTTACTGGATAAATGTAAGGGTGTATTTTAGCCATTGTAGATTTCCTAACAGTAATTATTAACTATACAACCATACGAACTCATTATTAAGTACTTAGTGTGCTTTTGACATCAGCTCCATCTCGATTTCTTTGAATTGCATGAGCTGTTTTGTAGGACAGTACACATCTGTCCTGGAAGTGTCCCAGAGAGCCAGCAAACCCCTCACCTGCTGGACTGTGGCTGTGTTGGGAACCTGTCTACGTTTAAAACTCCAATGCTTTGACTGAGTGGTATTGGCTGGATAAAATCTGTGGTCTTTGTGAGCTCTACAAGGGCAAAGCTGGTTAACTTGTTCATTTCAAAGGAGTAATCTTAATATTGTTAATGTGGCTTGTGGCATCAAGGTTATTAGAATTTAAGGACTTAATAGATTTCTCCATCTACTACATCAATGGTAATTGTAGAAATTAGCTAAAATGCACTACTGCTTAAATGCAATGGAAAAATATTTCTTTCTTCCTTTCAAGACTTTAAGAGGTCTGAAATGTTTCTGTCCAGGCCCTTGCGCCTCTGCCACCGCTGTGAGAAGTACATATCCTGGCCAGCCTGCTGACTCAGGAGGTTGAGAATCAGGTGCAGCAGACCAGAGCACTGCTTCAGTGTCAGGGTAGAGCTGCTCCATGACCCAGAGATTCATACGAGTAAGTTATTTTCCTCAAGACCAGTGAGTTTGTTACACAACAGAATTGTGGCCATACCCAACCAATACAGCATGAATCTTTTCCATTACGTTACTATACAATTACACAATTGATCGTTCTATATGCATTGTTTTGTTAAACTGCATGTCTTAGGGATCCTCCAAGGTTAGTACCTATAAGCCAAACTTATTCTTTTTAATGGCTGCAGAGTATTCTGCAGTATGGTTATAGCAAAACTTATTTATTCATTCCCCTGTCGATGAATATCTAACTTCCCAATCTCTCCTTAAATCAACAATGCTGAAATGAACATTTTTATGTATATATGCCTTTTCACACTTGGGCATCATATTTAAGATAGATTCCTGCTGTAAAGTTTATGAATCAAAATATGTACATATTTAAATTTTGAGAATTACTGCCACTTTTTCTGAAAGGCTACACATTTGCACTCCCACCAATGATGAATGAGAACATTGATTACCCTGCCTCTTCTAAATTAATCCCAGCCTAATAGATGAGGAAAAAGTCTCATGGTTGTAACATACTATTTCTTGATTTTTGAGTAAGTTTAACACATTTTCATATGCTTACTATGTTTGACTCTTCCGAGAGAGTATGTTCATGGTCTAAATTTTTCTATTAAAATGTTTTTCTTTCTTATCAATTTTAGGATCTCTTTATATATTCTTGATATTCATCCGTATTGATTAAATATGTTACAAATATTATCTACCAATCTACCACTTGCCCATTGACTTTACAGTGTTTTGCTTTTTCACTAAAGAAGATTTTAGGTTTTTATGAAGACAAACGTTTCATTAGATTTATGTAGGACTTTTGATTTTTGCACATTGCCTAGAAATACTTGTACTTCACTTCAATATAATGAAACCACTCCGTATATTTTCTTTTACTAAATTTACAATCTTAACTTTTATCTGGCATTTATACCATTGCACTATTATGAAAACACTCTATAATGTTTTCTCCTAATAAGTTTACAGTACCATTTTATATCTGAACATTTTTTATAATGTAAGAAAAAATTTTTCCTATAGATATCTAATTATCTCCAAATTATTTATTGAATGAGCTATTCATTTACTATTGACTTTAAACACCATTATCTTTGTCATAAGCTACTATCTCATTAACAGAAGAGTATATTAATTTTTAAAGAGTTTTAAAAATTTTATAGCAAAAACACATAAAATTTACATCTTAATTGTTTTTAATGTACCGTTTAGTAGTATTAAGTACATTCACATTGTTGTGCAATTGTGACCACCATCTATCTCTAGAAATTCTTTAATTTGCAAAACTGAACATGTACCCATTAAAAAATAACTCATCATTTCACCCTCAAAAGGGTGAAAATCCTGGAAAGCCTGGAAACTGCCAGTGTACTTTCTGTCTCCATGAATTTGACTACTCTATGTATCTCATATAAGTAAAATCATGCAGCATTCTTTTTATGACCAGCTCTTTCACTTAGCCTAGTGGCTTCAAGATTCATCCATGTTGTAGCACGTGACAGGATTTCCTTCCTTTTTTAAGGATGAGTAATATTAAGGATATATTTCTAAAACCTCGAGCCTGTTTATCTGTTTTATTTTTCTACTTTGGTACAATACTACAATGTTTTAAATACAACAGATCAATAGTGATAAGAAAAAGCTGGTATAGTTGGATATTTGTCCCCTCCAGATCTCACGCTGAATTTGATCTCCAGCGTTGGAGGTGGAGGCTAGTGGAAGGTGCTTGGGTCACGAGGGCAGATCCCTTGTAAATGGCTTGGTGATATCTGCTTGGCAGTGAGTGAGATCTTTTTCTAATAGTTCATGAGAGAGTTGGTTGATTAAAAGAGCCTGAGCTCCCCTTCCCTCTCTCACCCTCTCTCTCGCCCTCTCTCTCACCCTCTCTCTCGCTCTCTCTCTCACCCTCTCTCACCCTCTCTCTCACCCTCTCTCACTCTCTCTCTCACCCTCTCTCTCACCCTCTCTCACTCTCTCTCTCACCCTCCCTCTCGCTCTCTCTCTCGCCCTCTCTCTCGCCCTCTCTCTCGCTCTGCTCTCTCTCTCACCCTCTCTCTCGCTCTCTCTCTCGCTCTCTCGCCCTCTCTCTCACCCTCTCTCACCCTCTCTCTCGCTCTCTCTCTCACCCTCTCTCGCTCTCTCTCTCACCACAACATAAACCTGCTCCCCTTCACCTTCCACTGGTGGTGGAAGCAGCCTGAAGCCCTCACCAGAAGCAAATGCTGACACCATGCTTCTTGTACAGCCTACAGAACCATGAGCCAAAGAAACTGCTTTTCTTTATAAATTACCCAGCCCTAGGTATTCCTTTATGGGAACACAAAATGGAATGAAATACAAGTAAATTTGCCATCTTATCGTTCTCTTTGTAAAAATGAATTAGACATTCTCCACTGCTGTGGTCTGAATATGTCCCCCAAAATTCATATGTTGTAAACGTAATGCCCAATACAACAGTGTTGGGACATGGGGCATTTTGAGAGATGTTTAGGTTTCTTCAAATTGATATCATTATAAAAGGGCTTGAAGGAGAAAGTCTGGCCCCATTTCACCCTTCCTTCCTGATATGGTTTGGCTGTGTCCCCACCTGAATCTCATCTCGAATTCCCATATATTGTGAAAGGGAACCGGTGGAGGTAATTGACTCATGGAGGCAGATCTTTTCCGTGCTGTTCTCGTGATAGTGAATAAGTCTCACGAGATCTGATGGTTTTAAAAATGGGAGTCTCCCTGCAAAAGCTCTCTTCTCTTGTCTGCTGCCATGTGAGACATGCATTTCACTTTCTGCTGTAATTGTGAGGCCTCCCCAGCCATGTGAAACTGTAAGTCGAATAACCCCCTTTCTTTTGTAAATTGCCCAGTCTCGGATATGCCTTTGTCAGCAGCATGAAAACGGACTAATAATACACTTTTCTTCTGCTATATGAGGACACAGCATTTGTCCCTTCTGGAAGATGCAGCATCCAAGGCACCACCTTGGAAGCAGAGAATAGCCGTTACCCGATAGTTAAGCCAGCCAGCACCTCAGTTGGACTTAGGCTGTAGAACGGTCAGAGATAAATTTCTGTCCTGTATTAATTACCTAGTCTCAGATATTCAGTTATAGCAGCACAAAACTGACTAAAACATCTGCCATATGAATTTTAAAAACCTTTTATCAAGTTCATAAAACTTTCAGTTAAATTGAAAATTTTCTTTTTTTGGGGGGGTTTATTATTATTTTTATTTTTTATTATACTTTACGTTTTAGGGTACATGTGCACAATGTGCAGGTTAGTTACACATGTATACATGTGCCATGTTGGTGTGCTGCACCCAGTAACTCGTCATTTAACATTAGGTATACCTCCAAATGCTATCCCTCCCCCCTACCCCTACCCCACAACAGGCCCCGGTGTGTGATGTTCCCCTTCCTGTGTCCATGTGTTCTCATTGTTCAATTCCCACCTGTGAGTGAGAACATGTGGTGTTTGGTTTTTTGTCCTTGTAATAGTTTGCTGAGAATGATAGTTTCCAGCTTCATCCATGTCCCTACAAAGGACATGAAATCATCATTTTTTATGGCTGCGTAGTATTCCCTGGTGTATATGTGCCACATTTTCTTAATCCAGTCTATCATTGTTGGACATTTGGATTGGTTCCAAGTCTTTGCTATTGTGAATAGTGCTGCAATAAACATATGTGTGCATGTGTCTTTATAGCAGCATGATTTATAATCCTTTGGGTATATACCCAGTAATGGGATGGCTGGGTCAAATGGTATTTCTAGTTCTAGATCTCTGAGGAATCGCCACACTGACTTCCACAATGGTTGAACTGGTTTACAGTCCCACCAACAGTGTAAAAGTGTTCCTATTTCTCCACAGCCTCTCCAGCACCTGTTGTTTCCTGACTTTTTAATGATCGCCATTCTAACTGGTGTGAGATGGTACCTCATTGTGGTTTTGATTTGCATTTCTCTGATGGCCAGTGATGGTGAGCATTTTTTCATGTGTCTTTTGGCTGCATAAATGTCTTCTTTTGAGAAGTGTCTGTTCATATCCTTTGCCCACTTTTTGATGGGGTGGTTTGTTTGGTTTTTTTTGTAAATTTGTTGGAGTTCATTGTAGATTCTGGATATTAGCCCTTTGTCAGATGAGGAGATTGCAAAAATTTTCTCCCATTCTGTAGGTTGCGTATTCGCTCTGACGGTACTTTCTTTTGCTGTGCAGAAGCTCTTTAGTTTAATTAGATCCCATTTGTCAATTTTGGCTTTTGTTGCCATTGCTTTTGGTGTTTTAGACATGAAGTCCTTGCCCATGCCTATGTCCTGAATGGTATTGCCTAGGTTTTCTTCTAGGGTTTTTATGGTTTTAGGTCTGACATTTAAGTCTTTAATCCATCTTGAATTAATTTTTGTATAAGGGGTAAGGAAGGGATCCAGTTTTTCATGAGATGTATAGATTAACCTGGAGATAATTTGCATTTTCCATGACTGTATCTTTCAGTGTAGGTATAGGGTATGTCTCCTCTTATTTTTTTTTTTTAACATTCTTCAACAAAGTTTACAATTTTATTCACATCAGACTTGTATACTCTTTGTCAGGTTTATGGTAGAATTTGCTGGCAACTCTTCAAAATTTAATCAACCCTTTTCTTTGTGCAAGCAGTTAGATTCCCTTCCCAGCTTCCCTTGCAATTAGTTGGGGTCATATGACTGAGGTTGTAGTTAGTGGAATTTGAGCAGAAGTGATGGATGTTACTTCCAAGCCAGGACCTTAAAACCATCCCACACTTTCTCTAAGCTCTCTTTCCTTCCTGCCTTGGATGACAACTCCCAGGGTGATCTTGGGAGAAACCTGTGGAAGGTGACAGAACCCCTGTGTCCCTGAATGATGCAGTGGAGCAGAGTCCCAACCTCCCCCTCTGGACTGCTGCCCTGGGCTTTTGGATGAGTGAAACATGAACTGCTCTTGGATGGAGTTGTTACACGTTTGAGTCTGTTACTACAGCTGATTCTACCCTAATCAGTATCAAACCAGTGACCTTAAGGTGTGATGCCACAGATGAGCCCTGAAATACATGAATGCCACTTCCAGGCCACCCCATAACAACCTTACATACACACTCTTCCATGCTTTCCTCCTCTCTGGCTAACCAGGATTGCAACTCCATGATAGCCTTGGAAGCAGGGTATAAAAGATGGCAGAGTCGCTGCTCACCTGTGCACCCAGAGCCTCCACACCTGCCTGGAACCACCTGGAACGTCACGTTGCTAAGGGAGTTGTTAGATATTGGGGTCTCTGTAATGCTAGAAGAGGTTCCATTTAGATAATAAAAGTTCTTCTTTGGGGTTTTGTGTGCATTTAAACAATTGGTAATGGCATTTGTTTCTTTCTATCATGTTTTCTAATTGGTTATTGTTAGTAAGTATTTTTAAATGTTTATTTTATATCAGACCACCTTACTAGTTAATATAGTTTATCAGTTAATTCTGTGAAATTTTGGGGTAGATTATCAGATAAAACTTTTTAAAATGGCAGTTTTGTCTTTTCTTCATGCTGTCTGTACAATGTTTCTGTATTTACTGCTAAGATTTCTTATTCACTGTTTGCATAAAAGTGGTGCTAGTAGGTGTCCTTTTCTTGTGTAAAATTTTAACATGAATATTTATGATATTTTGCCATTAGCTATTATGTTTGCTCCAGTTTTCTAGATCTCTCTTATACAAAATTAAGAAAGTTTTCTTTTATTTCTAACTTCACTGTTTTGCTTTGTTTACATTTTTATCAGAAATGTAATCAGGATGTTGGTTTTAGCAAATGCTTTCTTGATATTGATTGAGATGATCTTGTTTTCCTCTTTTAATCTGAAGACATACAGAATTGAATTAATAGATTTTGAAACTATTGAATCATGTTTGCATATCTAAGTCTTGATTTTACAAGACACACACATTTTTAAAAATCATTATTCTGTGAAATTCGCTAAGATTTTTTGGGGTTTAATTTCTGCAGCTCTCTGTGTTAGTGAGATTGGCTGATCTCATTTAGTTTTGTGTCAGCTTTGTCTAGTTGTGGTGTTAGTTTTATACTAGCCTCACAGAATAAGGTAGCAGCCTTCCCATATTGTTTGATGCTACAGCAAAGTCTGTATCACACAGGGATAATCTAATCTATGAGCTAAAGTTTCATAAAATTTATTAACTCAAGAAAATCCCTGAACTTGGTTTCATTATTATGGATAGATTTTTTTCTTTTTATTATCTTTTAAATTTGGTTTAGATGCTTTTGACTGTTTGAATTTTGTTTCTTATTAAGTTAAAAATGATAATTTATAGTGTTCTCAAAAACTGTCCATTTAATCTAGACATTGAAATATATTAATTTAATATCTTATATTTTAAATATATTTATATATTTATACCAGCTTGCTTTTAAAATTATATTTGTATTTATATTATATTACAAAATATTTTTAAATGCTCTTTTCATTGCAAAGAACTGTCTTTTTATTTTAGTGATGAAATCTGTGAATTTTAGCTGCTAAATCATTTTGTTTAAATCTTATTATATTGCTTCTACTTTCTTTAGGTTGTTTTTTCTTTGATTTGATTACATTTTTCAATTATGGAAAATTTTCAGCTGTTAGCTCCAAATACCTCCTCTCCATTCTTTCTCTCCTAGAACTCTTACAGATTGTGCATTCTATCATTAATTCCTCCTAAATGATCATTCCCAGTCACCATTTTTTATATATCTGCTGTAATCTGAGTGATTTCTCAGTGCTAATGTCTACCTCACTGATTCTCTCTGTTGCTATTTCTATGTAATCTGTTGAAAACTGCATCTATTGATAAATTATTTTCTTTTTTGCTATCCTTTCATTCTTTATTTTTAGTTTATTTGTTTTATGGAAGGAAATATGGCTTGTATCATTTTTGCTTTTAGGAATGTGCATAGCTTTTCTTTGCAGCCAGACACATAATCTATTTTTGTGCCTATCTGGGTAGGGAGGATTTCAAAAACACCTGGAGGCAAGAATAGGGAACATTAACTGCCTTAAAACCAGGATCAGTCCTGGCTCCCCAGGGGCTCAGCTCATTGGCTCCAGACAAGAGTTCTGATCTGAACATCTGAGTTAAGAAAAAAGACCTCATGTGTCTTCCTGTGCCATCCTGCTGGAGCAAGAGCCAGGAGACCTACAGGAGCGCTGCTTCCTCCTCCCTTTTATGCGCTTGTCTCAAGTCTGTTTTGGAGGCCATTGCAAAGGTGCTGCCTGCAGGAGCCAGCCCTCTGGGCGTGTGGAGGGAAGGGCACACTGACTAAGCTGCCCACAGGAGGGAAGCGGGACCAAGGACGTGGGAGGAAGCTCACATGGTAACTATGGGGCATAAGGCATTTTGAGAAAAGCAAGACTTTGAGGAGGAATTTTTAGGACTAAAGAATAGCATGAGTGTCTGGAAATCCTAGGGTAAAGAGCAACTCATAAGGAGAAAGAGAAAGGTGGGAGAGCTCAGAGGCAAAAGTCTATTCTTACCTGTGCCCTGGACTGGCCCTTCCCTACCCCATTTCCTAGACACCGAGATAGAATTTCATGCTGCTCACAGTGTCCGGACTGCAACACACCATTTCTGTGTTTCCTGTAGTTAGGTGGAGTTGATAATTTAAGTAACAGACAAAACTAAGAGACCCCTTGGCCAGTCTCAGGCAGCAAGCACAGTGTGTGCCCTTTATTATTTTATTTTATTTATTTATATTTTTTGAGACAGAGTCTCACTGTGTCGCCCAGGCTGGAGTGCGATGGCGGGATCTTGGCTCACTGCAAGCTCTGCCTCCCGGGTTCACGCCATTCTCCTGCCTCAGCCTCTTGAGTAGCTAGGACTACAGGTGCCTGCCACCATGCCGGGCTAATTTTTTTTTTTTTTTTTTTTTTTTTTTTAGTAGAGACAGAGTTTCACCGTGTTAGCCAGGATGGTCTCGATCTCCTGATCCCCCCTCCTCAGCCTCCAAAAGTGCTGGGATTACAGGCGTGAGCCACCACGCCTGGCCGTGTGTGCCCTTTATACTAGTAATAGGCACATGTGAATTTTGTCCACACTTATGCAGAAATGGAGAAGAAGCACTGCAGTAAACACCTAAGAAACAGCAATCAGAAAGGTTGTGGGCAAAGCTCGATATTCAGATGTGTCCTGGACTCCCCTCCAGTATCATTTTAATTACAAATCATCCATATGGAAACCTGGAGACTGTTTTAACTTTCCTTTTCAGTTTTTAGTTATATCTTACATCTTATATCACTTTCTAAAATTGAATAACCTGGAGATTAATTTATTTGCTTGTCACTTTTCCATTAGAAGCTTGAATTCATTTCTGTTTTCATTACCAGTACACAGTGGCTTGTCCCAAATTATCTTCACCCAAATCCTACCTGGATGAACTTACAGCATTTTAATAAAAATGGTTATTTGCTCTGGGAGAAAATTGTAATGGGCAAAATAAATCTCCTTTTCTTTGAAGTAGTTTGAATGTGAGATCACAGTATGTCCTTTCTGTTAATACTTGGCTGCAGGATAATCCATGATTCCTTCTTTAAAAAAGTTCAGTACTAAAGTTGTTATGCAACATTTTATTAGAAGATAAAGTGCTCCCATTCTTCATATATACTCCATAAACTGCTGAGATGTCAAAGTGCTCCATAAATAATACAAGCTTCTTGCCCATCATTAACAAAAGACGCTGCTAAGTGGACAGAAAATTCAGTAATTCCCTTTTATGGAGATCACAGTACATACACTTAGTCCAATTTGCTGACCCTGCCATCAAAAATTACTGTCTGCAGAAACCCTGGCCTGGATTTTTTCACACTGAAAAATGGAGAGCTGGGGATTTTAATGGAAGACGCTGAACACTGGTTAAAATTCTGCCTTCACTTGAGAACTGGTCCACTGAGAAAAAATTATAACTATTGCTTCCCTTCCATTGAGAACACACTCTTCTATCAAAGGCATTCTGAGCCAGGAATCTGAGCTCTTTCAAGAAATCAGCTTATAGTAAGGCCAAATGAACTGCTAAGTCAGATCCCAGTGTGATGATATGCATATTCCCATTTATGATATGTCATCAATCATGGCTCATGCCTCTTGATTGCACTATGATAAATATGCCACTCAAGCAGGTTCATCGTACATCAGAGCCAGGGAAGGCAGCTTGGGAAATGCACAGGGTAATGGGCAACTTGGAAAGTGTGCAAATCCAGACAAGGCAGGTGCCTGCAGGACAAATCAGCCAAAGCCAACCAGATGTCTGGGCACCTGGTGTGGACATGCTTTCCCTCAGCCCAGATTTAGTTTCAGTGCATCACGTCTCTGTGTTCCAAGCAGCAGTTAACCTCAAGGCCGCACTAACATCTCTGGTGAGTTTACGGCCTCTGGTTCCTATCTACTCTCTGATTTAGGATATTCTTCAGCAGCAGATTGATCCTACATTCTGGCAAGTGCAGTTACATGGATCGTAATGTGCAAGTTCCCATGACCCCTCAGTCTTTCTTTCCAGCTGATGCACAAGTTAGACTCTAGTCCTCTCCAGATGTTTCATCTCACAATATGAAATCCACCTTTCACTGGTATCTCTCACACAAATCAGAGCCAGATTGCCAAACTTCTTCACCTGACCTAATCGGCCAAAAACCAGAAAGCAGTATTTGCTGTTTTCCAATGATGTGGCCCACCGTGATTAACTTCCATAACACACAAACATGTTCCTCAAAAAGAAAGGCTAATGCTACATTCTAGAGAAAATGTATTACCCCTTGATATGGTTTGACTCTGTGTCCTCACCCAAATCTCATCTCAAATTGTAATCCCCACGTGTCGAGGGAGGGAGGTGATTGGATCACTTCCAATGCTGTTCTTGTGATAGTGAGTGAGTTCTCATGAGATCTGATTTTAAAAATGGCAGTTTCCCCTGTGCTCTCTCTCTCTTGCTGCCTTGTGAAGAAGGTGCTTACTTCCCCTTTGCCTTCTGCATAATTGTAAGTTTCCTGAGGCCTCCCCAGCCATGTGGAACGGTGAGTCAATTAAACCCCTTTCGTTTATAAATTACCCAGTCTCAGGTAATATGTTTACAGCAGTGTGAGAAAGGACAAATGCACCCCTCTCACCCTTTCTTTCCTGTTAAATTGTTTCAAAACTAGCTTTGGGGCATGTTAAAAATGTAGATGCGCCAGGCGGATAACTCATACCTGTAATCCCAGCACTTTGGGAGGGTGAATCACGAGGTCAGGAGATCGAGACCATCCTGGCTAACACAGTGAAACCCCGTCTGTATTAAAAATACAAAAAGTTAGCCGGGTATGGTAGCATGCACCTGTACAGTCCCAGCTACTCGGGGGGCTGAGGTGGGAGAATCACTTGAACCTAGAGGCAGAGGTTTCAGTGAGCTGAGATCGCACCACTGTACTCCAGCCTGGGCAATGGAGCAAGATTCCATCTCAAAAAAAAAAAAACAAAAAACAAACAAACAAACAAAAAAAACCTGCCTGGGCCTCAAGTGCAGACCTATTAAATTAAAATTTCTGGGAATGGGGCTTACAGACTCTTGTTTTTTTATAAGCAGCCAGATAGTTCTGTGCATTGAAGTTTGAGAAGTTATTTGGGGTAGGTTTTCTCTGAGATGCCTTTCTGCCCTGATATTTTGTGGTTCTAGAAGCATTCAAAGAAAACTGTCAATGCACACCCCAAAGGCACACCCATGGGTCTCCTGCAGCACTGGCCACCATTCTCAGACCATTGCAGGACTGTGCAGAGGGAGTGATGGACAGGGGAAAATGGGACAGGGAAGAGCTAAGGGTTGGAAATCACAGGTCTGCTTTAAACTTCAGTGCCTTTACTTCTGGCTCTGCTGTCTTAGAGCAATTACATGACCTCACTAATTTCAGGTTTTCTAATTTCCAAGACCTGCAGTGTTAGATCAGTTACATGACCTCACTATTTCAGGTTTTCTACTTTCAAAATAGGAGTAAAAACAGATACTTCCCAGATGGCAGGAGGGTCAAATGAAGCAATAATGGGGCTGTATATAGCAGTGTTTAACTAAAATTTGAATTATTTAACTCTGTAAATGTTAGTTTTCTTCCCAATTTCCCGTTTGTAAATGATCCCTGGTTCGTGGGTTATTTTGAAGATCACCTTAGATGTATATGAGAGAGACTCTCTATGGATGACGTCGTGAAGAGCAGAGACCCTGAATCCCTTTACCTGTCGGGGAAGAGGGACAGACAAGGCCACCAGTTCAATCTGAGAAAAGGGCAGTGTGGTCCACTGAATAGTGGCCCCCCAGGACCTCCACCATCTGGTCCCTGGAACCTGTGATATGGTGACTTGGAAGGCAAAAGGGATTCTGCAGATGTGATTAAGAACTTTGAGTTGGGGAGATTATCTTGGGCCATCCAGGCGGGCCCTAAATGTAATCATAAATTTTCCTATAAGAGAAAGGCACAGGGGACTTGATGACAGTAGGGAAAGGCAGTGTGATGACACAGTCGGGGGGAAGGTGATGTGATGCAAGGAAGGGGCCAGGAGCCACGGGACGCAGGCGGCTCTGGAAGCTGAAAAGGCAAGGAAGCGATTCTCCCTAGAGCCTCAGTTAGAACCAGCCCTGCCCTGCAGACACCTCGGTTTTGTTCCCATAAGACTCAGTTTAGACTTCTGACCACCAGAACTATACATTCCCACTGTTTGAAGCCACCGAGTTCGTGGTAACTTTTACAGTAGCCACAGGAGAGGAATGCACGTATATGTAAAAGCAACACTATTGCTAAGAAAGTAAGGAGCACGTTTTCATAATTTACAGATGACAAGTATCTGAAATTTCAAGGGTAGTTTGAACTCACATATTTCCCCCACCAGCACTTTCAGGGCACTCACTCAGTGCCTGGCCTTGTGCAGCTCCGTATCACTCTGACAACCTAAAGTTTAGGCTGCTGCAGCCACTTTGCCCCACCTGAAGCATCTCAGGGGTGGGGGCTTGGGATGCTAAATTCTTCTCCATGCTGCAGGCCCAGGGTGCACTCAAGCTGGCACCGTGTTCCCCAGAGCTGGTCTCAGTATCTCCAGAGTGGGCGTCCTGGAATCCTCTCAGCCTGGGAGGTTCTCAGGGTGGCTCGAGCAGCCCTGTCCTCCCAGAGCCTGCTCAGGTCAGGAGACCCATGGAGGGAAGGGTAGGGACTTTCCTCCCAATCCCTAGAAGTCACTCCACCCACTATCCCAACCTTGCTTCCTTTTGGCCCCATTTGTCCTCTTGTCCTCACTTTGTCTGCCAGAATCATACTTCCGACCTATCGTAAAGGGTGGTTTTGCAGTAAAAATGAAGCTGATGCAACCAGTTCAATGCACAGAGGCCCCTGAGCTAAGAATAGGATGAGTGTGTAATTTCTCATCCACACCAGGACACTGCTGGGCTTGGCAAGCTCCCACTAAAGACAGCACAGTCACGAACCACAGGACTCAGGCCAGGGCAGGGAAAGTAAGAGGAGGCAGGCCCCTCTGTCAACCTCCATCTTCCCTTATCCGCAACTGGTGCTGCAGGCCTGCAGCTGCAGTAGGCTTCCAGGAGAGCCCTTCAGAAGACCTAAGGGCTGAGCAGAGTCCTCCGGGTGGAGAAGCAGGACACAGGCCTTTTATTTCCCTTTTCTTCCAGAACACCACCTGGATTAGAGAGAGCCACCTTTCCCAGGTGGGGCATTTGCCTCCTTTGACTGGCCCAGACTCATGATTATTCAAGGCTCTTGCCTGTAACTAGATCTTCCTAAGGAATCAGTGACTCTCTAGAACCCATCAGCAGAGGATCTTCTGCCATGTACACTGTTATCATGTCTCTTTTAGCCATCCATGAAGTTTCTATTTTCCAAGAGAGATGCCCAAAGCCTCCAAGCCACTTGCAGGGCAGTCAGGAATCACACACTTTGGATCCTATTACAGAGCAAGCCTTCCTTAATGCAGAACACCCCTTTCCCCTGCCCAGCTTTTCGGGTTCTTTTGTGATGACCTTCCCACTCTACCTCCTCTCAGGTGGGCAGATAACACTGGATACGCAGTGACAATTTTGAATTTCAAATAAACAACTTAAGTTTTTTAGTTTCTTTCTTTTTAAAAAATACCTATTGCCCTACCTTTTCCCAAGCCCCTCCACCAAATCTGAAGAACACAGTTTCCAGAACCCTATCACAATTTTATCATATCAAAAATACACACTTAAAGGCTTTTTAAATTTATTGACGTGTGAAGTAGTTAAAGTGGCAATTATATAATTACACAATAATTTGGTGGAGATGATATTTCAAATTATAAGATGCATAAAGGAAAGGTAATAAAAGGGTCTTAGGCTAAAGGCCTTCAAATTTGTGATATACAAAGAGCACAGACCACAACCATGAAGTCCAGGAGGGCCGGGTCTTGCACTTGTAGAAAGTGCACAATCAGGCTGGGCGTGGTGGCTCACACCTTTGGGAGACTGAGGTGGGCAGATCACCTGAGGTCAGGAGTTTGAGACCAGCCTGGCCAACATGGTGAAACCCCATCTGTACTAAAAGTACAAAAAATTTGCTGGGCGTGGTGGTGGGCACCTGAAATCCCAGCTACTCAGGAGGCTGAGGCAGGAGAATCATTTGAACCTGGGAGGCAGAGGTTGCAGTGAGCCGAGATCACGCCACTATGCTCCAGCCTGGGTGACAGAGTGAGACTCTGTCTCAAAAAGAAAGAAAGAAAGGAAGTGCACGTTCAGATGATGTCTCCTCCCGGCCTCACACTCTCAGGAAGGAAAAACAGAACAGCTGCGTAGATCCCACGGTCTCTTCCTGAAGCTTCCCTAACTCTAGCACCAGTTCCAGATGGGACAGCCCGTAGGCTGCTCAGGCAGTGTGTCAAAGGCTCACCTGATGTGCCAAGGCTTTCTGGCTTGGAAGCCCCTTTCCGTGCCATTTTGTTAAAAATCTGTAAACAGAAATTTAAAGTAAATTTTACCTATTTATTATTTTGTTTTATGCTAATATGCATGTGAAGTTAACAATTTTGGGGCTGTTCTATGAACATACCAGTGGTAAATACCCATTATAATGTCTCTTTCTGTTTTCTGAAAAATGTTCTTTCAGTGCAGATAAATAGTCATTGAAAATCAGTAGAATGTGTGTCTTTTGGTCAAACAGCAGGAGAGCTGGGAAGGGAAGTTGAAAGGCCTGGGTAATTTTCATTTGTCAGTAGTGAAATCATCAGATTAATGAATGAAGAATGCATGATTTCCACCTTCATGAAGTCACTGCTAGTCTTAACCAGACACCATAAAAAAATGCAAGGATGTCCTGAGCTGGAAAGTTAAAATCCTGAGTGTTCCAGAATCATAGACTTTAAATCCTAAGGTTTAATCCTGACATTATGCCATCAGGAGCCTGGTGGCCAGGTAAGGTGGAAAATGTAAACTCTTTTACCAATTTCAAAAGAGCTCTGGAAATTAGCCTATGAATCCTATAAGTGAAAACGTCCTCCAGCCAAAGACCTCAGGATCAGGCCTATAGTTGAACGAGTTGGATTTACTATTTGTTGGAGGGAGAGAGACTACACGCAGGGCACACCAGCGGGAACTGTGGGGTGTCTCAGGCAGAGGGGGTTTGCCAGGACTCATTACAGAACTGGGGCATGTTGGGTGATCTGGGGAGAGCGTTCAAGGAAGTGGGGCTTTGCTCCAGATTTGGTTGGTGTTTGGAAGAAGGGGATGCTATGCGATGCATGGGTTAATCTTACCTGGAAGAAGGCAGACCAGAGCCAGGCAGCAGGCTTTTAACTATAAAGCAGCAGCACTCACTAGCATGAGCTGGGAGAGGGGGATATTAAGTCACTTTTATGGTTTGAACCATGTTCTTGCCTTGTCTGTGTTCAGACCTAATGACATAATGGTCTTGTTCTTTTTTTTTTTTTTTTTTTTTGAGACAGAGTCTCGCTCTGTCACCCAAGCTGGAGTGCAGTAGCATGATCTCGGCTCACTGCAAGCTCCACCTCCCAGGTTCACGCCATTCTCCTGCCTCAGCCTCCCAAGTAGCTGGGACTACAGGCACCTGCCACCGCGCCCGACTAATTTTTTTGTAATTTTAGTAGAGACGGGGTTTCACCATGTTAGCTAGGATGGTCTCGATCGCCTGACCTTGTGATCCACCCGCCTCGGCCTCCCAAAGTGCTGGGATTACAGGTGTGAACCACCGCGCCTGGCCAGTCTTGTTCTTGTCTTATTCCGTCACACTCACCAAGTGGCTTCCCTGACCGTTCCTGTTCAGTGAACTGTTTATGTTCATCAGGAGAGACCAAGGCCCAGCTGTGGGCACCGGGCCAGCTCCTGCATATTAGGGGCCACCTTTGTCTTCTTAGAGCAATAATAACTGATGAACACCAGGACTAAGTTAGCACTGTGTGTTCTTGTTTACTGTGGGATTTTACTGAATAATATTTCATTACATTTCTTTCTCCAGAAATGCTGGGAAGGAATAATTTGGTGGAGACAATAGTTCAAATTATAGGATGCATAAAGGAAAGGTAATAAAAGGGTCTTGGGCTAAAGGCATTCAGGTCTCGCCGTATTCAAGTGTGCAATGATGTGTTGTAGCCACTGAGCCAAATCCTGGGAGACCACAAGAGGCTGATTGTGTCTGTCCCCATCAGTATCCAGGAAACTCACTTTCCCCAAACACACCTACAGCGAGGTAGTTCCCTAAGTTAGGCAGCCTCTATCCACAAGCCGCACCTGCATCTCTCCAGTACCTGAACACTTCCTTCATTCCACAAGCATTTCCAGACAGCCCACCTTCCCCTCACACTGCATCCTTCTCCTCAGGGACACAGAAACCCCCTCTCACTGCTGGTCCCAATTAGATGGGCAGGCCCCTCCCTGCTGCTCAAAGCACAACCAGAAACCAGGCTCAGAGGCAACCAGAACTCCGAAAGGTGTTCAGAGGAAGGCGGGCTGGTTTTGGGACCCCAGGGGGAGAAGGAAGGCACAGCAACAGGGTGCTTTATGGCCCCAAGACCAACAGAAGGTGACCCCAGCCTAGCACCCATGGCAGCCAGCTAGGCTTGCTCCCGCTCTGATGGAACAGGGCCCTCTGGCAATACCAGGCCAGCCTGACGCCACCTGACGGAGGAGGGACCTGAAGCCCTGTCCGCATAAGTGGCCCCAGGGTGGCTCCCCTCCTTGTGTACTGACAGCCCCTCCTCCCCACCCAGAAATATCTGGTTGGTGGGCACCTGCAGGGGATCCAAGCCTCTTCTTCAGACAGCCTGAGCCTTGGGCCCCACTGGGAGACACTCAGGGCAGAGCCTGGGGAAACTCCGTCTGCCCCTCAGCCTGCATCAGGAGGGATCCTGAGAGCCACAAGGACCCCCGAGAAACCAAGCAGGAGAGAACAACACAGCAGCGACTCTGGAAATTAGATGCCAGTAGAACCACAGCCTGCAAGATGGGCCAGGACCCATGTGCCAAACCTAAACAGGTCACTGCCTTCTAAAGCAAAAGAGTCACAGGGGACCCAGGTCACCTAACATGACAGGCAGAACGTCCACCAAACAACTGAAAACTCACCATCCTTCCAAGAGTGCAGAGATCACCACCAGCATGAGCACCACGATCAGCTGCTGCCAAGACCCAACTATCAGATGTTGGAATTATCTGACAAGGGCTCTAAAGTATCTGCCATTAAAAATGCTTCAGCAATGACAGGTTCTCTCGAAATAAATCAAACAATGGAAAATCTCAGCCCTTTCCTCACTGCCCCAGGGCTGGCAATCACTTGACATGGTTGCCTGTTACACCTGATAGCCCTCTTTGACTTCTTTTTTTTTTTTTTTTTTATACTTTAAGTTTTAGGGTACATGTGACAATGTGCAGGTTAGTTACATATGTATACACGTGACATGCTGGTGTGCTGCACCCACTAACTCGTCATCTAGCATTAGGTATATCTCCCAATGCTATCCCTCCCCCCTCCCCCCACCCCACAACAGTCCCCAGAGTGTGATGTTCCCCTTCCTGTGTCCATGTGTTATTGTTCAATTCCCACCTATGAGTGAGAATATGCAGTGTTTGGTTTTTTGTCCTTGCGATAGTTTACTGAGAATGATGATTTCCAATTTCATCCATGTCCCTACAAAGGACATGAACTCATCATTTTTTATGGCTGCATAGTATTCCATGGTGTATATGTGCCACATTTTCTTAATCCAGTCTATCATTGTTGGACATTTGGCTTGGTTCCAAGTCTTTGCTATTGTGAATAGTGCCACAATAAACATATGTGTGCGTGTGTCTTTATAGCAGCATGATTTATAGTCCTTTGGGTATATACCCAGTAATGGGATTGCTGGGTCAAATGGTATTTCTAGTTCTAGATCTCTGAGGAATCACCACACTGACTTCCACAATGGCTGAACTGGTTTACAGTCCCACCAACAGTGTAAAAGTGTTCCTATTTCTCCACATCCTCTCCAGCACCTGTTGTTTCCTGACTTTTTAATGATTGCCATTCTAACTGGTGTGAGATGGTATCTCATTGTGGTTTTGATTTGCATTTCTCTGATGGCCAGTGATGGTGAGCATTTTTTCATGTGTTTTTTGGCTGCATAAATGTCTTCTTTTGAGACTGTCTGTTCATGTCCTTTGCCCACTTTTTGATGGGGTTGTTTTTTTCTTGTAAATTTGTTGGAGTTCATTGTAGATTCTGGATATTAGCCCTTTGTCAGATGAGTAGGTTGCGAAAATTTTCTCCCATATTGTGGGTTGCCTGTTCACTCTAATGGTAGTTTCTTTTGCTGTGCAGAAGCTCTTTAGTTTAATTAGATCCCATTTGTCTATTTTGGCTTTTGTTGCCATTGCTTTTGGTGTTTTAGACATGAAGTCCTTGCCTGTGCCTATGTCCTGAATGGTAATGCCTAGGTTTTCTTCTAGGGTTTTTATGGGTTTAGGTCTAACGTTTAAGTCTTTAATGCATCTTGAATTGATTTTTGTATAAGGTATAAGGAAGGGATCCAGTTTCAGCTTTCTACATATGGCTAGCCAGTTTTCCCAGCACCATTTATTAAATAGGGAATCCTTTCCCCATTGCTTGTTTTTCTCAGGTTTGTCAAAGATCAGATAGTTGTAGATATGCGGCGTTATTTCTGAGGGCTCTGTTCTGTTCCATTGATCTATATCTCTGTTTTGGTACCAGTACCATGCTGTTTTGGTTACTGTAGCCTTGTAGTATAGTTTGAAGTCAGGTAGCGTGATGCCTCCAGCTTTGTTCTTTTGGCTTAGGATTGACCTGGCGATGCAGGCTCTTTTTTGGTTCCATATGAACTTTAAAGTAGTTTTTTCCAATTCTGTGAAGAAAGTCATTGGTAGCTTGATGGGGATGGCATTGAATCTATAAATTACCTTGGGCAGTGTGGCCATTTTCACGATATTGATTCTTCCTACCCATGAGCATGGAATGTTCTTCCATTTGTTTGTATCCTCTTTCATTTCATTGAGCAGTGGTTTGTAGTTCTCCTTGAAGAGGTCCTTCACGTCCCTTGTAAGGTGGATTCCTAGGTATTTTATTCTCTTTGAAGCAATTGCGAATGGGAGTTCACTCATGATTTGGCTCTCTGTTTGTCTGTTATTGGTGTATAAGAATGCTTGTGATTTTTGTACATTGATTTTGTATCCTGAGACTTTGTTGAAGTTGCTTATCAGCTTAAGGAGATTTTTGGCTGAGACAATGGGGTTATCTAGATATACAATCATGTCGTCTGCAAACAGGGACAATTTGACTTCCTCTTTTCCTAATTGAATACCCTTTATTTCCTTCTCCTGCCTAATTGCCCTGGCCAGAACTTCCAACACTATGTTGAATAGGAGTGGTGAGAGAGGGCATCCCTGTCTTGTGCCAGTTTTCAAAGGGAATGCTTCCAGTTTTTGCCCATTCAGTATGATATTGGCTGTGGGTTTGTCATAGATAGCTCTTATTATTTTGAGATATGTCCCATCAATACCTAATTTATTGAGAGTTTTTAGCATGAAGGGTTGTTGAATTTTGTCAAAGGCCTTTTCTGCATCTATTGAGATAATCATGTGGTTTTTGTCTTTGGTTCTGTTTATATGCTGGATTACATTTATTGATTTGCGTATATTGAACCAGCCTTGCATCCCAGGGATGAAGCCCACTTGATCATGGTGGATAAGCTTTTTGATGTGCTGCTGGATTCCGTTTGCCAGTATTTTATTGAGGATTTTTGCATCGATGTTCATCAGGGATATTGGTCTAAAATTCTCTTTTTTGGTTGTGTCTCTGCCCGGCTTTGGTATCAGGATGATGCTGGCCTCATAAAATGAGTTAGGGAGGATTCCCTCTTTTTCTATTGATTGGAATAGTTTCAGAAGGAATGGTATCAGTTCATCCTTGTACCTCTGGTAGAATTCGGCTGTGAATCCATCTGGTCCTGGACTCTTTTTGGTTGGTAAGCTATTGATTATTGCCACAATTTCAGCTCCTGTTATTGGTCTATTCAGAGATTCAACTTCTTCCTGGTTTAGTCTTGGGAGAGTGTATGTGTCGAGGAATTTATCCATTTCTTCTAGATTTTCTAGTTTAATTGCGTAGAGGTGCTTGTAGTATTCTCTGATGGTAGTTTGTATTTCTGTGGGATCGGTGGTGATATCCCCTTTATCATTTTTTATTGCGTCTATTTGATTCTCTCTTTTTTTCTTTATTAGTCTTGCTAGCGGTCTATCAATTTTGTTGATTCTTTCAAAAAACCAGCTCCTGGATTCATTAATGTTTTGAAGGGTTTTTTGTGTCTCTATTTCCTTCAGTTCTGCTCTGATTTTAGTTATTTCTTGCCTTCTGCTAGCTTTTGAATGTGTTTGCTCTTGCTTTTCTAGTTCTTTTAATTGTGATGTTAGAGTGTCAATTTTGGATCTTTCCTGCTTTCTCTTGTGGGCATTTAGTGCTATAAATTTCCCTGTACACACTGCTTTGAATGCGTCGCAGAGATTCTGGTATGTTGTGTCTTTGTTCTCGTTGGTTTCAAAGAACATCTTTATTTCTGCCTTCATTTCGTTATGTACCCAGTAGTCATTCAGGAGCAGGTTGTTCAGTTTCCATGTAGTTGAGCGGTTTTGAGTGAGATTCTTAATCCTGAGTTCTAGTTTGATTGCACTGTGCTCTGAGAGACAGTTTGTTATAATTTCTGTTCTTTTACATTTGCTGAAGAGAGCTTTACTTCCAAATATGTGGTCAATTTTGGAATAGGTGTGGTGTGGTGCTGAAAAAAATGTATATTCTGTTGATTTGGGGTGGAGAGTTTTGTAGATGTCTATTAGGTCTGCTTGGTGGAGAGCTGAGTTGAATTCCTGGGTATGCTTGTTGACTTTCTGTCTCGTTGATCTGTCTAATGTTGACAGTGGGGTGTTAAAGTCTCCCATTATTAATGTGTGGGAGTCTAAGTCTCTTTGTACGTCACTCAGGACTTGCTTTATGAATCTGGGTGCTCCTGTATTGGGTGCATATATATTTAGGATAGTTAGCTCTTCTTGTTGAATTGATCCCTTTACCATTGTGTAATGGCCTTCTTTGTCTCTTTTGATCTTTGTTGGTTTAAAGTCTGTTTTATCAGAGACTAGGATTGCAACCCCTGCCTTTTTTTGTTTTCCACTTGCTTGGTAGATCTTCCTCCATCCTTTTATTTTGAGCCTATGTGTGTCTCTGCATGTGAGGTGGGTTTCCTGAATACAACACACTGATGGATCTTGACTCTTTATCCAATTTGCCAGTCTGTGTCTTTTAATTGGAGCATTTAGTCCATTTACATTTAAAGTTAATATTGTTATGTGTGAATTTGATCCTGTCATTATGTTAGCTGGTTATTTTGCTCGTTAGTTGATGCAGTTTCTTCCTAGTCTCGATGGTCTTTACATTTTGGCATGATTTTGCAGCGGCTGGTACCAGTTGTTCCTTTCCATGTTTAGTGCTTCCTTCAGGAGCTCTTTTAGGGCAGGCCTGGTGGTGACAAAATCTCTCAGCATTTGCTTGTCTGTAAAGGATTTTATTTCTCCTTCACTTATGAAGCTTAGTTTGGCTGGATATGAAATTCTGGGTTGAAAATTCTTTTCTTTGAGAATGTTGAATATTGGCCCGCACTCTCTTCTGGCTTGCAGTTTCTGCCGAGAGATCCGCTGTTAGTCTGATGGGCTTCGCTTTGTGGGTAACCCGACCTTTCTCTCTGGCTGCCCTTAACATTTTTTCCTTCATTTCAACTTTGGTGAATCTGACAATTATGTGTCTTGGAGGTGCTCTTCTCGAGGAGTATCTTTGTGGTGTTCTCTGTATTTCCTGAATCTGAACGTTGGCCTGCCTTGCTAGATTGGGGAAGTTCTCCTGGATAATATCCTGCAGAGTGTTTTCCAACTTGGTTCCATTCTCCCCGTCACTTTCAGGTACACCAATCAGACGTAGATTTGGTCTTTTCACATAGTCCCATATTTCTTGGAGGCTTTGTTCATTTCTTTTTATTCTTTTTTCTCTAAACTTCCCTTCTCGCTTCATTTCATTCATTTCATCTTCCATCGCTGATACCCTTTCTTCCAGTTGATTGCATCGGCTCCTGAGGCTTCTGCATTCTTCACGTAATTCTCGAGTCTTGGCTTTCAGCTCCATCTGCTCCTTTAAGCAGATGTATTGGTTCTGTATTGGTTCTCTGTATTGGTTATTCTAGTTATACATTCGTCTAAATTTTTTTCAAAGTTTTTAACTTCTTTGCCTTCGGTTTGAATTTCCTCCTGTAGCTCGTAGTTTGATCGTCTGAAGCTTTCTTCTCCCAACTCGTCAAAGTCATTCTCTGTCCAGCTTTGTTCCATTGCTGGTGAGGAACTGCGATCCTTTGGAGGAGGAGAGGTGCTCTGCTTTTTAGAGTTTCCCGTTTTTCTGCTCTGTTTTTTCCCCATCTTTGTGGTTTTATCTACTTTTGGTCTTTGATGATGGTGATGTACAGATGGGTTTTGGTGTGGATGTCCTTTCTGTTTGTTAGCTTTCCTTCTAACAGACAGGACCCTCAGCTGCAGGTCTGTTGGAGTTTGCTAGAGGTCCACTCCAGACCCTGTTTGCCTGGGTATCAGCAGCGGTGTCTGCAGAACAGTGGTTTTCGTGAACCGCGAATGCTGCTGTCTGATCGTTCCTCTGGAAGTTTTGTCTCAGAGGAGTACCCGGCCGTGTGAGGTGTCAGTCTGCCCCTACTTGGGGGTGCCTCCCAGTTAGGCTGCTCGGGGGTCAGGGGTCAGGGACCCACTTGAGGAGGCAGTCTGCCCGTTCTCAGATCTCCAGCTGTGTGCTGGGAGAACCACTGCTGTCCTCAAAGCTGTCAGACAGGGACATTTAAGTCTGCAGAGGTTACTGCTGTCTTTTTGTTTGTCTGTGCCCTGCCCCCAGAGGTGTAGCCTACAGAGGCAGGCAGGCAGGCCTCCTTGAGCTGTGGTGGGCTCCACCCAATTGGAGCTTCCTGGCTGCTTTGTTTACCTAAGCGAGCCTGGGCAATGGCGGGCGCCCCTCCCCTAGCCTCGCTGCCGCCTTGCAGTTTGATCTCAGACTGCTGTGCTAGCAATCAGCGAGACTCTGTGGGCGTAGGACCCTCCAAGCCAGGTGCAGGATATAATCTCCTGGTGTGCCGTTTTTTAAGCCCGTCGGAAAAGCGCAGTATTCGGGTGGGAGTGACCCGATTTTCCAGGTGCTGTCTGTCACCCCTTTCTTTGACTAGGAAAGGGAACTCCTTGACCCCTTGTGCTTCCTGAGTGAGGCAATGCCTCGCCCTGCTTCGGCTCGCGCACAGCGCACTGCACCCACTGTCCTGCGCCCACTGTCTGGCACTCCCTAGTGAGATGAACCCGGTACCTCAGATGGAAATGCAGAAATCACCTGTCTTCTGCGTCGCTCACGCTGGGAGCTGTAGACCGGAGCTGTTCCTATTCGGCCATCTTGGTTCCAGAAAAAAAGTCTTTGACTTCTTTTAGGGGCGGGTGCCTTTGCCTGTGTAACCGCTGTTCATAGGAAAGTGTCCCCATTCACATGACTCCAGTGGTTTCTGCCACCCGTCTGCACCGATTGAGTGACTGAGGGGCTCTGCAGCGCTAGCAAACATTCACCTGGGGAGATAGAGAAGATGCTTTAGATCATACTCTCCTGGAAAATGCCTTGAAACCCTCTTTCAACATTTCTTCCTCCTAGTCCTTCTGTCCCAGGCTTTGAGCAGGTTATTCCCTCATCAGCCATGTCCTGTCGGCTGCCATTTTCCATCTCATATCTGACCTATAAATCACATCCTACATCTCACCTTAAGACTGGAGGGAGATCCAGCTCCCACTGCCACACGTGGTCAGCCTCCCAGCATATGGGACTCAACAAAGTTTAGGGCAGAAGTGGAAAGAATATGCTGTAGCTCCCAATTCTTTTTCCAGAATCTAAAAACAACTGAATTATACCACTCTCTGGCCCAGAGCCTTCAGTCGCCCCTACTGCTCTTAGGGAAAGCACTAGGGAATCCCGAAGACCCCCATCTCCCATCCCAGACAGTGCCTTCTCCCACCCTCACTCCTCCTGCCCACCGCCACCCTGCCCACCCTGGCCCTCTCTGGTGTTCCTCTCATGCATACCTCTCAAGGTGCACCAGGCGGCTGCCTCTGGGTACTTGCCCAGCCCTGTCCCCTCTGCTCCCCTCTCGCAGGCCATCCCACCACACTCGTCCCACCTGGCTTGTGTCAATGTTCCATTACTGTTCACCGGCTGCCCACGCACCTCCAGCTCCACATCGTGAGTATTTCTCCCCCTTCTCATCTCATGTCCTAAAAGCATTCAACAAATATGTACTCAGTAAACGGTCTCTGCTGCTTTCCATGTGTAATGACCCCTCCCTAATGACCTCACCAGATGCCTCCTGGACCCACTGCCAAAGCCCCTGTATTTATTTATTTATTTTTATTTATTTATTTATTTATTTTTTGAGACATGGTCTCGCTCTGTTGCCCAGGCTGGAGTGCAATGGCACAATCTTGGCTCACAGCAACCTCCGCCTCTTGGGTTCAAGTGATTCTCCTGCCTCAGCCTCCCAAGTAGCTGGGATTACAGGGATGCACCACAATGCCTGGCTAATTTTTGTATTTTTAGTAGAGATGGGGTTTTTCTGTGTTGTCCAGGCTGGTCTCGGACTCCTGACCTCAGGTGATCTGCCCGCCTCAGCCTCCCAAAGTGATGGGATTACAGGCGTGAGCCACTGTGCCCGGCCTAGCCCCTGTGTTTCTGAGCTGTGCTTTTTGGTATTTGGGTCCTGGTAAATATCACTTAGGAAGAGACAACTGACAATGTCTTTCTAAACTTTCCTTTTTCTCACCAGAGAATGTGTTGCTAGACGTCATTGTCATGGTGGCAGGAGGAATTTGTTAAACTTCAAAGGAATGCCTGTTTGTCATAAAGCCTTTAAAACAAGAAGATGGCATCTCCTATGTGGGAGGAGTGAGGTTTGATCCTGCGGAAAATAAACTTAGCTGACATTTTCGAGTGCGTCTTGTGTTCTGGGCTGTCCTTGCGACAGTGTCTTGGCAGGTAGTACTATAGTCACTCCTTTAACGTGGGGACACCCGAGTTTGGATAACGTGAGCAGTGTGCTGGAGGTCAGTCGGCAGGGGGCAGAGTTGGATTTGAAGGTGAGGTCGTGTTTGTGGGGCCACTGTTTTTAATCACGGTACTAGAGGCACCACAGAGAGTGTAGAGAAAACAGAACCGCAAGGCCTGAGTGCCTTAAAGAGAGGTTTTCAGAATCAGGACCCAGCATGCTTATTCTTGCTGCAGTGCCTTAACACGCTAAACAGCGCTTAACCACGCTAAAACATCCCATGGGAAACTGTGACTGCAAGGCCCGGGGGATGTTCCTTCTCAGCCCATGCCCTGCCCATGCCCCAAGTAAAAGCAGTTTTAGGGACCACTAGTGTCCCAGGAATCATGGTATTAAAGAGTTGTTGGGTGTGGTGGCTCATGCCTATAATCCCAGCTGCTTTGGAGGCTGAGGCAGGAGAGTCGCTGGAACCCAGGAGGCAGAGGCTGCAGTGAGCCGAGATCGCGCCATTGCACTCCAGCCTGGACAACAAGAGCCAAACTCCAATTCAAAAAAAAAAAAAGTTAACCTTTCAAAGCAAGATGGTTTTAGCCATAAATTTTCATAGCAACAGAGGACAGCACATACCAGTGACGGAACCGATACTTTGAATCAAGCCAGCCAGAGGGGTCTACACCCCCTTCCACTGCAGACACCAAAACACAGGGTGCCATTCTCCATTCCCTGCCATTTACAAAGAAGAATGGACAAAGTAAGTTTGAGGTTAACGAAAGCAGCCTCAGGATGTTGAGTTCCTAGTCTCAGTTCAAACAGCTATTTGTGTGAGGCTGGGCAAGTCGCTGGGGTGGGCCTCAATCCCCTCATCTGATTTTACCTGAGGCGCCACCAACTCTAGGAAGTCTCCCATGATTGTCTAAGGCTGGGATCCCTCCCTGTGTGGCCCTTACTCTCTTTTTACCTAATTCCCTTCCTAAGAACGAGCTCCTTCCAGCTAAGATAAGCTTTCTCATGACTGCACCCCCTGTGTCTGGCAGAGGGGACAGCACCTGACAGATGCCTGCCTTGGAGGCTGGGGCTGCCACAACAAAGAACCACAGCCTGGGGGCTTAAACACAGACGTGCATTTCCTCACAGTGCTGGAGGCTGGAAGTCCAAGATCAAGGTGGGCAAGGCTGGCTTCTCCTGCAGCCTCTCTCTTCGGCTTGTAGATGGCTGTCTTCCCTGTGCCTCAGACGATCACCCCTCTGACTGTGTCTGTATCCTAACCTCATCTTCTTATAAGGACACCAGTCAGAATGGATTAAGGTTCACCCTCATGGCCTGATTTTAACTCAATTACCTCTTTAAAGGCCCTCTCCAAATAAGATCACAGTCTGAGGTACGGTGGTTGGGCTTCAACATATAAATTTGAAGAATCTTAATTCAGACCACAACGGGGTCTCACATGTCTCAGGTGAATGGACTGAATCTCAGCCTGCAGTTCAATGGGATCACATCCATGTGAATCTGAATTGCAGCTGTGGGTTGACCTCAGCCAGTTGGCTTTGGCTCTCCTCTGCCCAGTTATTTCCAGGAGTCTGGAAGAATCTCAGGAGAGCTCAGGGAACCTGGAACAAACACCTACTGCTGGCCCCCACTGCTGCCACTCCTGCTCCCTCCTGATGGCAGGGTCCCTGTCTCCCCCAGTCACAGACACGCGGATGAGCCCCCATCTGCCTGGCTGACCCACTGCCTCCTGAGCCCAAGTCTCTTTGGCTGAGGCCCCAGTACACACCAACACCATTTTCAAAATGACTCCTTCACAATTTCTCTTTAAGGCCAGACACCAAAGTCCCCCAGACCTGTCTCTGGAACAAATACTCTTATCTTTTGTACTTGAACTAACCTTTAAAAAAAAAAAAGCTTGGAACCTGATGCCATAGACGAGCTCTGAGCTTCTGTATATTTGGAAATTCTGAATCTAATTGAATAGCATGAACTTGTCTTTTCCACAAAGGATTTGAGGCACTGTGTTTTTAAGTGACTAAGCCCACGTCCCTCTCCAGACACCACCTGGGGCTTGGCAATGAGGATGCTGGCGGGGTTTAATATGGTCACACGGGAGCCAGAGAACCAACAAGGTTGACCAGGGCACAGGGGGCATACTGAAGTATGGCTGGGACTGCAGCAAATTCTAATTCCAAGTGGATGGTAATTTCTTGAGCATTATGATGTTTGAAAAGTACAACAGAAGTCTATATTGTAATGTAGTGCCTTCTTATCCACAGGGATATGTTCCAAGACCCACAGTAGATGCTTGAAACCTTGGGTAGTAGTGAACCCTACATATGTTTTTTCTCTGATATATACATACCTATGATAAAATTTAATGTATAAATTAGGCACAGTAAGAAATTAACAGCACTTACTAGCAATAAAATAGGACAATCATAACCATATGCTGTAATGAAAGTTATGTGAATGTGGTCTCTGTCACAAAACATCTTATTGTCTTCGCCTATTTTCTGACTGTGGTTGACCACAGATAACTGAAGCCACAGAAAGAAACACCACAGGACATGTGTGGTGGCTCACGCCTGTAATCCCAGCACTTTGGGAGGCTGAGCTGGGCAGATCATCTGAGGTCAGGAGTTCGAGACCAGCCTGGCCAACATGGTGAAACCCCAGCTCTACTAAAAATATAAAAATTAGCTGGGCGTGGTAGCAGGCGCCTGTAGTCCCAGCTACTTGGGAGGCTGAGGCAGGAGAATGGCGTGAACTTGGGAGGCAGAGCTTGCAGTGAGCCGAGATCGCGCCACTGCACTCCAGCCTGGGTGACGGAGCAAGACTCTGTCTAAAAAAAAAGAAAAGAAAGTAACGCCACAGATGGGGGTGACTGTATGGTAATTACCAAAATGTGTAGGAGAAAAACATACTCACTTTAACCCTGACATATTGATTTCACCAAGACTATCTTTATCTTAAATGACAGCTTAAAATAATGTGTTTGAAAAACAATTACACTATTCATATTAATACAAAGATACTAAATGGCGAATTCTTGGCCGTTTTCATTTACCACAGAAAGAAAAGGGGGCAAATATAGTTGGAAAAAGATTAAACTCTGTAGCTTCATAAGGTCCTTCAATGTAAAGATGAATAGCTTCAACATGAAGTGAAAAGCATCTGCCACAATCTTCTAAAATTACTGGGAATATAATTTACCAGCAGCCTTGGTGCTGAGACATAACACACTCTCTCTCCATTGTTACCCATTGCCCTGAATATGTGGTCAGTGACTATCAACGCGTTGCGAGTGGAGGAAGGCAGGATCAGAGATATCGCTGCCCAAAAAAGCAACAATAGCAAACAGCAGCAGCAACACAGAATGATGGAGCCTCCTGCCACACTCTTCAAAGCGCTGCAGCCAGGAGGACACAGAGAAGAAGGTGGTGTGGGCCTGCAAAGGACAGACTCTGAATCAGTGCGACCCACCCCGCGTGTCCCTCCAACCCAAATAGCGGATCCCTCTCCCCACCCTACGCTGCCAGTCTCGAGTGAGGCTCATTGAGAAGGGAAGTTGTAAGTTGGAGGGAAAAAGTTTTAAGAGAGCCCATGAGTGCAGAAGTCCCGCCTCCCACTAAGGATCTCAGCAGATGCAGGAAAGTCACAGGCAGGAGGTCTTCAGGTGTCTTCCCTATGGGCAGGAAGGAAAGGGGATGTGACTATAACCAAATTCCTACTCCCACCAGCCCTCCAACTACCAGCCCTAACAGCCAAATCCATGGACATTTTATCTGTCCTGACTGGAGGTTGAAGGGTGTAAGGAGAGAGGTTGGGAAATTTCACCGGGAGTACGCGGCTAACTGAGAAAGCTGAATAAGAGTTCACTCACCCCAAAGACCCAGAATTTCATGAATTAGAGCAATAAATAATGATATAGATCTCCTTCCAGGGTAATGCCTAAGATGTATTGGAGCACCAACAGACCAACATCAACAGCAACAAAGTAAAGACAAAAACGCCCAGGCTGTCCATCCTAGGGGCTGGCCTTCCTCTCAGAACCCCAGGCCAGGAAAGCAGGAAGAAGGGGGAGCACAGAGTCTGAAAGGGGCTGAGACCTGCTTTTTCAGAGGAATTTAAAGATCCACATGGAGCTGCCCAAATTAAGCAAAAGTAAGAGTGAAATAAATGGCAAGGCATTCCTGCAAATGCACTGCAGGGGAACAGTGAACACAGGGTGGACCATGGTCTGTAAAGAAAGACAAAGATTTCATTCTGCAGCAAAATATATAACTGAATCCATGCAAGAAAGTTCTCCAAAATGTTGTGTAAGAAGTTAGTAAGAAATCGATTTCAATAAAAAAGAGCTAAAAGATAGAAAAGCAAAATGAAAGGTAAATTGCAGAGTTTTGGAAACAAATTGAAGAGCAAAAACTCATTTCAGAACGGGAAGAAAAAAAAAAAAACCTACCTGAACTGTAAATAGCAGGAAACAGAATAGACAATGCCAAAAATAACAAAGCTACCATCATAGAGGAAGAATTTCAGATCTCCAAAGGGAATAAGAGGAATAAAACACATCATTGCATATTCAAGCCAAAATGAGGAAAAAGAAGGAAAATTCATTTTGCATAAATAAATATACCATGTATGTGATGGTAGGAAATTAATTTCAGAAAGTAAATGTTATAACTCATGAATTTGTAAAAATAACAAAGATAATTGCACTATGAAAATTAGGTAAAAGGGAAGATCACCACAAAATGAATGAATTGCCCATCCTATTAAACATCTTTCAATTTTCTCTCAATAGTAGTCAACAGATACTCTTCTGAATTGATAAATATTAAAGCATATCACAGAGTGTTGTATAAGGAACCTGCAGAAAACCTAAAAACAAAAAGATAACTAATAATATATTGGGGTTTGAAGTGAGAAGTGGAGAATTAATAGAAACTGTCAGGTTGATAAATCATGAACTATAGGTTGAATTATGTAAAATTATATAGGTAACCACTTAAACACATAAAAGCAATAAATCTTTCATTTTAACAAAAGGATTGCACATAATCAGAAGGAGGGGGGAAATAAAAAAATCCAAAAGGGAATGCAAAAGAAATATTAATTACAGATATTGAAAAAAATATTAAACCAAATATATCAGCAATATGTATTAAAAATATAAGTGCAGATCCAAGATAAATAAACCTAAAACAAAGTGCCTCAAAAAGGTTAAACATAAAATTGAGTATAAAATAATAAGAAATACATATTGGTCTGTGTCTCCAGTTTCTGACACAGAGCTCCTAATACCCTTGTAATTTCCTGAGTGATGGGGGTACTGGGAGCATCTTTTGTTCTAATATTGGTTGGGAGCATCTTTGACTGGGTTCCTGGTACAGAGCTTCCAATCCCTTGGAATTTCCTGGGTGATAGGAGCATCTTTTGTTCTAATGAACGACTCTTGGTGGAATCCTAGATGAGGGCTGGTCACCAGAAAGACCAAGCCATGGTTAGAAGCTTGGAACTTTCAGCCCCACACCCCATCCTCTAGGGAGGAAAGAGGAGTTGGAGATTGAATCAATAATCAATCATGCCTACATGATGAAGCCTCCTTAAAAATTCCTAAGTACAGGTGCGGGAGCTTCAGGGTTGGGGAACACGTGGTGGTGCTCCTGGAGAGGCCATGGCAGCTCCATACCCACCCCCACCATATCTTTTCCTGTATTTCTCTCCCATTTGGCTGTATTCTTTATAATAAGTGGATAAACATAGTAGTGTTGCCCTGGGTTCTCTGCGCTGTTCCACCAAATGACTGGACCTAAGAAGGGGGGCGTGGGAACCTCCGATTTATAGCCAAGTTGGACAGAAGCTGTGGGTGACCTGCAGACCCACCACTTACAACTGGCATCTGGAGCAGGGCAGTCCTGGGAATTGAGCCCCTCCCCTGTGGGGCTGGCTCTAACTCCAGTTAGTGTCAGAGTTGAGCTGAACGGTAGGACACCCAGCTGGTGCTGGAGAATGGGTGGGATTTTTCCCCACACATGTGGAGACGGGAGGTGTTGTGTGAGTGTAAGAATGAACGAGAGAGGCATCTCAGCATAAGAAATCAGTGGGGCTGATTTTAAAAGCAGACAAATGTGAATTCAAGGTTAAGTATTGAAAATAGAATGAAAATCCGGTAAATCGTTAAACATCCTGTGGTAAATGGAAGGATGATTGAAAGAGGAATGCTGCTGACAGGGAGCGTGGCCCCAGCCAGGCCAGTGAGCAAAGCCAGGGGTGGAACTCCCACACACCCGCCCAGGTCGTTCTCAGAGAGGGACCCATTCACAGGCACTGATCATACAAACCCCTCAGAAACACCTCAGCACATTATAAATATTAGAAATAGAACAAAAGGCATTTTGCTTAAAGCATAAGGTAATGTAACTAGAAATTAATTTTTAAGTTAAAAAATGTGGAAATTTTAAAACACTCAACAAAGCTCAGTTCGGGCTGGTCTGAGTGCAGTGGGGTGTACAAGGAATTGATTACAAGCAGTTACAGGTTTCTTTGCTCCTTTTCCATTTCCACTGCTGCTTCACTTCACTAGCCTTTATTTAAAAAGTCAGCTTGAAGAAGGTACAACAATTCAACTTATAGAATATCCAGAAAATACAAATGAAAACATTGCATATTAAGACGTATGGACTGCTGTTAAAGCTTTGATCAGAATAAAATGCAGAGCCAAAAATACTTATCTGATTAAATAAGAATAATTGGAAACACATGAATTAGGCATCTATTGAATAACTTAGAACAACAACAACAAAATAAAAGTAGAAGAGAACTGGCTGGGCACGGTGGCTCACGCTGGTAGTCCCAGCACTTTGGGAGGCTGAGGCGGGTAGATCAACTGAGGTCAGGAGTTTGAGACCAGCCTGGCCAACATGGTGCAACCTCTACTAAAAATACAAAAAAAAAAAAAAAAAAAAAATTAACCGGGAGTGGTAGTGGGTGCCTGTAATCCCAGCTACTCAGGAGGCTAAGGCAGGAGAATTGCTTGAACTCGGGAGGTGGAGGTTGCAGTGAGCCAAGATGACGCCATTGCACTCCAGCCTGGGTGACAGTGCGAGACTTCCTCTCAAAAAAAAAAAAAAAAAAAAAGTAAAAGGATCATGGCTGAATCCTGAGGATATCTTATTTCATGTAATGTGAAATAAGTCAGTCACAAAAGGACAAATACTATATGAATCCACTTGTATCAGGTACCTAGCCAAATTTATAAAGACCAAAAGGAGGCCAGGTGTGGTGGCTCACGCCTGTAATTCCAGCACTTTGGGAGGAGGAGGCAGGCAGATCACTTGAGGCCAGGAGTTCGAGACCAGCCTGGCCAACGTGGTGAAACCCCATCTCTACTAAAAATATATAAAATTAGCTGGGATTGGTGGTGTGCTCTGGTAATCCCAGCAACTCTGGAGGCCGAGGCATGAGAATCGTTTGGACCCAGGAGGCAGAGGTTGCAGTGAGCAGAGATTGCACCACTGTACTCTAGCCTGGGTGATAAAATGAGACTCTGTCTCAAAAAAAGAAAAAAAAAAAAAAAGGACCAAAACAAGAGTGGTTGATGTTTGATAGAGACAGGGTTTCAATTTGGGAAGATGAAAAGAGTTCTGGGAATATGTGGTTGTGAAGACTGTACAACAATGTGACTGTATTTAATGACACTGAATGGTACACTTAAAACTGGTTAAAATGATAAATTTTATGTTATGTATATTTTACGAAAATTTAAAAATATACAATAATTTTTAAAAAGTAAAATAGAATGAAAATATTAAAGATAAAAGCAGAAAACTAAAAATTAGAAAACATACCTGCAGAATTTGTTGATGGGAAGTATTTATCAAAGGTGAACACACAGAACTCTAACACAGCAGCAGAGGAAATGGTAGGAAGGCCATTGGCAGAAAAAAAGGAAATTTAGAAAGCAGTGCAAAATGTTACACGTGACGGTGGAGAGAAGACAAGAAAGAGTGTGGAACTGCAGCGCTGCAGAAAGGTGGCATTCCCGAAGCGGGCTGTGTGCAAACACAGGGGGCGTCTCGTCACAAAGAGTTTGAGAAAGATAGAATCTGTGGGCCGCATCCCCAGGGGCCATAACTTTGAGACCCCTTCCCCAACTCAGGACAAGCTATGGCATTAGAAGGTCAAACGCATATGAAGTAAACAGTAATTACAAAAGGAGCTATCCATGGTGAGGTCAGAAACACTGATAGACGGAAGGTCTAGGGAGGTTGGGAAGGGTTTGTACCACATAAAAAATGAAGGAATGAGAAAAAGTTAAATTATGTAAGAGTTCCTTCCTGAGGCGTGCACCTCCAGGGGGCTCTGCTTAAAGCTTCTGTCAGTCTTTTCTCCAACTCACTGGGGTCCCCGTGAGTGCAATGACCAGCTACATCTAACCCACCATGCTGCCCCGACTAGTTTGTCCCACAGGCTCCCAGGGCCCAGAGGAAGGGCTGAACCGTGTGTTGGGCCCAGCACTGGCTGGAGAAGCACCTGCAACAACTGTGGCTTCTGCTGTGCTGGCCCACTGCTGTCACCTGGGAGGGCTGGGTCAACACAGGGACCCCCAAGACCCTGCAGACAGGTCCTCGGACTGCAAAGTCTAAGGGTCCGATGTCTTAAAAATATAAACCGGTAAAACTCATGGCAAGCTAAATCAATAGGCACGGGAGAAAGGAGAAATGCACACAATTACAAACGGAAAAAGGAGAAAAAGCCACAAATACAGAGGAAAGAAAACACCTGAAGTGCATATATTACAAAACTACGCAACTATGTTGAAAAGTGGATGGAATTAATTTTATTTTTAAAAATGTCATTAAAATGGACTCTAGAAGGGCTCGAGGACCTAACTTGCCTGATGAGCAAAATCCAGAAATATACCACGGCAGGCCCAGACAGCCCCAGCTAGTTCTTCTACACTTAAGCAGAAAATAATCCAAAACCAATAGATGATTGTAGAATATAGAGGTTTTTGTTTTATAATATTTCTTCCTTTAAGTCAGCATAAAGTTAAATCTGGACAAAAAACACATAAAAGCAAGATGTAGAATGATGAATCTTAATTATAAATATTGATAACCAAAGTCATGATACTAATAAGTAAAGAACATCTCAGGAATACACTAATGATTTGGTCTTAAGTATTCTATTAATATAATTAAACATACTACTAGAGCAAAGGAAAAGACCTTCTGATAATCCCTCTGGACACTGAGAAGGCTTTGACAAAAATCTAACATCTACATTTTCCCCAGAGAGTCTTAATAGTTTGAGAATACACAGATACTTTTTTATTATGGCAAGGAAAATACATGTCTTCATACAAGTTAAACGCTGAGACATTAAAACGTCCCACTGATGTCACGAACAAGATAAGCATGCCACCTGAATCACTGTGACTCAACACTGATCTCAAATCAACTAGATACAAGAAAGAAATAAGAGACACATTGGAAAGGAGAAGTCAAAAGTATACCTTAGAAACAAGTAGGAATCACAATTTGTGGTTGATTATAACATTCATACATAAAAACCAACTACTTTCTTATACAATGGGATAAAATAGAAAATAAAGTGGAATAAATCATTCCATTGAAAATGATAGCCAAATGATAAAACATCTAGAAATAAACTATAAATTCAAAGCACCTTAGTGAACAAAATCATAAAACACTACTAAGTTACATAAAATTAGACTTAAACACAAGATTTCATGCTTTTGAATAGGAAGACTCAATCTGTAAATTCATTGTGACTCTAATTGAAAAAAGATTCATATGAGAGAGAGATTCAGAGTTGATGGGAGTGTTGACTTGAAAATACTGATATTAGTATGAATAATGCTTTAGAAATGAAAGGCATTCATAGAGATAAATAGAACAGAAACAGAACCAAACACTTAAAGAAATTTAGTTTACAAATAAGGCTGCATTTTGAACAACTGGGGAAAACACTATGACTGTATTTTAGAAATGCATTATTACATATTTATTGATACTGCTGACCACCATTTCGAGGAAAAAGTATGGATTTTTCCCTCATGTCCTGCAACAAATGAATTCCAGGGAGTCTGAAGATGTGAAGGTAAACCAATAAAACCATAAAGTTTCAGAAGAAAATGCGAGTAAGTCTATTTATAATCTCAGAATGAGGAAGGCTTTTAAAAACTGGAAACAAATCCCACGATCGACAAAGAAAAATACTCACAAATTGACAACATAAAAATTTAAACTCTATGCCAATAAATAAGGAAATCAATAAATAACATCGAAAGACAAATGATAAAAATATTTTAAAGACATAAGACAAAAATGTCCCAAAGTGCATGAGCAAATTAAGAAAAAGCCAAATAACCCAATTAGGAACTGGGTAAAATATATAAATGTATCAAAATTAAAACTACAAAAAAATTTTAAAAGATGTCCCATTTTATACACAAAATAAACCAAAATCAGAATAATATTCGTAAATATCATGTTTCACCAATTATATTGGGAAAAACATTAAGTTTGAAAATACCCAGTGCTATTATAGAAAGCTGAGAAATTGGGCCTTTTATTGTACTCTTGATGGAGTTACATCCTTCGATCAGTTTCTAGAAGATAATCTGGCAATAGCTATCAAAATTTTAAATACATGTAGCCTTAAACCCAGCAATTCCATTTCTAAGTTGGAATTTATACCGTTTTAGTCACAAAACTATGTCAAGATGTATGTACAAGTATGCCAATTATAGATTTGTATATAAAAATAAAAACTGGAAGTATCCATATGTTCACCAATAAAAGGCTATTCAAATAAATGATAGTCCGCTGAGATAATGGAATGCTAAGCAGCTACTAGGAGGAATGAGGTAGATCTTTATATGTTATTATGGGACGACCTCTAAGACAAAACACCACATGAAGAATGCAAGGTGCAGCGCCCTTCACAGAGCGTTAGTGCTGGAAAGGGAAGGTCTCTCTCCATAACCCCCGTCCCTCCTTCTTTGGCCTCTTATCTTCTTTTCTTCCTTTCTAGAAATGCCCTTAGAAGCTCATTAGTGGTCCCCTCTGAGAGAGAAAACAGGCAGTATGGGAGACTGTTGTTTTTAACCACTCATACTTTTCTAACTATGTGCACATCTATTCCTTATTATTACTTTATTAAAGGACAGAGTAGTTATTTGAGAGTCCAAAATATGCACAACTTGTTTGCATTTTGTGTTCCTGTATAAAATACAAAACCAAAAAGGTTTCTTTTTAAAGCAAAAATGTGGGAGGGATCAATTTTGGGATAATGATAAGAAATGAAGCATTCCTTTTATATATCAAAACACTTCTACTTGTTTCTAAAGACACTGTAACAGAAAAAAAAAAAAAACCGAAAATCTTGTGCATGGTTCATCCATAGCATGTGGAAGGAATGCCTGCTGAAGAATGATCCTGCTCCAAGCCGCCTGAGGCTGGAATGTCCTGATCCACCAACTTTCTCGTAAGTGAGGTCTCTTGTCACACACAAGGTACCTCACACTTACACACACACACACACCGCACACACGCAAGCTTCCATCTTCCTCCAGTGCAAACAAAGTCATGTGCATTACCCAGAAATGAGTGAGCCAGATGGCTGGAAAAGCACATACAATTTATTTAACTCTGAAAATCAAATCTTCCCTCATGATGTTCCCACCTCAGGGATTAGAAGCAAATTAAAAATCTCTAGGGGCTCAGAAGCCTTCTATAATTTTGAGCTCTGAGCAGTTGTTGGATGACACAATGGAACAGGAGAGGTCTTTCTTGGTGAATTACCCTCTGATCTCATTAAAGAATAAGAATGAGACCATCCTGGCTAACATGATGAAACCCTATCTCTACTAAAAATACAAAAAATTAGCCAGGCATGGTGGCGGGCGCCTGTATTCCCAGTTACTCGGGGGGAGGCTGAGGCAGGAGAATGGCATGAACCCGGGAGGTGGAGCTTGCAGTGAGCTGAGATCATGCCACTGCACTCCAGCCTGGGCGATAATCTAAGGGAAGAGCTGTATCATCACTTAGGTTTAAAAATTAAAGTTTCTCTTGTTTTAAGTTGCCCATCTCCAGTGAATCCACCCAAGGACTTTGAGCCAGCTTTTGGGGCTGCAGCTGGGGTGGACTGGCTTGGAGCAGGCAGACTCCCAAAGGCCAGAACTCAGAATTGCTGGCTTGTCAGTCACTGAGGGTCGGCCAGCTCCTCCCTGCTGCCTGCCACTGGCCAGGTATCCAGAGAAGGGATGGGCCACACCATCCCCTCCCTGGCGCCTGCCATACTGGGGACCAGAAGAGTTCCCAGCCTCTACTTCCTGGCCCTGACACAGGCAGAAAGGGCCTAGGAATATGTTCACTTTATGTTGTGCATTTGTATGGATGCACACATTTCTAAGACTAATTAACTCCAGTGCATGTGAATCAGCTAACACATTATTTTTTTAAAGCCCACGTAAGTGGCTTCACTTAGCTGTAGCTATTCTTTTGGGCTGTTAATTCTAGTAGAACTCTTATTTGTCCTATGGGTTCTGCAGAATAGAACAGATTTGCTCAACTCCTCAGTGTCTGAGAGCAGCACCTAGGAGTTATCTGGGATCCACCAAAGACACTCCGCGGGGCCTGGCCCTTGTTCAGAATAAACAGAAACCTGCGTCCCTTTGATCTCCTTGACAGGGTAGGTTTGCAGAAGTCAGGCAGGCTGGTAAAAACATCCTTAGTAAGACCAACAGTCTGTCTTTTTTTTTTTTTTTTTTTAATGTAGAAACAGCATCAAGCTGTTTCTCTCTACCGTCTTTGATAGAAATAAAAATAAAAATAAAAAGTTGAATTGCAGAAAAGCTAAGAGGTTTTTAGTTTTTGTTTTTTGTTTTCCTTCCACCAGTCAATTATTGGAAAGGATTTAGTGAGTCTGGTTTATTTTAGCTTCAATCTGGGTTTGTACACAAGCAAAAAGCAAATGTTGAATTTTCAGGTAGACCTTCATGCAGACATGCAAAACCAACTGTCTCGGTGGTGAGGAGCCATGGGGAGCTCTCCGAAGGGCTTTCCAGGCAGTGGGCTAATGGGCAAAATGACTACTCAGTGGCCCTGCTGACCGATGGTACGGATGTGCCAAGGATATCTATCAGCCCATCTGAGAATATGAAACAAAGTGCTGAGATTCTACTACCTAAAGTAACAAAGAAACCGTAAGCAACACGACTGACAGCCAGAAGGGAACACTGGAGTTGTGGCGTGTAATGCTGTCCTGGATTAGCACCCCCAAATCTCGCCAAGCCAAAGGCCTTGCCCATCTGTGAGTTTTCCACATGTACAGAACCAGGCGTGGTTACGCAAAGTCTTTGGACACGGCCTCCACGAAGTTGGGAGCCAACATCAGGATGCCGATGGTGCAGATGATGGTGAAGACCGAGAAGGCCATGAGGCACAGGCGGTCCACCACACAGGCGGCGAACTTCCACTCGCTGCAGACCGCCTCGCTTTCGTCCTGGCAGCGGAAGCGGTTGGCAATGTAGCGGACCTCCTCCAGGATCTTGGCCAAGTCCGGGTCCCCCTCGGGGGGTTGCCCACCGTGCAGGAGGTGCTCATCGTGCGTGGGGGAGCAGGCCATGCGGCCACACACTACCCCAGAGTCGGGGGTCGGGACACAGTGCACGCCGTCCAGGCCGCGGAAGCCGATGTACAGCAGGTTCCCGTTGCTGGCGGGCGGCGGCGCCACGGCGCTCATCTCCACACTGGCCAGGCTGCAGCGCCGCTGCTTGTGCTGGCAGGCCGGGCGCACCTTGTCCTCCCCGGGCCTCTTCATTCGCAGGAACCACGCGCACCAGTTCAGAAGGATGACTCTGGTCTGGGGAGACAACAGAACGTTAAGAGCAGCCCTGAGGCGGACACGGGCTGATCCCAACAGCAGTAAGATCCTACAATACAAGCCCTGCTTCATTGGTCCTGGGGGTAGCAGCCTCCACTGCCTCCCGGATGATTTTAGCAGGCAAGCAGTGCTTGCGTATGACAAGCAGTCGAGTTCAACGTGAGGCAAGACTAAAACTGATGCACCCTGGGAACAAGCTAAATTGTTCTCCGGGGCAGGCACACTGCAATCTCAGGGAAGACAGCTTCGTGGAAGGGGAAGGCTATCTGAGCTGTGTAAAGAGGGAAAGTCAATTTCCCTCTCTGATCCTTCCTCATCTGTAACCCGGGGACCTTCAGATCTAACTCTGGCTCCCACACTACCTGTTAGGTGCCCTGGAAGGCCACTGCAAATTCGCAAAGAGTGCCTGGGGGAGGTTGTACATTTTCAAATGCAATCCCAGGATATCCATGAGACACCAGGTAAACTTGAAGCTTGAAGCAGTTCAGGCTTCCAACATCAGATTACCACATCTCTTGTGATGACGTGACCACTTTGCAAAGCTGTTTTTCAAAGTACCCTGATAAAAAGCAAACACCAAGGAACTTCATGTGAAACAGAAACTAGGTTAGTGGTCTCCAATCTGATCCCAAGATTTGAGAGGCGGTGCCGTGCCCCATAGGTGCTACATTGTTAAGGCATAAATACTTATTAAAGTGTTTTGATCTATTTAAAAAGAGAGCCTTGGGTATTATTTCTTTTGGCCAGGGGCTCTGTGAAAAATTTCCTGAGATACTAACGTGCTGTGAACCAAGGCAGTTTCGGAACCTCTAACCTAACTCAGTAGGCTTCAATGAAGACCGAATAAGATGATGTCTGGGAGAGTACTTTGAAAAGTTGAAGGCAGAAGTTGGCAAACTTTCTGTAAAGGGCCAGGCAACTACTCACTTCTGCTGATGTAGCACACATTGAAGGCGTCAAATGGATGGGCATGTTTTCTAAAATAACTTATTTACAAAAACACTTGGTGGACTGGATTTGGCCACCTAGGCCATAATTTGCTAACTTCTGGTCTAAAGTGTGTCCTAGAGTGCATGAAAGAAGCTGGAGAAAAATCACCATGGAGTTTATCCTGGTTTTGCCTCTCATGGAAAGAAGAGAGACAACTGAAGCCTCAATCCAGGTAAAGAAGCATTCTTGCAAGCCCATCCATGTAAAGTGTATGAAAAGTGGGCCTTTTCCCTGAAATTATCCAGATCCTGATTTCATTTACATTTTGTTTTATGATTTTGGGGAAATTCCATCAGTAACCTAACAGGTTTATTTCCTATCTTTAGGAAATAAATATACAGATAGTAAATTGTGCAGTTCGTATCTGCAGAGCTTTCATTCTTGGTCATCTTTTTATAACATCTTATCAAAGATAACTGCAACAAACAGGTCTGGGGACAAGAACAGGGAAGCACAAGACCAGTTTCATTGCAGCTATAAAAATAACCCTTTGTTTCCCATTGTACTTTACAAGCAGGCGGCACTCTGCGTGTCCTGGAAAGGTTGGGTCTGCTGACCTTGGAGGGTTTTTTATGATCAGTAAGGAGCAGGGACATATGGCCCCAGGTGAAACCTTGGGTGAGTTGGGCCGTCCATACAAGGCTCATGAGACAAGTCATCTCACTTGGGCCTTTCAGGGTCCGGTGAAATGAGTATAATCCCCTCACTTTACAGACCAACAAACTGAGGTTCAAAGAGGCTAATAAACTGGCCCAACGATGTACAATGAGTAAGTAAGTGGTTATGTCACTTCACATGTTTAGCCTTTCCCAGTCTCATCTGTCAAAGGGTCTGTAAGATTCTCTTCAAAACTCGCACAACCCCACCCCTCTGGGAAGGCACCAGAAAGCCTGAGCCAGCTCTCCTGGGAGGCTGCAGGGCAGTGAGTGTGCCTGCATCCAGTGGCAGCAGTGCACACAGGGAGCGAGCAGCACCAGGCACTTCTCCCTCCATGGCAGGGTCTACACGTCCCCCAGTGCACATCTCAAGCTCATACGATACACTCTGCCAAGTCCATTTTGAATTCCATGGCCTGAATCATTAACTTTCAAAGCCAAAGCATTTAAAAGATAAAATTATCCTCTTGGCACTCCTCAAACTGTGCTCTTGACCTCTTCTGTTAGGCTACAGTTTTGTTTCTGGCTGTGCAAATGTCACATAATGCCACTGCACCCGGCAGTATCTTCTTCATAGCAACAGATCATAATAAAAGTCCCTCGGAGGCTGTTTGTGTTTCACATACACATGGAATGAAAGAAAAATGCAGAGTGCTATATAAAGCAAGAGAAATGCATAAGCTTCATCTTTCATTTGCAGCCAATTGGTTTTAATAAGCTTTTATGCTGAGAGGTGAATAATTAGCATACGTTCTTAATTAAGATTGTTCTAGAGCAGTAGAGTGCTCCAGGTCGTTAAAAATGGTTTTGTGTCTCAATGTCTTAATTCTCTTATCTTCTCATCAGTCAAAATACTTACAAGAAATGAGAATGTTTAGATTTTTGTATTTGCATAAATAAATACTAGAAGGAAAAATAAGGAATTCATTAAAACGGTTATCAGTATTGACGGTAGATGCAGGGTAAAGGGGAAGGAATGGGAGCAGGATTTCCTTATGTATAATTTTAATTTTATTTTGACTTTAGAAACAGGTAAATGTATTACCTGCTTCAAACTGATGGATGGACAGACAGAAAGAGCAGCAAACCAACAAGCCTCCAGCTCTCAGGCCTCTCACCTCTGGCCTTGCATTTTCTTAAGTGTGGGTCAGCGTTATAAGGAAATCAGACAAAAATACAGGTGAATGTGTGCAAATGTACCCCAGTGTTTTAAGGGGGGGCCTTCACAAAACAAGCCTCAGGGAATGTAGTGATGTGGTCTGTGTGTGAGACATCACCATGTAGGCTGAGCTCACATTACTGCTTGTGTAATGAGCTACAAGTGAGTCTTTTTTTTTTTTTTTTTTTTTTTTTTTTTTTTTAGGAGATGGAGTTTTGCTCTGTCACCCAGGCTGGAGGGCAATGACACCACCATAGCTCACTGGAGCCTGGAGCTCCTGGGCTCACATGATCCTCCCACCTCAGCCTCCCAGGTAGCTGGGACTACAGCCACACACCACTGTGGTGGGCTCACAGGTAAGTCTTTACTAAATAGTGTATAAGGGGAATGGGCCATGTGGGTGAAACTCTGAGAAGAAACAGTAATTTTGTAAAGCATTTCTTAAGAAGCAGTCTTTGCTAAGTGAGCATTCAGGTAACAACTCCACAATGACTGTTTCAGGAGGCCCAGCAATCCCCTATTCCTGGAGGGTGCCTGACAGCATCTCACCCCCTACAGCTGCATTTAGCTTGTTGGTGATTCCTAGATTCCCTTCTGAACTGGGACACAAGTGCTCTCCAAAGACAGACAACTTTTGGAATGTGAGGGCCTTTTTAGCTCCCCAAATCCTTAGGCCAGGCTCTCTAGACAGGAGGACGGGGAAGCTTTACAAAGCTCACATGAAGAGGGGAAGAAGCTCAGGCCCTCCCTAGGCCCTCATCAAGGTTTCCTGACTGCCAGGCAAGGGTGGATGCAGAGCTCTGGACACCGTGCAGGAGAGGATCCCTGGGTGGGTGAGCATCCGCAGATGTGGCCGGGCACGGTGCCAGCAGCTGGGGCAGGAGTGGTATGGCCCAGGCTAAGCTGACAGGCTGTGGGATGCCATCCTTTCTGTTTTCATCCGTTTCCTTTTATCCCTTCCCCCTTCTGCACTGGTGACAATTAGTCTTTGTTTCATAGACTTCTGGTTGGATGATATCCCTAGATGTACTGAACGTACATATTTGTACACAGCTCATTCTGTTTCTTACTCTTTGCTCCTCATTCTGTTGTGAAGCCTCAACCATGTTGCTACGCATCTGTCTCATCTGTTGCTTCCAACTGCAGCACAGTGCTTCACGGCATGCATCAAAAAACAAACTAGCTTCTCAAAACACCGTGCTGATTGATAGAACACACAGGGCAGCCAGTTTGAGAGCCTTACTCTACTCTGCAGTTAGATTAGACAGCAGTGCCACGGGGCATCCGGGAACACGTGCACCATGACTGCACACTACACAAAGACACGTCAATAGGTGACGAAATACAGAAACAAAGCTATTTCTGGCTGGGAACAATGGCTCACACCTGTAATCCCAGCACTTTGGGAGGCTGAGGTGGGCAGATCACGAGGTCAGGAGTTCGACATCAGCCTGGCCAACATAGTGAAACCCCATCTCTACTAAAAATACAAAAAAAAATTGGCCAGGTGTGGTGGCAGGCGCCTGTAGTCCCAGCTACTTGGGAGGCTGAGGCAGGAGAATTGCTTGAATCCAGGAGGTGGAGGTTGCAGTGAGCCAAGATTACACCACTGCACTCCAGCCTGGGTGACATAGTGAGACTCCGTCTCAAAAAAACAAACAAAAAACCCAAAGCTATTTCTTTAGGAATGCCCGTTTTTTGTGTGATTTTAAAAATAAACCCTAGGAGGAGCCTCCTTTACAGCGGGGCTCCGACTCCATCGGGGGTGGGAGGAACGTACCCACTTGGGCATCTTGCCCCCGTCGGGGTCGTGGTGGTGGTACTGCAGCACGATCACCGTCACCACCACCGAGAGGCCCACGATGATCATGGTGCTGGCGAAGTACTGGGCTGTGGAGAGAACAGATGCAGGGTGAGACCCGGGGATCCTGTGGCACTGCACGTCACAGGACAGGCACACCCTGATCAGGTTCTCTGACCGTCAGGGCCTCAGGGTGCAGTGATGCCCATGTGTCCAGGCCTGCAGCCCACATTCTGGGTGGGCAAAACCAGCCAGTGTGGTCTGACTTCCCGCCCACGGAGTGACCTTCCCTCACTTCATTGCACTTCCATGCACTCTGGCCGACTTGTCAGTCAATAAGAGCTAGCATCGCCTGGCAGGATGGTGATAAGCTTGTTCCTGTGGGTAAATACTGGATGTGAGGGCATGGGAACCATCCAGTGTTCATGATGCAGGCCTCTACTGTGCTCCAGGGGCACAATGAGGGCAAACCTGCACACCACCTGGCTGCCAGCTGTCCAGCCTGAGGAAGGGGTCAGTGGCAGGGACTTTTCAGGACGAGAACTTCAGTCTCAGCTTTGGTTCTAATGGGTCATGGGTGTCCTTCCACCTGGGCCCAGGTGAGGGGCAGCATGGAGCATCTGAGTGCTTCCATCCTGGTCCACTAGCTACTGGCTGTGAGTTTGGAGTGGATGCTCAGCCTCTTCGGGCCTCAGCTCTCCAATGGGGGTGGTACAAAGGATGACGTTTGTGTCCCCACGAAGTTCATGGGTTAAAACCCTAGTCCTAACTGGGATGGTATCTGGAGGTGGGGCTTTGGGAGGTATGAGATTGTGATTTATAATAAGAAATATGTATTTGGTCTTCCTCCCATTTCCTGGCACACAGCTCCTAAAACCTTTGAATCTCTGAAGTCATCAGTGTCTTTTTATATGCTAATGAAATGATTTATGGCTGAGGTTCCTGGATACCCTCAGGATGGGGTTTGGTTGCCAGGGGAACCAGCCAAGTAATTAGAGAGTTGGAACCTTCAAGCTCTGTCCCCTCTCCCAACCCTTGACCCCTGGGGAGGAAAGAGGTACTGACGGTTGAGTGGATCGCCAGTGGCCAATGATGTAATCAATCATGCCTATGTAGTGAAGCCTCCATAAAAACCCAAAAGGATGGAGTTCTGTGGAGACCTTCCCAGTGCTGAACACGGGGAGGTGTTTGGAGGGCAGAGAGGGCATGGCAGTTCCATGCCCCTTCCCAAATACCTTGCCCTATGCATTTCTTTCATCTGACTATTCATCTGTGCTTTATAATTAATGAATAAATATCAGTAAAATGTTTCCCTGAGTTTACTAGAGTGAGTCACTCTAGTAAATGGCTGAACTCAAAGATGTGCTTTTGGGAACTCCCCGATTTATAGACACTTGGTCAGAAGCATGGGAAGCCGGAACTTCTAACTGGCATCTCAAGTAGAAATGGTCTTGTGAGCCTTAATCTGTGAGTGCTGTGCTAACTCCAGGTGGTGTCAGGACTGAAGTGAACTCACTGTAGGACGCCCAGCTGGTTTCCAAGAATTGGTCGATGTGAGAGAAACGCCCCGCTTTGGTGTCAGAAGTGTTGTGTAAGTAGAGAAATGGTGACTGATTTTCTCAGGGGCCTTCAACAGGTCCTGAGGGTGCAGCCCTCATGAATGGGATTAGAGTCCTTCATAAAAAGAGGCTAAAGAGCTAATTCACTCTCTTTTTGCCACGTGAGGCCACAGCGAGAAGAGGGCCAGCTGTAAACCAGGGAGTGGCCCCTCACCAGAGCCCTGCTGCCACCCTTATCGAGGACGTGCAGCCTTGCAGAACTCTGAGAAATAAATGTCTGTTGCTTAGGCCCCCAGTCTACAGCAATTTGTTACGGTAGCCTCCATTAAAATAGGAACTTCTTCCTTGCAGGATTTGTGCAATGATGAGCAATTACACAGGCCAAGATGTCTAGGAGAAAGGAGGGGGCATTCTTTAGTGGGCAGCTCTAATTATTAAACCTTTGGTGTGGCTGTCCACTCAAGGGGCTGAACTCTAAGCGGAAAGCATCAGGGTGCAGGGCGCTAAGCATTCAGCTAGCCCTCACAGGCCCTCACGCCAGGAAGGAACTCACTGCCTTCCTACAAAGACCAAGAGGTACCTGGGAGGAGCTCTGCCAGAGCTGGAAGTTTGAGACCTAAAGTTAGCATCAGGGCCCCTGAGAAAAGGAAGGAGACTGGAGCAAACCGTGACCCTTATGAGCTGAATTATGCTTCCCCCTAGAATTCATATGTTGAAGCCCCAACCCCTAGTACCCTAGAATGTGACTGTACTTGGAGATAGGGTCTTTAAGGAGGTAATTAAGTACAATTAGGTCATCAGGGTAAGCCCTAATCCAATCTGACTGGTGTTCTTTTAATGAAGAAGAGAAAATTTGGACACACAGAGAGACACCAGGGATGCAGGTGCACAGAGGAACTACCAGGGGAGGACAAAGCATTGTGAAAGTGGTTGTCTGCAAGCCAGGGGGAGAGGTCTCAGGTTAAACCATCCCTAATGGCCCCTTGGTCTTGGACTTTCAGCAGTGCAACTGTGAGAAAATAAATTTCTGTTAGTTATTTAAGCCCCTAAGTCCATAGTATTTTGTCACGGCAGCCTGAGCAGACCAACCACCTCTGGAGAGATGGGGGTCAAAGGATTGCCCAGACTGAATTTCCATCAACAGAGGGCAGCAAAGCTGATGTCCCTGGGGCCATCAACATCCCATCCTTCGAGATGTGGGCTATGCACCAACCAAGCCTTTCCCAGCGGGTCATCAGTCCAGAGAGAGAAGGCCTGACAACTGCCCCCGGAAGGGAGGCTGCAAATCTCTACTGAAAGCAGTGTGCTGGAAGGTAGAAAGAATGGAGTCAGAATCAGGTGGAAAGGTGGTTCTTCCCTGTCTGGATGGTACCAAGAGAAAAATGATACCCACAAAGGCTTTTCATACCAACAGTTTCTCTGGCCAAAATACTGCACATACAGGGAGTTCCACAAAGAAGGGCCTTTGCTGCTTGGTTCCTAAAGCCTGGGGGTATCCAGGTAGGGCTCTCCCTCTAGCCCACCCCCAGGTAGACACAGCATAGGTCCTCAAACAGCAGGGGCCAGCAGGTGTAATGACAGTCTGTATACCTCCTTCCAACCTTCCCTGCCCAGTGGGAGTGGAGACTTGTTTTTGTTGTCCCTCCCTGGGTAGAGGATCATGCCTTATACCTGTGCAAAATATATTTTTCTCATTCATATTTCCCTAGAAACTTTTATACAGAGACATTGAGTTATCTCAGGACACAGTAACTGTGTGCTTCTCCCATTTTAACAAAGGCTTTGTGGGAAAACAACATCTTAAGCTAAAATGATGCATCTCTAACGATGAAATATCTGGCTTCAAAGCAAGCATGAGGAGGAGAATTATGAGGGGAAGGGGGGCATTTCTGTGAGATAAAAGTCAAACCTCAAAGCTGAATATCCCCTTCCCCTTACTTGGGCCCGGGTGACTCTGAATAGTTACAGCAAATCATCACCTTCCAGAGAAAATGGGGGCAGTGCAGCCGTATTTCTTCTAGTTTCATCTGCTGGGAAATCCTGGGCACACTCTAACCCTAACCCCATATCTCTAAGAGAGGAGCCCAACTCTTGCCTTACCTATCAATGGTACCGAATCGGATGTTGCGGGCATGATCTCAGCCACGAGCAGCATGAAGACGGTAAGAGAGAGTAAGACTGTTATCCCTAAAACATAAACACACAGCGGTTCCTCAGACAAAAACAGACAAGAAGGCCTCAATTCTGTCTAACGAGGGCTCCTAACCTGACACTCAAAAGAAAGGGAGGCGCTGGGGGGAATGTCGTGGAATGCACGTTTTCCCTATGTATGGGCGTGTGCATTTTCCAGGGGACGTTCCATGCCACTTACCAGAGTCCCAAAGGAGTCTCTTATGGAGACAAGTTTAGGACCCAGAATTTTAAAAGCATCAACACAAACTGAAAAATTTAACTTGGCACAATTATCTTTCATATTCTCTGTAAAATATTATTGAGAAGTAGTTTCACGTAGCAGGAAAAAGAAAATATGCAGTCAGGAGACCTGATTTCAGGTCTTACGTTTGCTACTCAGCTAGCTATGTGACCTTAGATACAACATTCAACCTTTCTGAACCTCATACTCAGAAGATATGGGTTTGGGAATGATTTCTACCATATCCTACATCTGATGTTTAGCAACTCTTTAAGACATTGGGAAACTCATTCCACCATTCAAAATCTTGGTTTCCTTAGCTTCGTATGGGAGTGATTGTAAGAATTACACTGGGTACTGTAACATACAAATGCAAGCTGATACTAAGCTAAATTGTTCCCTCGATGACCAGTCGCCATTGAGGAACAGGTGGGGTGGCAGGAGGGAAGAAAGCACAGGCCTCTCAAGGCAGAATGGAGCTGGCCCCCTCCCTGTGCATCCCCCATCCTCTGAGGGTCCTCCAGTATTCTCAGGATTACACAGCCGTCCAGCACGGAGCCCGAATCAGGGACCTCTGGTGTCCTGGAGCCACCGTGGGCTCGGAGGTCCATGGGATGAGCCAGGGAATCCCCAGGAACCCTGATGGAGTCCTGCGCTGTCTGCTGTGAGCCCTCCAGAGCTGATCTCAGCAGAAGGTCTCCAGTCTCAGACTCCCGCCAGACACTGGGGCGCTTACCCAGGGAAATCTTCTCCCCGGAATCTGCAGGAAGCAGGAACACCAGCAGGGCGAGGGCGGAGATGAGCACACAGGGGATCAGCAGGTTGAGGCCATAGTAGAGTGTCCTGCGGCGCATGGTCACTGTGAAGGTGACATCGGGGTAGGGCTCTTTGCAGCACTCATAGAACCTTTCACTCCTCTTGCCGGGGATTCCTCCATAGGGAGGAGGAGAGAAGGAGCCATTGTTAGAATACAATAAATTACCCTGTTTATTTCAATGTGTATACCACACACAAGCACAGTCCTAAAGTTTGCAAAGTGCTAAAAAAAAAAAAGGGGGGGGTTGTAATTAGCTTGAATAAAACCTTGTTGATTTACTATAGAGTTAAGAGTATTTTAGTGATAGTTGGCCAAATTGGTACATATTCTTTTGGTGGATTGGAAACACATGATTATAATAATTATAAATAATACATTACCAATTTTACACTGTTATAAATGTAATCACTGTTTCCCTATTTTAAAATAATCAAATATAGGTTCCCATCAACTGAAATTTGCTGTTCAACTTGCTTTTAGAAATGGAGTGGATCTGCATAACGTAGAGAGATCTATCCTCACACTGGTTTGTTTAAATGCATCCTCACTGCAGTTGCCAGTTCCTCTTGGAAAGCATGGCATATCCTAACTGTTTTCTGTTTCTCCTCCTGTAGCTCTCAGTAAATTATGGAGACTACTGCAAAATTCAATAAATGCTCGCACCGGAAAGGACAGTGGAAAATCCCAAACTTTTAAAGCTTGCCCAGGAATAGGAAAGCTTTCTTCCAGGCGGTTAGTCTCATGGCTTACCCACTAGGTCCCATTCTCCATTGGGGATATAGCCACTGATATCTGCCTCCTGCATCTGCAGATCCAAGGACCAGCCTCCGTAAGACCAGGACCCAAACTTCAGTTTGCAGTGCTGCACATCAAAGGGAAACCAGCGTACATCGATGTAGCAGGAACTCTTGAATATGCCTGTGTGGGTGATGGAAACAGAAGACTGAAACGGAAGCTGACTGAGATGTGCTGAAAATACACAGCAGTTCCTTCAGCCGGTTCCGCCCTCCGCACTGCAGCTAACACAGTCCAGAGCAAACGGAATCTGTCTTTTTATTTATTCGCAAAATCTGTAAAACAGAATCTCAGCTAAGCTTCACTGTCTTTTAAAATCCAAACGTAACACTGACATGCTCTCTCAAAGACTGTTTTGTGGGCTTTTTGTGCAAAAAGTTAGCTCTATAATCTGCATTTACCATGAGCATCTTCAGACTCTAAATAATAAAAGTAAAGAATGCAAAATATCTCAGAGAAGTTGATAACCCTGATGATGAAGTTAGAAATAGAATCTAAAAGGTGTGTGTGTGTGTGTGTGTGTGTCTGTTTGGTGCGGGGTGAGGTAGGCATTTTCTTTAGGTTAAAAATGGGAAGAACACATGATTATCGAGAAATACAATCTAGAATTCTGGTTAAAGCTAGAATTTTAACTAATTTAAATTCTAGATGAAGAACAGAACAAGCTGGGCACAGTGTCTCATGCCCGTAATCCCAGTGACTCTAAGACATTGACGTGGGAGGGTCACTTGAGACTAGGAGTTTGAGACCGGACTGGGCAACATAGTGAGACATCTCTAATAAAAAAAATTAGCTGGGTGAGGTGATGCATGCCTGTAGTCCCAGCTACTCAGAAGGCTAAGGCAGGAGCATTGCTTGAGCCCAGGAGTTTGAGGCTAAAGTGAAGTGAGCTATGATCGAGCCCCTGCACTCCAGCCTGGGGAACACACCTAGAATCTGTCTGTAAGAAAAAAAGTTAAAACAAACAAACAAACAAACAAAAACAAGAACAGATAGATAGGTTTAAGCTGAAGAGATGGTGCTTGAAGGAAGAGTTTCCGCTGAAAAGAGCTATTCCAGGCTAGGACAGGTTGGAAGTGGATTTCCCAGAGGGCCAAGGGGAGGAAACCAGATAGAGGCCACTCCAGTTATTTACACTCATGTGCTCTTCCCTGCCCAGAGGAAGGCTGCATGGCACAAGAAGACAGGCACAGACTCGGTGTCCAGGTGTTCCTGGGGCAGGGCTGGCACTCTGCAAACTTCTGTTACTGAGTTACAGAAAGAGTGCACGCAGGAAGGGCCTCCACAGCCTTGCACACAAGGACCCCACCCCACAACCGAGTTGGGAAAAGATACACATTTTGTCCCCTGAAGTTCCTTTAAGTATGCTTTGCGTCCTTACATGAAATGTTTATAGGAATCTGGAATCATCACAGACAATCCCCCTCCATTAATAGTTGGATCCCCCCAAAACCCACCTTGTCTGCCAGTTAGTTGGAAAGCTTTGTAACTTCATGAGCCCATTTCTACGAAATAATGGCCCGAGACAGAGAATTTCTAGAGACAGAAAGCAGATCAGTGGTTGCTGGGAGTAGGAATGGGAATTAACTGCAAACAAGCAAAAGGGATCTTTGTGGGGTGATGGGAATGTTCTAAAACTAGACTGTGGTAATGGTTGCATAAGTCTGTAAATATACTAAAAGTTGTTGAATCATGTACTTAAAATGCATGATATGTAAATTCTCTCTCAATAAAGCTGTTAAAAAATAAACACATGAAATGGGGGGGAAAGTCATGTTATGGTCAAGTCTCTATTTCAAAGCTTGAACTCAAAACATTCTTTCCTATCCATGCCCCTCTAACTACAGACAGGGCAGCATCCTGGGACTCGTTCTACACTCCCAGGGAGCAGGCAGGGGTTTCCCAATCCAGGCAGCCCTGGGCCTTTCCTGCCAGCGTAAGGAAGCCCCTCATGGTCACAAGACAACGTGTCCTGTCCTGACCGGAATCCAGGGCCACTGCAGTGGGGACACAGGCCTGGAGCCCCAGAGGGGGCTGCTGCACTCAGGCAGCTCGAGGCTTGCAGTGCTGGTCCTGCAGCTGAAAATAGCCTCAGCCTTCCAAACAACCTGCAGCAGCATATTCTACACTGGTGACTACCGGAGGCTGTTTTCTAAAATAGCCCTCATAACAGAAGCTGCAACACGCAGGCCTGGCGAGAAAGACCTCGGGAGTGATGGAAGGCTCCCCCCACTACCCCTGTTTGCAAGGGTCCTGCTGGTAGGAGGAAATGCCAGGGCTAGCAGGAAAGCGGATGCTTCGAGAAGCCTGAACAGCTGGACTTCTTCAATCTCTTCCAATATTATTGGGAGGTGTCTACCATTGACAGGTTCACTCGCTCCTTTGTTCATTCAGGGATAAATGCTAAGGTGAGCAAAGGCTGACTGTGCCCCCAGATGCTTGTCACCTGCTGACAGGGAAGGCACACAGACAGCAACCGAGAAGGCACAGCCAGTATGTGTGGTATGTGAGTGGTGTGAATAGTGTATCTGGTTTGAGAGTGCATGCCTGCATGTGTGTAAGTGGTGTGTGTGAGGGTTGTGAGTCGTGTGTGAGTGGTGTGTATGGTGTGTGAGAGTGGTGTGTAAGTGGTGTGTGTGAGGGGTGTGTGTGTGTCTGGTGTGTGTGTGTTGGTGGTTTGAGTGGTTTGTGTGAGTGGTATGTGTGGAGTGGTGAGTGGTGTGTGGGTGGTATATTTGTGTGAGTGGTGTGTGAGTGTTGAGTCGTGTGGGTGGTATGTGAGTGGTTGTGTGAGTGGTGTGAGTGTTGAGTCGTGTGGGTGGTATGTGAGTGGTTGTGTGAGTGGTGTGTGTGTTGAGTCGTGGGTGGTATGTGAGTGGTTGTGTGAGTGGTGTGTGTGATTGTGAGTGGTGTGTGTGTTGTGTGAACAGTGTGTGTGGGTGGTGTGTATGAGTGGTGTGAGTAGTGTGAGTGGTGTGAGTGGTGTGTGTGAGTACTGAGTGGTGTGTGTGTGTGTGAGGTGTGTGTGAGTGGTGTGTGTGAGGGGTGAGTGGTGTGTGGTATGTGTGAGTGGCTGTGTGTGAGTGGTTGTGAGTGGTGTGTGTGTGAGTCGTATGTGTGAGTGGTAGTTAGGTGTGGAGGTAATTGCAGGTTGCCTCTGAGCAGAAAGTTAAACAGCTGCAGTGTGGGAGATCACCCTGGAATAAACACATTAAAAATCTTCTAAAAGATCAAAAACCCCAGCTGTTCCTATCAATATGCTAGTGCGCACTCTGCATGCACCTTTAGGCCATAAACCCATTTCCCTTGCCCTGTGAATCGACTGAAAAGATGGACTGGGGGGAAAGAACCAATCCAGGGAGCACTTAGCCTTGGAGGTGAGACACTGTTGGGAAGAAGTCAGCCGCTAGAGAGCTCTCCCTTGAAACCACCAGACCTTGCCTGTAACCTGCGTGTGCTCTTTAGCGCACGCACTCAGGATCCTGGAACTGTCATATCTCACCCCCGGCAGCTGGAGCGCTGCACCTGCCAAGACACTGAGTCCCGCAGGGAGGAGGATGGCAAGCTGGAACTGAGAAGCAGAGCCTGGAGAGGTGGCTTGCCAGGCTGGAAGGTGAGGTGGCCACTGCCCGGCAAAGGAGACTCGCTGTATTTGTACATTGGCTTTAAGGCACACATGGCAGAAAATAAGGACATAGTGGCAAAGACGGCTTGATTGAGACAAAAGAGGAGGATGGACTTCTGGGGGTAGAAAGCACACAGAAGCACAGAAGAGAAGAGAGAGGAAGAGGTGGGAGTGAGCAAAGGCGAAGCAAAGAGCTGGTCCACCACACGGGGGCACCGGCCAGACTGACTGACACCCAAACTCGCTTCAGTTTTCTAACTGGAAGAGGACAAAGGAGGTGCAGCTTACCTGGAGGCAGGTACTGGCAATGCCCAGAAGAATTCACCAACACGTTAGTGTGGAATGTGGCGTCAAAGCGCTCATCAGCACTAGAAACAGGAAAAGGACTGCATGAGCCAGTGCCACCAGGCTGTGGATTTCCCGAAGCCCTGGGGTCTGTCTTTGATGGAGCAGCAAAGACCTTGAGAGGGGCCCCTGTCTGTCCTCACAACCCCACACGCTGCCTGAGAGCACCACTGGGACTGGCCTGGGAGGTCTTCCCCGGGCACAGCTTGGAAGGGCCAGTGTCTACCCCCATTTCAATTTTCACACCGAACTGGTGATTTTTCTCACAATGTATATAAAACCAAGCTCTTAACCAAATGAAACCTGTAAACAACTCTGGAGGACATCGGCAGATGTGACATTTTCATGGTGTCCAGAAGAACAGAGGGTGGGTGAGGCACGCTGCCACCCTGTGAGCCTCATGGGGCAGGGTTTTCACTCGCTGTGTCCAAAGCTCTAGTTCCAGCCTCTTGAAGCGGACCCACACTTGGTTTGTGCTTCACATATATATCTTTTTTTTTTTTTTGAGACAGAGTCTTGCTGTGTTGCCCAGGCTAGAGTGCAGTGGCATGATCTCGGCTCACTGCAAGCTCCACCTCCTGGGTTCATGTCATCCTCCTGCCTCAGCTTCCCGAGTAGCTGGGACTACAGGTGCACACCACCACACCTGGTTAATTTTTTTGTATTTTTAGTAGAGACGGGGGTTTCACTATGTTAGCCGGGATGGTCTCGATCTCCTGACTGTACACATAAAAATAGCTAAAATGGAACATTTTAAATTATGTGTAATTTACAAGTAACACATTTTAAAGTTACAGTATTACACTATTACTATATATGAATTATACCTCATAAAGTTGATTGGCAAGGATAAAAGGATATACAATTTGATAAATACTCAACGTTGGAAGTTCTAACAAAAGGCATTTTAAACACATTGACTGGGATTATCTATTGATACAATGTTTTTTTAAGAGTATTTCAGCAATTTTTCAGAAGTCACAAAGATATTTACTGCCTTCTACCCATTTGTTCTAGTTCTATGAATCTTTCCTAAAGGGAAAAAGAAAAAGCGGGCACGAAGATTTAATCTCAAAAATGTTCATCAAAATGTTGTTTACAACATTATAATACTATCCAAAAATAGTAAACAAAATGATCAGATATTCACAACATATAAAACGTTTACCTTAAGTATTATGTATTTTATTTTAAAATGTTGATAACATTTAAAATACATAATATATATGTTATGGGGGAAAACAAACATAAAAAACTATATCATGTGATTCTAATTTTTTATAAGCAAAACAAAACTAAGTATCTACTTCAATAATAATTATCTCCCAGACTAAGTTAAGGACCCTTTATCATATGCTATCAAGGTAATATAACCTGAGGTCAGAGAAAACCTCGCTGGAAGTGGCTTTGGATGGAGAAAGAGAATAAAAGAAGATTCCTACCAGAGAACTTGTCTACCTCAGTATCATTTTATTCAAATTAAAACTGTTTTACAATCAAACCTCAATTTTTAACAGTGGGGGAAAAAACAGTATGTGTTAATTTTAGTATCCAAGGGGATACTAGAACCATTCTCCTGGCTGATACAGAGGGATGACTGTTCTCGGAAATGATTTGGAATGTCTGTCTGAAAATGTCAGCAGGGAGCACCCCATTCAGGTATATAACACGTTTTAAATAAAAGTGTTTAAATACATATTTCATTGATTCATTTTTAATGAGCATACCATAAGCCTTCTCAAAGTATTAAATGCTCAACCATTACCTAAAAATCCTACTTTCTATTACCAGATTTTACTTTGCGAGAGTAACATTAGAAGACGTATAATAAGAATTACCCTTATTATTAAACATTTTCTAAACTCCTATTGTTTCACCCATATTTCACCAGCATAGAAGAATAATTATTATACCACTGCCACAATTCACAAAATCCTTTCACCTCCGTTTTTTCATGTGCCTGTCCTAACAATCATGAGATAAGCAAGCTTCATGATAATAACTACAACTTCTACAACCCCAACCCCACTGTCAATGAAATACCCACTAAGAATCAGGCACTATACGGCCAGGCACGGTGGCTCATGCCTGTAATCCCAGCACTTTGGGAGGCTGAGGTGGGCAGATCACGAGGTCAGGAGATCGAGACCACGGTGAAAAAAATTAGCCGGGCGGGCGTGGTGGCGGGCGCCTGTAGTCCCAGCTACTAAGGAGGCTGAGGCAGGAGAAGGGCGTGAACCCGGGAGGCGGAGCTTGCAGTGAGCTGAGATCGCACCACTGCTCTCCAGCCTGGGTGACAGAGGGAGATGCCGACTCAGAAAAAAAAAAAAAGAAAGAAAGAAACAGGCACTATACCAGGTATCTCACATATTTACCACATTCAAAGTTGAATAATTACCAAAAATCTATGAAGTAGTTATCCCATCCCAATTTTACAGATGAGGAAACTGCGGCTCAGCAATTAAAGTAATTGGCCCAGAAAGCAGATCTTTGATCCACACCCAGGTCTGTCTGAATCCTAAACCTATGCCATTTCCTTGTCCCACCCACACTCCCCAGGAAACAGAGATTGAGAAAAAGATAATCATTTGGCCAAGTCTTATAGGCAACAGGAACCCAGAGCCTTCTAACACTTGATCTACGGTGCTTTCCACCTGGTATGTTGCTTCTATAAAAAGTAAGGACACTTCCTTCCATCGGGAGTTTATAAATCATAATTAATCTCAGATTATAAATAACATCATAGGGAAGCTATGTGCTACATAGGGACAGATAAGGGTGCCCAAGGGAAACTTTGAGGAAGTATAACTAAATTAATACACAGGGATCAGGGTTGAAGTATTTTATAACCAATACTCAAAACAGTAACAGTTAGCCTGGCGCAGTGGCTCACGTCTGTAATCCTAACACTTTGGGAGTCAGAGATGGGAGAATCACTTGAGCCCAGGAGTTGGAAACCAGCCTGGGCAACATAGTGAGAGACCTTGTCTCTACGAAAATAAAAAAACAACAACAGTTAATAAAGTTTCCAGGAGTAGCTTAGATAATCCCAGAATCGTATCTATATTAGGAGAAGGGCTATTTTTAAATATTCTAAAGTTTATAATTGGAATGCCCATAAAAATTGCCTATGAGTAGATTCATCATTACATCAGAAAAATTTATGATAATTACTTAGGACTCTGCTTTTGATAAATATGTATGCTGTAACTACTTAATAAAACCATGAGAAATAATTTTTAAAATGTAAATGTTACTTACATATCGCAGTTTGCAGCTATCCACAAATGCTGGATTAGCAATTGGAACTAGAATAAAAAATGTAAATGTAAAAAAAGAAAAAATTAAAATATTTAAGTCATGAAACACAGAAAGTGACAGCAAAGTTAAAAACTCAGATCTTTATAAAAAGGAAATTTATACTGTACACCAAAAATGATATTTGCTAAATTACAAAGGCACTTGTATATGAATAAGATTAAAATAAAAACTAAGAACAGTACTTTTAGTTTCTCCTACCACTTTATATTCTCTAAATGACAGCCCTTACCTGATAGACACACGCCAACTATCAAAAAAAGCAATCTTAATACCATCCTGGAAGCAAGTGAACTTACATTTTTTTCAAGCCAATTCCCAAATGAGGGCCCACTACAGAAAACACCTCCGAACCACTGTAATTCCTTTCTGAGGATGACTCCAAACACTCTGCCAATCGATGCTAAACATGAGCCAAAAGAAACAAAAAAACTCTGACAAATTCCCATGAGCTTACCAATGGACCAAGATTGTCCAAAAAGTAATATTCCCAGAGGATAGGAAAAAAATGTCTTAGAGGGTTGATGTCTGCCTTCAATGTCACAGCAGAAACCTTGCAGTTTACCAGATGACCCAGTAAAGGAACCAACACCCACAACCCATTCCACATGGGCAGTTAATTCCAGTCACTGATGAGAAGGGAAAAGGTCTGTCTTATGATATCACATTTTTTTTTTTGTTTTTTGTTTTTATTTTTTGAGATGGAGTTTCGCTCTTTTTGCCCAGGCTGGGGTGCAATGGCATGATCACGGCTCACTGCGACTTCTGGCTCCTGGGTTCAAGTGATTCTCCTGTCTCAGCCTCCCAAGTAGCTAGGATTACAGGAGTGCACCACCACGCCCTGCTAATTTTGTATTTTTAGTAGAGATGGGGTTTCGCCATGTTGGCCAGGCTGGTTTCAAACTGCTGACCTCAGGTGATCCACCTGCCTCGGCCTCCCAAAGTACTGAGATTACAGGCGTTCATTCCAGTCACTGATGAGAAGGTAAAAGGTCTGTCTTATGATATCACGCCCGGCCTGATTTCACATATTTTTTAAAAATCTTACAAGTTAACATAAAATGGAAACCTGAGTATTACAAACAACAACAACAACAAAAAGTTCAAAATCACCGTCTACTCTTATCTACTTTAAGACGTAAGGATTAAGCAGAGGATAATTTGCATAAACCTAAAATCGTGATAAATCAGTTTTTTCATGGTAGTTAAATCAAATTGCTATTTTAGCACTTGTTTGAGCCTCTATAAAAAACATAAATTTAAATGCATAAGTCATGTCACAGAGGCCTACCAGCGGGGAAAGGAGGAGCCTGGTGGCCACCTCCTGGTGACCAGCCACCACTCACAAACAGCAAAGGAGATTAAGCTTGGCTCAGGAGGTCCCCGAGCTCTTCTCACTGGAGTCGATCTGCGAGCACACTTGTTACAAAAAGTCATTCCAATCTTGGTCTTTCAGAAATTATAACTTATCCATTGCCAAGGAAAGAAAATAACAAAAGTATGATGATGAGAAAAACAACTGCTGGAAACATTACATGAGAAATAAACACAGAGTTACGACAGCTAAGATGAGGACAAAGAAAACATTACTCTGTCAACACCAAAAATACTCCAAAGATGACACTACTTCTATTTGTCCTTCTATATTCCTCATCTCTTTATCTATCCATGGAAACTTTTTAAACACTTCAATGGAAAACTATGCTTTCAAACCAAGCAGATGTCTAAAGCAGAATTGTCTCACAACCTAGATTATAACAAAATGCAAAGTTCAATACAACTGGAGTAAAAGACAAAAAAGCCTTTGTATAAATAAATCAACTCTCAGATATTGAGAAAAGCACAAACCACACAGTTATTAAAAAGTTCCAATGAAATTACTGTAAAAAAATAACGAGGATAACATGATAGCTAAAATCACCTGAAATTCCTACCTCCTAATCCCTATAAAAAAAGGGCAAAATCTAGGAAATGTGATACTCCCTAAAATTTTTTGCTAACATGTTTTTGCTGATCTCAATCTTTAGACAAAGAAATTGTAAATATAATTTCCTAAGTAACTCAAAGAAGAAAAAGGAAATAGTATTTCCCAATAATAATTCTCTAGGTTTGCATAAATAGACCTACTTGGCACTGAAAGCACTATTAATATTTTGCTTCACTTTGGTCTTTCAAAAACGTCCTTCTACACAGGTTTTTTTGGTTGTTTTTATCACTAATTAAGTTGACTGATATAAACCCTTAGCTGGTTTATTTAAACCTAAATATATTTTAAATTTACTTCAAATCATAGATTCTACTCTAGCCACAATGAATAATTTTCCCCAAATTGAGTTTAACAGCTTAAAATATAATTTGTTAAAAAAAAAAAGTTTAAGGTATGTAAAAATTTCTGACTTTCACCGTAAATAAGATTTTCATTAGCTCAACAGAAATGTAATAATTATCCCTTAAGTATCTCCACTCCCACACCATCTCCACAGTCATGAACCACCTAGTCCCGTTCTCAAATGTCCTGGTCCCGCCAATAGAATCCCAATCCTTCCTTGTTGTCCCCAACCCTGTGCACCTACACCTGCCATAAATGGTGGAAATTCAACCAGCTCTATGAACGGAAGGGAGGAGGCCCCCCACCCACTCTACAGGAAAACTTGCCCAGATCTACAGGAACCTCCCCACTCACAAGAGGACAGGGCAGCCCAGACTCAGCTGAGAAATGTCAACAGCTGGCACAAATGAATTACAGATTATTTACAATTCACATAACACTGACCCAAGAATATAACCAATTGTCAAGACAAAATAAATTTAGTTGTTCACATACAAATATTCCATTTGTGAATAAATTTCATATTCGTATCTGTATACAGACAGTCTACATGTTCGATAACTCCTTTATGATCCTACCTGAAAATGCTGGTAGATGCAATATTTTTGCATCAAATTTAACCGATGGTGGTTGTTTCATTATCTGTGGTTAAAAAAAAAAAAAAACTTTTGAGGCAATTTTAAAGATGGATATCTGTCTCCTTATATGTCCCTTATATCAGATAATAAATCAATGAGGACAAAAAAAGAATGTGTAAAATTTGTTACCAAAAACAAAAAGAACGATGCCTTTTCAGATTAAAACATACATATATAGATAATAATTTATTTTTTAAAATCATTTCAATTGATATCTGTAATAAAATAAAGCTTCAAAGAAAAAATTCACCCCATCCTGGCTTACTTTTTAGGTAATTTACCTCTAATTAGAAATTCAGTCTTTCAACAAATATCTATTGCTTACCTGCCAAGGTAAGGCTCTATGTCAAGTGCTAAGGGGGATACAAAGATATAAAAGACACAATCCTATTTTCAGCGAGCTGACTTTCTGGTTGGGAAGATGAGACAAACATTTGATAAACAAGAAAATATTTCACAATTCAAAAGAGGCAGGACATAACTACAGACAAAACCCTGGACAGAAAGAATTTTTTTTGTAAATAGTAGTTTAGAGAATACAGCAAGCACTTTACTTGATATAGTTGACACCGGGTTTACGGAAGAGGTAGAAGGTGGGTTGAGGTCTTGAAGGATGGCTAGAACTTTATGATTATATCAGAGAAGACACCATTCAAGGAAGCCATAATAGCATGAATTGGAAAGTGCATAATTTATTTCAGAAATGTGAAGAAACCATGTAGTTGGATCCATGAGCTTAGGACAGCCAGATACTGCATCTTGAGACTTTTAATTAAAAATTCAACCATCATTTCTATACCTAACTTCTGCAAAACTTCTATATGTAATATTTTTAAAACCTTTACTAATTAAGTAACCAGCATTACTGTACTTACTGTAGTATTCTTACTAAAATGCATATTCTCATTCTAATCTCATAATCCAAATTCATAATCTCATTTGAGTCATGAGAAACCCTTAGACAAACCTAAATTAAGGGACATTCTTCAAAACACCCAACCAGTTACTCTTCAAAGTGTCAAGGACTTGAGTCATACGTTTTATAACATGTATTACAAAAACATACAAAGGCCAGGTGCCGTGGCTCACGCCTGTAATCCCAGCACTTTGGGAGGCCTAGGCAGGTGGATCATGAGGTCAGGAGTTCAAGACCAGCCTGGCCAACATGGTAAAACCCCATCTCTACTAAAACTACAAAACTTAGCCAGGTGCAGTGGCAGGTGCCTGTAATCCTAGCTACTCATGAGGCTGAGGCAGGAGAATAGCTTGAACCCGGTCGGCAGAGGTTGCAGTGAGCTGAGATCGCGCCACTACACTCCAGCCTGGGTGACAAAAAACAAAACAAAACAAAATAAAAGACAAACTGTCAAGGTCATGAAAGACAAGCAAAGTCTGAGAAATTCTGACAAAACCGTGAAAAACTAGGACAGACTATATGAGACTAAGGAGGCATAACAACTAACTGTAATGTGGGATCCTGGAACAAAAAAAAAGAGGACATTAGAGGCAACCGGTAAAATTCAAATGCATTTGGTAGTTAGCAGCACTATTCTCATGTTTTATTTTTCCCTTTTCAGGAAGAATTCGAAAGGAGCAGTCAGGGTATTGCATGCCATCATTACACAGAGATATGAATCAAGTATCATGCAACTCCAACTACCACATTCTACTGCCCTCCAAAAGGAGGCACAGGTAAGGATTATCCCGCCTGACTAACACTATACCAATGTTAATTCCCAGGTTTTGCTAACCATACTATAGACCTATAAGATGTGAACATTAAGAGCAGCTGGGCAAAAGCTATACAGGAGTTCTCAACTATTTTTTAATCTTTTCTCTAAAAGTAGTTTAGAATTAAAAGTTAAACACAAAAATTTCCACTGATGAAGGCTTCCCATAAACTATCAAATATGGTTATAAGAGGAAAAAAGGAAACACAGAATATTGTGTAAAGCAAGCTTGTCCAACCCGCAGCCCGTGGGCTGGATGTGGCCCAAGACAGCTTTGAATATGGCCCAACACAAATTCATAAACTCTCTTAAAACATTGTAAGAATTTTTTTGCAATTTTTTTTTATTGGTTTTTTAGTTCATCAGCTATTGTTAGTGTATTTTATGTGTGGCCCAAGACAATTCTTCTTCCAGTGTGGCCCAGGGAAGCCAAAAGACTGGACACCCCTGGGAAAGATATCACAAATTGTTCTAGAAAGCCCATTTTGAAAATGCGCCAATGCACATCAAACTTAGCATAATAAAGTTACACTGCCAGACATATGAACTCACAAAAAGAATTAGCTCCATTATGAAAAACAGCTAAATCATCTATATAAAATGCTGTCTATCTAGAAAATAAACATGAATCCAAAAACCCTTACATTGTTCTAAACCACACTAATGTTCCCAATGAGACAAGAAAAAAACAGTCATGAATTAATACAGAAAAAGATATTTAAAAAAGAAAAAGAAGGCCAGGTGTGGTGGCTCATGCCTGTAATCCCAGCACTTTGAGAGGCCGAGGTGGGTGGATCACAAGGTCAGGAGATCGAGACCATCCTGGCTTACATGGTGAAACCCTGTCTCTACTAAAAATACAAAAAATTAGCAGGGCGTGGTGGCGGGCACCTGTAGTCCCAGCTACTTGGGAGGCTGAGGCAGGAGAATGACATGAACCTGGGAGGTGGAGCTTGCAGTGAGCCAAAATCGCGTCATTGCACTCCAGCCTGTGTGACAGAGCAAGACTCTGTCTCAAAAAAATAAAAAATAAAAGTAAAACTAAAAAAAAGTAAAAGAAGCAGTAAAGTTAAAATAGAGAATAAGTAGTGGAATGTGAGTATGTTGGGGAGCTGGAAGTCAAGACAAAACAGAGGGACTTAGAAATGCATCTGTTTTTTAAAGTAAATACTCATTATCCCCCAGCAATAAAGTATTATATTCCAAAAGACAAGAAGCAAAAAAACTCACAGTGGTTTAGAAGTACATTGTGAACCATGACTCCTCAAGTTCCCATAGTGTCTCCCCACCATCTCCCCTGCAGTATTAACAACCTGTGACAGGGCAGGGCTTCCGTGTGATCTGCCTGCCCAGCCCAGCCTGGTGAGCAGTGCCCTCTGACTGCTTCTGCCTTCAAAACACATCAGAGACTAGAATACTTAGAGTGATTCACATTAGTGCAGATGGAGAAACGATGGGACTGAGAGCTAAGGTCTGAGGTCAAGAGGCTGGCAACCCCTCCGTGGCATGTGGAAGAAAGCAGTAGTGAGAAGCAGAGCTGACTCATTCAAAACAGAGGGGGGAAAACTTAGAACTCCAGTGAAGCGGAAGTGAAGGCAGAGGAAAGGGTTGCAGACAGAGCGGGAGCTGGAAATGCAGACATGCAGCACAAATGAAAGAGTAGCGGACAAGAGAAACAGGAAAGATTAGACAGTAAATAATATTCTGAATGAAAATCTTATGCAGATTTCAGATCTCAGTAAAGTCTACAACTCACTTGTCAGAGTGCTTTCTGCACCTTTGGATTGTCAATAATGGGGGTGACAACAAGATCTGAGTCGTGTAGATAAGCTCTCTCATCTGGGATTCCAGGTCCTGCTGACTCAGGTGTCCACTTGTAATCTGAAATGAGAACAAAAATTTGACTTTGTTTCTGTGACTAATATAGAGCTTTAAAACACTGAACTAATATGATGCTGAGGAAGACACCACTGTAAAATATCACCTATATCAATGTACTTCCACTGCTATTCAAGACACTTGCAGTCTCACTTGATTTTCACAAAAATCCTAAACTGTAGGTACCATAATTTCCATTTTACAGATAAAAATATAAAACTCTGAGAAAGTAACTGAATTGCTCATGTTACCATTAAAACTGGCTAGGACTACAAAAAAGATCTTTACAATTCAACGTTCTAAACTCTGATGAGGCAAACTGCTTTTTCGATTACCAGCATGGTTTTTTTTGGTTTTTTTTTTTTTTTAGGGATGGAGTCTCAGTCTGTCACATAGGCTGGAGGGCAGTGGTGCAACCCTGGCTCACTGCAACCTCTGCCTCCTGGGTTCAAGTGATTCTCCTGCCTCAGCCTCCCAAGTAGTGGAATTACGGGTGTGCACCACCATGCCCAGCTAATTTTTTTTTTTTTTTTTTTTTTTTGAGACAGAGTCTTGCTCTGTCACCAGGCTAGAGTGCAGTGGCGCGATCTCAGCTCACCACAACCTCTGTCTCCTGGGTTAAAGTCATTCTCCTGCCTCAGCCTCTCCAGTAGCTGGGACAAGGTTTCACCATGTTGGCCAGGCTGGTCTCAAACTCCTGGCCTCAGGTGATCCACCTGCCTCGGCCTCCCAAAGTGCTGGGATTATAGGTGTGAGCCACTGCACCCGACCCATGGCTTTATTTTTCATTCATAGAATGCTGATCAATTTATTTCTGCTTTACAGAATATTCAATGTGAAGTTGAAACTGTAACATACAAAAATTTTCAGACTTAAATACAGACCGGTTACCTAAGTGTTAAACCTCAATTATTTATTAAGCCTCATTAGAGATGATACATAATAAAATCAATCACCAGACATTCACCATCAGTTATTCCTTTGAGATGGTTCTTTGTGCTCTATTTAAACATAATTTGTATTCCTAGTGCTATGCCCCAGTATTTCCCATCAGAAAAAAAAAAAGGATTTATGCTTAAGAACCTTAAAAGAAACAATGACTAGCAAACTAAATAAAATAGAAAAGTAAATCAGTGAAGTAAGGAAGAAGGAAAATAAATTATCCAAAACTAGTGAGGAAGGGTCATAGATAAAGGAACAGAGTTAGCTAAGAAAATTCCTGGAAACCCAAGGTGCCCCTTGCAACTCAGATGAAAGATATACGAAAACACACAAAGAGGCCGAGGCCGGGCACGGTGGCTCAAGCCTGTAATCCCAGCAATTTGGGAGGCCGAGGCGGGTGGATCACGAGGTCAGGAGTTCAAGACCAGCCTGACCAACATGGTGAAACACTGTCTCTACTAAAAATACAAAAATTAGCTGGGTGTGGTGGCATGTGCCTGTAATCCCAGCTACTCAGGAGGCTGAGGCAGGAGAATCACCTGAACCTGGGAGGCGGAGGTTGCAGTGAGTTGAGATTGTGCCACTGCACCAATTAAAACAATTGTATGCAAAAATTAGTTTCCTATAGGTAAATTGAGTGTAGGCACAAATGCCAAGTTATAACAAATATCCCACTCACAATAGCAAAAATATATAAAACAAAATGTTCAGGAATAAACTAAATGATCAATAATTGCAATGAGATCATGATCATTAAATGAAAATAATCGTTATAAAATTATACTCTCTTGCTTCAAAGTGAACACATTATGTATAAAACCAGAAGTAGTAATATCAAAATGTATGAGATGTATGAGGTTACAGTGAACTATGATGGTGCCACTGCACTCCAGCCTGAGCAACAGGCTCTAAAAAAAAAAAAAAAGGTAATCAGTGTTTACTTGGGAATTACATTGTAAATAATTTTTCTATTGTCTTTGTCCTCTTTTATATTTTACAAGTTTTTTACAATTATATATGTTTTGTAATAGAATAAAAAGTATCATTTAAAAATTATAAAACATAAGGCCAACACAGTGGCTCACACCTGTAATCCCAGCTCTTTGGGAGGCCGAGGCGGGCAGATCACTTGAGTCCAGGAGTTTCAGACCAGCCTGGACAACATGGGGAAACCTCTACTAAAAATACAAAAAATTAGCCATGCATGGTGGCGCACACCTGTAGTCGCAGCTACTCAGGTGGCTGCGATGAGATGAGATAAGCACCTAAGCCCAAGAAGTTGAGGCTGCAATGAGCCATGATCGTGCCACTCCACTCCACCCTGGGTGACAGGAGTGAGGCTCTGTCTCAAAAATAAATAAATACCGAGATATATATGTAAAATAAACTACCTTAGGTATTCACATTATTGATTATATTTTCTCAATAGAATGATTATATATTCCTCTTTATAACCATCTGCCAGAAGAGCTTCAACATCTATCGCATTTCAGAATGAATTTTTTTTTTTTTTTTTTTTTTTGAGACGGAGTCTAACTCTGTCGCCCAGGCTGGAGTGCAGTGGTGCGATCTCAGCTCACCGCAACCTCCGCCTCCCAGGTTCACACCATTCTCCTGCCTCAGCCTCTCAAGTAGCTGGGACTACAGGTGCCCACCACCACACCCGGCTAATTTTTTGTATTTTTAGTACAGATGGGCTTTCACTGTGTTAGCCAAGATGGTCTTGATCTCCTGACCTTGTGATCTGCCCTCCTCAGCCTCCCACAGTGCTTGGATTACAGGTGTGAGCCACTGCGCCCGGCCCAGAATAAATTTTTAAATTTACATTGATTTTCTATTTCACATAACCAAAAAATTAGCACAGTCAGATTTTATTATAACCAATTTATACTAAATTTCAAAGCAGAAATAAGCTTCACAAGGTCCAAATACAGTTCACATTACATCAAAACTACAGTTAAAAACTAAAAGCAATTATATTTGTCAACCAATAAGTAGCATAAAAATTACTTAGAATTAATTCAAAGTAGGTCTGCATTCAACACAACTACGATTGAAAGAAATTAAAGGAAGACCTAAATAAGTACAAATACATCCTGTGTTCGTGGAGGAAAACTTAATATTGTTAAAATGGCAGTACTTTCTAAGTTGATCTACATATTCAATGCGACTGTGATTAAAATCCCAGCTGGCTCCTTTGCAGAAACTGACAAGCTGATCTTAAAATTCATATGGAAATGCAAGTGACCCAGAACAGCCAAACCCACCTTAAAAAACTTTCTGGAGGATTCATACTTTCTGATTTCAAAGCTTACTAAACAGCTACAGTAATCAAGAGTGTGCTACTGGTATAAGGACAGATGAACAGAGAAAAGAATAGAATCCAGAAATAAACTTTCACATATACAGTCAATTGATCTTCAATAAGCGTTCCAAGACAATTCAATGGGGAAAGAATAAGCTTTTCAACAGATAGTTCTGAGATAACTGGATGTCTAGGTGCAAAACAATGAAGCTATACCCCCCTACTTCATGCCGCATGCAAAAATTAATTCAAATGGATAAAAGAGCTCAATATAAGAGATATTGATAAACTATAAAACTCATAGAAAAAAACATAGGCAGAAACCTTTGTGACCTTGGAGTAGCAACGTTTTTTTAGATATTACACCAAAAGCACAAGGAGCAAAAAAACACAAATGAAAAAAGATAAATTGGACTATATCAAAATTTAAAATCTTTCTGCTTCAAAGGACACCATCAAGAAAGAAAAAAGACAATCCAGAAAAAGGAAGAAAGTTGTTATAACTCCTATCTAGAATATGTAAAAAATTCTTACAGCTAAATAATAAAGAGATACATAACCCAATTAAAAATAAGTTAAATTTTGGAATAAGTATTTCCCCAAAAAAACAGACAAATGGCCAATAAACACATGAAAAGATACTCAACATCATTTGCCATCAGGTAAATGCAAATCAAAACCACTAAGACATAGAAATTCACACCTACTAGCTGGGCGCAGTGGCTCACACATGTAATCCAAATACTTTGGGAGGCGGAGACAGGTGGATCATTTCAGGTCAGGAGTTCGAGACCAGCCTGGCCAACATGGTGAAACCCCGTCTCTACTAAAAATACAAAAATTAGCCAGCTGGTAGTGGTGCATGCCTATAATCCCAGCTACTCGGAAGGCTGAGGCAGAAGAATTGCTTGAGCCTGGGAGATGGAGGTTGCAGTGAGCCAAGATCATGCCACTGCACTCCAGACTGGGCGACAGAGTCAGACCCTGTCTCAATCAATCACTCAATCAATGGAATTTCACACCTGCTAGATGTGAAATAGGATGGCGATCATGAGAAAGACAGGCAATGCAAACCTATTCACAATAGCCAATAGGTGGATGCAACCCAAGTATTCATCAACAGAGGAAAAGATAAAAAGGCATATTAAATACATACAAGGGAATATTATTCAGCCTTAAAAACAAATGAAATTCTGGCACATGCTACAACATGGATGAACGTTAAAGACATTATGCTAAGTGAAATAAGCCAGGCACAAAAGGACAACTACTATATGAGACCACTTATGCCAGCAGTCCCCAAACTTTTTGGCATCAGGAGCCAGTTTTGCAGAAGACAATTTTTCCACAGACAAGGTTGGGGGAGATGATTTTGGGATGATTCAAGGACATTACATTTATTGTGCATTTTATTTCTATTATTATTACATTGTAACATATAATGAAATAATTGTACAACTCACTATAATATAGAATCAGGGCTGGGCACGGTGGCTCACGCCTGTAATCCCAGCACTTTGGGAGGCCAAGGTGGCCAGATCATGAGGTCAGGAGATCGAGACCATCCTGGCTAACACGGTGAAACCCCGTCTCTACTAAAAAATACAAAAAATTGTTGGGGCGTGGTGGCTGGCGCCTGTAGTCCCAGCTACTCAGGAGGCTGAGGCAGGAGAATGGCGTGAACCTGGGAGGCGGAGCTTGCAGTGAGCCCAGATTGCACCACTGCACTCCAGCCTGGGTAACAGAGCGAGACTCCCTCTCAAAATAAATAAATAAATAAATAAATAAAAAATAAAAAAACTACAAATGATAAGCAACATAGAATAGATATGTAAGGAAAGGCTTTAAAAAGGAAAATAAGATCAATATAAACTAAGAAAGAATTATTACAGAACAAAGAGATTCTAGGGAGAAGACAAAAGAGTATCAAAATCACTTCGTAAAGATACTTGTGAATATATTACATGTATAAAACAAAACAGAGGCCGGGCGCGGTGGCTGACGCCTGTAATCCCAGCACTTTGGGAGGCTGAGGCGGGTGGATCATGAGGTCAGGAGATCAAGACCATGCTGGCTAACATGGTGAAACCGCGTCTCTACTAAAAAATCCGTCTCTACTAAAAACACAAAAGTTAGCCAGGCGTGGTGGCGGGCGCCTGTAATCTCAGCTACTCGGGAGGCTGACGCAGGAGAATCGCTTTATCCAGTGGACTGTCAAGAGAGGTAGGCTGCAGTAAGCCGAGATCGCGCCACTGCACTCCAGCCTGGGCGACAGAGTGAGTGAGACTCTGTCTCAACAAAAAGAAAAAAAGAAAGAAAACTTTTTTTTGAGAGAGAGAGAGAGAAGTCTCGCTCTTCTCCCCCAGGTTTGAGTGCAATGGCTCGATCTCAGCTCACTGTAACCTCCGCCTCCCGGGTTCAAACGATTCTCCTGCCTCTGCCTCCCAAATAGCTGGGATTAAGTCGCCTGCCAACACGACCGGCTAATTTTTCTATTTTTTAGTAGAGACGGGTTTCACCATGTTGGCCAGGCTGGTCTCCAACTCCTGACCTCAAGTGATCAGCCCGGTTGGCCTCCCAAAATGCTGGGATTACAGGCGTGAGCCACTACGCCCGGCCAAAAAACCGAAAATCTTAAAGGCCTTTCCCCTTCCCCGCCTGGGCTCCAACAACGCGGGAGCCGCCCTGCCCCGCCCTGTCGCGGTCCCTAGAGCAGGTGGGCTGACTGAGGGCGACCATGGGTCCCAAGAGGGCTCCCGCAGCGGCGGGCTCCCACCTCGAGGCGCAGCGACAGGGGCCGAGAGGGGCCAGCAGCCCCCAAGCCAGCCCCGCGCTAGGAGTTGGAGAGACGCGCCCTCCGCCTTCTCCCACCCAAGCCTCTGCCTTGCCGGGCGGGCCAGTTGCGGGAGAAAGGGGCGGGGAACCGCGGCCTCTCTGGGGCAGCTTCCCCTTTCTCCTGGGACTCTGGGCACCCGCTTTCCGCCCTCGCCCTGCCCCGCCAGGCCGCCACCCGGCGACTCACCTTAATGTTGCGGTGGGGCGTGAGCCGCGGCTGTGGCTCCTGGTTCTCCTGGAAGATAGAGGCCAGTAACTTCGGTTTGGCCTTGAACCCTGACATGGACATCTTCCCCTCACCTCCGGCGGGAGGGGCGCGGAAAAGGAGCCAGTCCCGAGCCGCTGTCATGGCCGCGGCCACCAGGCGGGGCCCCCGGCCGAGCTCTCGCGGCTCCACCTCTCCCCGCCGCCGTGACCCTCGTGGGAGCGCGGCTGGAAAATGGCAAGGGGCACCGAGGACTTGGCGGGAGCTATGTGGCGGCCTGCGGGGCTGCTCCCTTTATAACCGACTCCACCGACAGGAGGCGCGGCTCCCGTCAAGCCGCAGTTTAAAAGGGCAACAGCACCACTGCCCCCGCTACCGCCTGGGAAAGGGCTGCCCCTACCCCGCCCCGGTCCTCGTCGCCCCTCACCTCTTACCCCTCACCCCTCACCCCTCAACCCGGCGCGCCCCGCGCGCACCCGGCGTGCCCGCGCTACCGGCTGCCCCCTCCTCTCTTGACCCAGCACCTTTCTGCCCGACCGATCTGGTCCCTTCCTCACACTCGCGACTGGGCGGCACAACCACCAACTCTGTGTGTGTGTGTGTGTGTGTGTGTGTCTATGTGTGTGTGTGTGTGTCCCTGTCCCAAGGGGGCGTGGCTCACGCCTGTAATCCCACCACTTTGGGAGGCTAAGGCGGGTGGATCAGGAGGTCAGGAGATAAGACTATCCTGGCTAACACGGTAAAACCCCGTCTCTACGGAAAAAATACAAAAAATTAGCAGGGCGTGGTGGCGGACGCCTGTAGTCCCAGCTACTTGGGAGGCTGAGGGAGGAGAATGGCGTGAAACCGGGAGGCAGAGCTTGCAGTGAGCTGAGAGCGCGCCACTGCACTCCAGCCTGGGCGACAGACCAAGACTCCATATAAAAAAAGAAAAGAAAAAAAACCTCAAAGGATCACTAGTGGTCAGCAACTGTGTGCAAATAAATAGGAAAACCTACCAAAAATGGATAAATTTCCAGACACATCTAACCTACCAAGATTGAACCATGATGAAACCCAAAACCTGAACAAACCAATAACAAATAATGGGATCAAAGTGGTAATAAAAAGTCTCCCAGCAAAGAAAAGCCTGGGACCTGATGATTCACTGCTGAATTCTAGCAAACATTTAAAGAAGAACTAATACCAACCTTACCCAAACGATTCCAAAAATAGAGAAGGAGGGAATACTTGCAAACTCATTCTACAGGGCTAGCATTACCCTGATAACAAAATCAAACACACAGACCAAAAAAGAAAACTACAGGCCAATATCACTGATGAATATTGATGCAAAAATCCTCAATAAAATATTAGCTAACTGAATTCCACAACACATTAAAGTTGGGGTGCAGTGTCCCAGGTTCACTCAACCCTTCCCGTTTTCCTCTCTGTGTGTGTCTACTTTGCCGTGTTCCCTGGTGGCGGCGGCGGTGGCAGTGTTGGTGCATGGGCCTCCCAGGACAAGGGGAAAGTGAGTATGCCCCTTTCTTGCCCCCTGCCAGGCGTCTGCAGCCTGGCACAAGCTCTGGCCAGGTCTCCAACAGGGGACCTGGAGATGTTTTTTTCCAATTTCTGGATTGGTAACTTGAGGCAGATTCTGGGCACTAGAGTCAGAACTAAGAGGAGACTGAATCAGGGGAGTCTGGGGTCCTGAGAGGCAGATACCTGAAACCGTCTAGAGCGTGTGGGGAGCTCGGTGCATGTTCACGCCAGTTGTTTTTCTCTGTGCCTCAATGTTCCAGGTACCCTTGGAGGTGCTGAGATCCTAGGGATTCCTGGAGCCTGGCTGCATGGCCTGGCCACCCTGATGCCACTGTGTTCTCCATGACAGGACAGCAAGGCTGAGGAGAATGGCTCCGACAGCTTCATGCACTCCATGGACCCATAGCTGGAGCGGCAAATGGAAACCACCCAGAACCTTGTGGACTCCTACATGGCCATTGTCAACAAGACCGTGTGGGACCTCATGGTTGGTGTCATGCCCAAGACCATCATGCACGTCATGATCAACAACGTGCATGCACCGCCTCATAGGGGCAGGGGGCTCCTGTAGCACTGGGGATGCAGGTGGCCATGTTGGCCTGGGGGAGATGCTGACCAGCCCTATGGGACCAAGGTCCAGGGAGGGAGGCACAGTCCAGACCAGAGCTGTCTCATAGAAATATAACGTGGGACTGGGGACAGTGGCCCATGTCTGTAATCCCAGCACTTTGGGAGGCCAAGGCAAGAGGATAGCTTGAGCCCAGGAGTTCGAGACCAGCTTGGGCAACATAGTGAGACCTGATCTCTACACTAAAATTTTAAAAATAGCTGGGCTTGGTGGTGGCACGTACCTATAGTCCTAGCTACTCTACAGGCTGACATTGGAGGATCACTTTGAGCCCAAGAAGTTGAGGCTACAGTGAGTGGTGATCTCGCCCACTGTCCTCCAGCCTAGCGACAGAGCAAGATCCTATCTCCAAAAAACATTTTTAAGAAACTGAGTAGACCGGTGTCCTGGTGGCATGATAGGTCCTGGGTCCCCTCCCAGATGTGTGACCTTGGACAGGTGACTTTTCCTTTGGACCTCAGTGTCCCTATCTGAGTGAGAAAAGGGCGGTGGGGAGGCAGATCTTTGAGTCTAAGCGGTGTAGAAGCCGCGTCTGAAAAGCCATACTCAGGGCTCCAAGTCCAGCACACAGTCCCAGCAGGGCCCGGCAGGAGGCCAGGGCAGCAAAGGCATCAGGTCCCAACCTCCTTCCCTCTTTGCCCGCTCTCAGACCAAGGAGTTCATCTTCTCGGAGCTGCTGTCCAACCTGTACTCACGTGGGGACCAGAAAACGCTGATGGAAGAGTCGGCAGAGCAGGCACAGTGGCGCGACGAGATGCTGCGCATGTACCACGTGCTGAAGGAGGCACTCGGCATCATCGGCGACATCAACACGACCACCATCAGCACGCACATGGGGGCCCGTGGACAACTCCTGCCTGCAGGTGCAGAGCGTCCTTGCCGGATGCAGGTACCAAGGCTGGCTCCCACGGCCCCAAAGCCCCCCAGCCCCCATGGCTGAGCCTGGGGACTCTTGGAACAGGCTCCGTGCCCACGCTGGTAGACATGGGTGCTCCCTGGAGCCGTCACAGAGCTCATGGTTTATGGTGTAAGGGCTGAGAGCTTAGAGGGGGTGGTGTGTGGGGCTGTACTCTGAGGCGGCCAGAGTCCTAGGATAGTCCTCCTGTGCACACCGCACCTGTTGGGCAGTCTGAGTCATGCTGCCAGGGCAGGGCATCCAGCTCCCAGCCTGGGAGTGCTGAGAGCCAAATCCACTGCAGAGCAGGGGTGATAGTCAGAGTCCCACCTCCTCTATCTGTCGGCAATGCAGTGGTGAGATAGGATAAAACCTTGAGAGTCCCATACACACGGTCAACCCACAACACACCTCACAGGCCAGGCAGGAAACACAGGCCCCTTCCCTCCCTCCCAGGTACCATCATAGCTGCTAGCGTGTGACTGAAGGCAGGGTCCCTGGCCCCCGCTGAAGCACTATTGCTGGCCAGCAGGCTCACGCACCTTGGAGTGTTGCTCCTAGAGGTCACCTCTGCTATTCAGCCAAGGGGACCACAGTGCCTGCTGGCCCAGCTGACCTCCGCCCCACAAGCCCACCCACCTCCCCTGCCATAGACTCTCCCTCTTCTGCTTTTCCCAGCAGGAAGGGCCCAGCCTCACCTATCCGACCTGCAACCCCCAACAAGCTGAGGCTCCCCTCTTAGACTTATAAGTCTATAGCCAGTGGCATCCAGCTGCATGCCCTCCTTTCCTCCCCCAGGGACCCTTCAAGGGTTCCTGGGCTTTCTGACCCCCCAGAGGGGGCTCCGGCGATCACTCCACCCATCCATCCCTTTTAGCTTCATCATCCTGGTTCAAGCAGTGTTTCTTCTCTATCAGGCCTGGTGGCTGTTGTTTTGGGCTCCCCAAGGCGAGAGGTGGCCCTGGACAAGTGGGTTGGAAGACACGGTGACCAGAGAAGAGGGAAGCCCAAAGGGGCTGAGCATCAGTCTTAACAGTGGGTGCACTGGGTGCCGTGGAAGAGGCCAGCACGTGTGGGGTGGGGAGGGCTGCCACAGCCCCCAGGCACTACCTGTGAAACTCCGGCTCCTCCCTCTGTCTTCCTCCCCTTTCCCTTCCAGCCCCTCTTTTCCAGGAACCTTGCCACACCCGCACGTGCACCCTTTACTCCTTGGCCCTCCCACAGCTGCTGTGGCACACCTGTGCTCTGCACTTGCCTCACCAGCTCTCTGCTCGCTTTTTTTTTTTTTTATTATTATTGTACTTTAAGTTTTAGGGTACATGTGACAATGTGCAGGTTAGTTACATATGTATACATGTGCCATGCTGGTGCGCTGCACCCACTAACTCGTCATCTAGCATTGGGTATATCTCCCAATGCTATCCCTCCCCCCTCCCCCCACCCCACAACAGTCCCCAGAGTGTGATGTTCCCCTTCCTGTGTCCATGTGTTCTCATTGTTCAATTCCCACCTATGAGTGAGAATATGCGGTGTTTGGTTTTTTGTTCTTGCGATAGTTAACTGAGAATGATGATTTCCAATTTCATCCATGTCCCTGCAAAGGACATGAACTCATCATTTTTTATGGCTGCATAGTATTCCATGGTGTATATGTGCCACATTTTCTTAATCCAGTCTATCATTGTTGGACATTTGGGTTGGTTCCAAGTCTTTGCTATTGTGAATAATGCCGCAATAAACATACGTGTGCATGTGTCTTTATAGCAGCATGATTTATAGTCCTTTGGGTACATACCCAGTAATGGGATGGCTGGCTCAAATGGTATTTCTAGTTCTAGATCCCTGAGGAATCGCCACACTGACTTCCACAATGGTTGAACTAGTTTACAGTCCCACCAACAGTGTAAAAGTGTTCCTATTTCTCCACATCCTCTCCAGCACCTGTTGTTTCCTGACTTTTTAATGATTGCCATTCTAACTGGTGTGAGATGATATGCTCGCTTTTCTCTCTCCTGTCTTCTCTCTGCTTTCTCTCCAACTGCCAGCCAATCGGCTCAGGCAAGTCCATCCCATCCTGAGAGCCCCAGGCCCCCCTTTGAACTCTAAACAGATTCCTCCTCTTCTCAGAGACTTCCCTTTCCAAGCCTGCCTGGGCGGCTGTTCTGTGACTTGGCAGTGGCTCCCCCAGCCCCAAAGCCAGCCCCCCTTCATCTGTGACTTAGTCTATTGTTGCGGTGAGCTGACACATCCAGGTGTGACCGTTGCTGAAAACTTGTGCCCCCCTCTGTGGTATGCCCCTGCCCTGTTCTAGAAATATCTACAAATACCCATATACATATACACACACACACACACACACACACACACACACACACATACACCTACATGTGGCCAACCGCCTCGCCTCTAGCGCTGGGAATCAGTCACCGTGCTGTCCTTTTGGAGTCTTGTGGCCAAACAAGAGAAAGCTAACCCCTGACATTGCCCCTCCAAAGTGCGCTACCTTCAGTGAGCCTCCCTGTCACGCCCAGCCTATGGAGAGACACACCCCGCCATCCCTCCCGCCCCCCCCCCGCCTCCACCAAGCATGGGAGTGCTGTGCAGGCAGCTGAGTGGCCTGACAGTCTCTACCAGTCCTGCTGTCCCTTGGCTGAGAATCAAACCCGCTTCTGGATGGCGGGGAAGTGTGTCGTCTGCTGGCTGTGTTCTCTGTGGAGCTCAGGGGAGGGGAAAGGCCAAGCCATTTCTAGGGTGCTGTTGGGAGCAGTGAAAAGGCCATGCCCTTTCCAAGGGACACTTTTCCTGGAAAGCCCCTGGAGCTTAGCGGGCTCTTATCCTGTGAAGCCGGCTCTGGCCACCAGGGGGCAGGGCCATGAACTCAGCCCAGAGGGAGCCTGCAGGGCAGCCGGCACTCTGGAGGCACAGACAGAACAGGCCACCAGGTGCAGACAGGAGAGGGAGACAAGGGGATAGAACGGAAGATGCCGGGGCTGGGTGGAAGTCAGTGCCCTTAGGTGCTGGTACCTGTCTTCCCGGCCACCGCTAGATCAGGCTTCTGAGCCTGTTGGCTGTCAGGGCCAGACTGCGCCCCATAGACTACATGGCAGTCCCCTTGGAATCCCCCAGGCGCCACCAAGCAGCATACAGGTAACACGCCTGGAAGGTCCCCAACAGCCTAGCTGGACATGCTCAAGACACTCTGGGGCTCCTCGTTTGGTGGCACAAACTCCAGGACCCAGTGAGGGAAACGGAAACACACCAGGCCGAGCAGTATGGCTAAATCCATTTATTCCAAAATAAAAAGCAAAATAAACAGGAGTCACATCACCAGGGAGCCATGACCCCATCCCCGCCTCCTTCCTCTGTCCTATGCTAGCAATAAATAAGTTTCCCAGCCACAAATAATTATTACAACCTCCTCCCCATGTGCCGGCTCCAACCTCAGCTAGGTATGACACAGGGGTGGCCCTACCCTCTGGAATATACAAAACCTTACACAGACACAATATGTACACCGGGGAACGGGGGCCACCCCAGCAGCCCGTGCCCTCGCCTGGTCCACAGTTAGCCCCACTGTCCTGCCTCTCTGAATAAGAAGGGAGCCCCCCGAGGGAAAAGTTGCTATGGTGAGAGTAAGGGGGACATCAGGCCTCCTCCAAACAAACCAACTCCACCAGCCTCTGGCTCTTAAATAACAATCATCATCATCCAGAAATTTAGGGACTCAGCCCTGGTCAGGGTGGCAAAGGGTCTGTTTGTCTTTCCCCATTAGACAGAGGTCTTGTCCTGCTACCCTCATTGTAAAGGGGTGCCTGGGAAGGGGTGGTAGGGACATGGTGGCGGTGGAGACCCCAGCCCCACTTTTCCAGGCTTTGCTGACAGGGGCCTGCTTTTAATTTTTATTTTTATTCCATGACTTTTTAAAAAAGAATCCCGTAACTTCTTTTTCATAACTTTTTTTGGTAACTTTTCATAATACTGTTTTCTACTTTGTTCCCACAAGTTTTTTTGCCACAACGTTTTTACATTTTTTATCCCATAACTTTTTCACCCCATAACTTTTTTAATCCCATAACTTTTAAAATCTTGTGTTCTTTTAAGAAACACTTGCATAGTTATATTACAACTTTGTAAAAATGAAACACATTATCTCATGCCAAGCATGCCCAGCATTTGCACAGTATCAATACCTTTAATACTATAGTTTTCAAGAAACGCAAAATAAAATTTTAAGACAAAAACAACACTTAGAAACAATTTAATAATTTATTACATTACAGTGGCATCACACCAGCAGTCAATAAGGCCACTCTAGGGAAAAATCTTTCAGTATTTCCACGACACATTCTGTTTACAATAATTCATAAACTGGTAAAATTCATTCTAAGAAAACTTGGCAAATAAAACTTTGGACTGGAATTGGCATTTCTTTCTCTGCTTTTCGTTCCCACCATTTCTTTCTTTTATACTACAGTATTCATATTTTAAAATGTTTTAAATTATTTCAGAACATTAAGATAGCAGTTACATTTTTTAATAGTTATATTATTTTAAAATGACTCTTTAAAATAAAGTTTTAGAGAAACTATATTATGGATAGGGCTGATTTACATTTTCAAATTTTCTAAAATCAGCTTTGGTTTTAGAGCTGATTTTTTTTTTCATTTCTGGAAAATTATCAGGTTTAATCAAATACTTTTAAAATGATTATTATACATTGCCATCTTTAAATAGGTGTTTTGATTCTTCCTACAGACATTAAAATGTATTCAGTGGAACTCACAGTTTAAAATTCTATGTTTCTGATGAACTCTAACATTCCAATGTTGCCTTCTAAGCAAACTGAAAGCTGCCTTATACTGAATGAGGAAGAGCACAAATACTCGGCTGAATGAGGTATCGCAAAAGACTGCATGCACTTTGGAGAAAGACTTGAGTTATTGTCATACAATTTCCATTCTTTTTAGCTTTTTCTTAAATATATGACAAATACCTACACAAAGAGTGGTATTTCAGTCAATATAGTAAATTTATTTTCCAGACTGACCTTCAGCTTAAATATGCCAGTGTGTGATTTAATCCATAGGCACCTCATGAACACATTATTGTCAGATTGGTTACAGATGCTAAACGCTATCCGAAGGTCATTCCTAGTCACTGATATTTATCAGGGTAAAAGTGAAGTGATTTCAACGATAAAAGTACCTTTGCAATAATTTATCAATGTATTAGATAAACCCAGTTTCAGAATGATAAAAGAAAAAACGTTAGACCAAATAATGTGGCTGATTAACAGTGGTCCGATTTCTAGCCCGAGGGTTTAAAATGCTCTTAAAGTAACTGTCTTTAAACTGAACTCAAAGAATGCAAAAGCGGCAAGTTCAGAAAATAAAAGGCGAGAACAGGACTTTAAGTGCATTTTAAACCCACGGGCTACAAATCGTACCACTGTTAATTAGCCGCATTATTTGGTCTAAGATTTTTTCTTTATCATTCTGAAACTGGGTTTATCTAATACATTGATACATTCATAAAATTTGGAAGAGTCAGTGGAAGTCACAAGGACCGAATATTTGCTCTCTTTCAGTGAATGCCAGCAAATCTGTTATTCCATCGGTAAAATCGTATTGTTGCTCTCCTGTTAATGTTATATTTATAGAAGTATCATGAGGATGCCAAATGCTAAAAATGGAGATGATCTAGTAACTAGAAATCCCCACCGCAGGGAGCACACACACCTATCTCCCTGCATCCTAACAATGTGATGTGTTTTGGAACACAGACATTAGAACTTCATGAAGTTTTAACTGTTGAGTCTTTCCCAAGCATCATCAAGTTACGATTTAGGCAATACATAACTGAAATGCATTCATTCATCATGCATAGGCACAATCACATAAATATTGCACAAAATATGTCCCGAACAGAAACCCAGAGGTACAAAAACATATTTCACTTTGTAAAGAAGTTTGTGAGAAAATATAACTCTGTGGTTGTATAGACACGTTTCCTGATAATACATTGACATTCACGAACAACAGTAGATTGCACTGCAGTTTGTACACATTTTAAGTTTCATAAACTTCTCCTTGATTTTCAAAGACAGTATAATACCATCTACTAAAACTCCTTTTTGTTTCAACTATCTCACATATATTAGTTTATAAGAATGTTTCTATTTTTTTTAAAGTGTTTTCCATTCAAAGAAAAAGAAGTAAATTCCTATGTCAGAGTAACCAAGGTGGTTGAAGAATAGGTATTAGCCAAAGAGGTCTAGATGGTAAAATCAATCTTCAAGCCTCAAAGAATCTCCGTGAACAGAGAGGAATGCCAGGAGTCACACAGCTTTCCTTCACTCTAATTCATTCTTGACTAGAGCCTGTATGCCTGTTCCAGGGACATTTGAACTCGTAAAGGATTTCTTATGATCTTCACTAAATACATTAAGAAGAATGCCAACCAGTGCCCTTTTGTGTACTGGGGCATGTAGTCATGTGATTAAAACAGGTAACATGAACTCTGACTTTAAAATGTATTGTAGATACAAATGCTCTAAGCTAGGAAAGGTTTTCCACATCCACAGTCAACGATGGGAACCTTTCATTCCTCAGAAATAAGCCCTTTTTAGGTCATCGAAAAAGAGTGCAACTGCTGCAGCTCATGATGCAGTATCTTCATGAGCCCAGAGCACATACAAATCCTAAGGGAACCACCATAATACACTGCTAATTCCTGGCACCGGAACAGATGAAACACACTCTATCCTGCACGTACCTGCCAGAGGAGGCCACTTTCCTCTTCTGTGAGATTTAAAAAGCTCCCCCAAAAGGTTATCACTCCCATCACCAATACACAGAAAATGGAGGAAAGGCTGTTTCCAATTCTTGGCCTTTAAACAACTCTAAATGTCAGTACTCATAGTGGCGTATTACAAAGTAATAAACAGTGCACACTTGGGGGCAAACTACATATTGAGCTAAGGAAGAGCTCACTGTGATTAAGATTAGATCAAACAACAGCAGAACATAGGCAAATTTTGTCTGAATGCTGTAGTGAATATACATGCTGCAATAACATTAAAAAAGCATGGCAGCCTATTCCAAACCAAAGAGAACAGTTTTGGGCAAAGAGTGGGTCTTTGTGTGTTTGAACTCCCACCACGTAAGGGCAAACTCGATATGCATGCTAATGACCTACAATTATGAAATTAAAAAAGAAAAATGCTAAAGGATGCCAGAGTGAACATCAGTGAGAGCCACAGACACCCACTCTCTTTTAACTTTTTACAAATAAACTTAAACTATAAATTAGAAACACAAATAATCATGAGTGAGTCTAACATTCAAAGGAAGTAAATGAATTGTGTAGGAGATTAACCCCATAACTTGGTTTCTTATTTAAAAATTTCTTGAGCAGCTGTTTGATGATGGTGATGTTTATCTCCTTCTTCTTGGCAGCCAAGCCCAACAAAATAATGGCACACAGCAGTTGCTGCCCAAGCCTGGGTGCTCCTGGTGGTCCTGCACGATCGGCTGTGCAGTAGGCTTGTCAAGGAGAGGATCCTCCCTGGCCTCTCCTTGGGCAGAGGAGGTGAGGGTCACCTCACGAAGATCTTTGGAGAGAGGGAGGCGGGGATCTGAGCACAGTGGGAGCCCCCCTCTTCCTGCCTACCCACCCCACCTGAGGGCTCTACTCACCACCATGCTTGTCTGCAGCCCCAAGCACCTGGGGGGCTGGGGCTCCTGGACCGGGCTCATCAGCAGAGTTGTGGGCAGCGGCCAGGAATTTTCTGTGCCCATTGTTGTAGTTGCTGTAAGCCGCAATACCATCTGCTGCAGCTCCAGCAGCTTCACCTGGAGGGAGGGGTGCTCAGCTGCCATGCCGCTGCCTGCGCCCACCCTCACACCCACCCCCACCCCCACCCCCACAGAGATGTTGCACACCCTACCTTCATCTCCTCCCTGAGCTCCAGCCTGATGGTGTCCTCCTCCCAGTGCTGCATCTTTGGCACGGCCCCCTGGTTCTGATAAAAGGTGATGGATTTTCCTGCGGGAGGACAGGGCTCAGATTCTGGGGCCCCTCTGATGGCCCTGTAGCTCCCCCTGCCGTGCCCTGGCCTCCCACTCACTGATGGCATCTCTCTTGCCAGTATTGAATGAAGCGAAGTTCTTGTTTTTTCACCAGCTCACTCAGGTCTGCCTTCTCCTCCAGGTGGTCCATAAAGCTGCTCTGGAGCCAAAATATTGCAGTCACATCTCGGCAGCGACCTGCCCTCAGGTGGCATTTTCAAGTCATGGAGAAGGCGGAGGTGAGTCCTGGCATGGGCCAGCTTCTCCGTGACTTCCTGCAGGGCCCAGTGGGTCTCCCCACTCACAGACTCGCCCCCAGGCCCTGGGGCTCCAGGGCCTCTGGCTGCCTCTGGCTCCTTCTGGGCCGAGGCCACCGGGTGAGCCAGGCGCTGGCAGCACACCCTCTGCTCTTTCACCTGCTCTTGTAACTGTGCCTGCTTCTCCTGGGCACTAGCTCCAGCGGACTTGAAAAATGCCACCTGAGGGCAAGATGTGAGCATTCTTCTAGGGGCATACACAGAAGAAATGGGGCAGAGAGGTGGAGCGCAGCCCCTTCCCTTGGGGCCTCAGAGAGTGCACCTGTTGGCCACAGGTGAAATGGTGTCTGACCACTGGCTCTCGGAAGGGGTGAGGGTCCAGAGAAATCAGAAGGCAGGGAAACGAAGAGCATAAAGGGGTCTTGGAGGGACCACAGAGAAAGGTGGCAAAATGGGTGCAGGGGGGAGTCAGGCTCACCATGGCCTCCCTGCTCTCCGGGTCCTCTGGGACACTCGGCATGGGCTGAGGTGCCTCCTCCCCCTCACTGTCCAGATGTTCTCCTCCGTGTCCTGTGGGGGGTGGCCAGAGGGGTCTTCAGACAACCCAACAAGGGAGGTACTGTGGGCCCACCTCTACCTCCACCCTCACTGTGTAACCCTGAGCCAGCCCCTCCCCAGAGAGGAATGAGCTGTTGTTCTTTATTTTTACTTTTAAGAATCAAGATCTTGCTATTCCGCCCAGGCACACTCCCACTACTGGTCGATGTGGGAGTTCTGACCTGCTCCCTTTCTGACCTTGGCCAGTTCAGCCACCCTTAGGCAACTTGGTGACCGCCCGCTCACAGGAGGTCACCACACTGATGCCGAACTTAGTGCAGGCACCCGGTCGGCATAATGACCAGCTGTTCTAAAGGTCTCTTCCAACTCCTCAATCCTATGCTGCTAGCAGTCCCCCCTTCCTCCTGGGGCTCTCTCCTCTTCCTCTGAGCGGTCTCCCGTACCTTCCCCAGGGAGAGCCATGAGGCTCAGCTGGGCCGTTAGCTGCTGGTTCTGCTGGCTGGCCGCTTCCAGGTGCTCCTAAGGGGCCAGGAAAGAGTGAGAAGGGATGGAGTTTGCCAGGTCGTCCCCCTCACAGCCCCATCCTCGGCAGCTCCCTCCCCTGGGTCTCCTGCAACTTTTGGCAGGCCATCTCGGCCACTGCTTTGCCCCAAGCTTCCTACTGCTGCAGCTGGTTCATTAGCTGGGTCTGTTGCAGTCACTGCCTGTACAGCGCCTCCTTCTCACAGGTCAGCTGCTGATAGGCGGCCACCTGCTGCTGATAGGTGGCCACGTACTGCTGCAGGTGACCCAGGTAATGGTCTGGCTGCTGCTGCAGACTCTGAGCCTCTTGGCTCTTCAGCTCCACCTGCAGGAAGACCCTGGGTGTGAGGGCACGTGGTGGCTGGTTTCCAGATTCTGGGCCCATTAATAGGGTAGCGAGGGCACTGTGGGGCTCTGTCAGCTACCCAGGCCCCTGTCCCCTTACTCCAGGCCTAAGTGACTGCCTCCCTTTCCTAGAACCCCATGCCTCCTTCCCCAGCCTCAAATCTCATACCCTCTTCTCATTTAATCCTCAGCACCTCTGTAAGGAAAATGCTAACTTCCCTTTGAAGTTAAAGAAACAGAGACTTAGAGATGCAAAGTACTTGAACGGTGACCAGTGGAACCGAGGCTGGAATCCAGTTTCAATCTAAGGAGTCTTTTTGTTTTGTTTTCAGACAAGAGTGTCACTCTGTGGCCCAGGCTGGAGTGCAGTGGTGCAATCTCAGCTCACTGCAACCTCCACCTCCTGGGTTGAAGCAATTCTCGTGCCTCAGCCTCCCGAGTAGGTGGAATTACAGGCATGCGCCACAATGCCCTGCTAATTTTTTTTTTTTAAATTTTAGTAGAGATGAGGTTTTACCACATTGGCCAGGTTGATCTCAAACTCCCGACCTCAAGTGATTCTTCTGCCTCAGCCTCCCAAAGTGCTGGGATTATAGGCATGAGCCACTGCACCTGGTATAAGGAGCCTGTTATAGCACTGTCTCTTCCCCTGTGATTGGGGGCTCCATGCCTCTAGCTGGGATGATGATGTCCAGACCTGAGAGGAGCCCAGGGCTACCCACCTTTAAAAGTCAGAGGCAGGAAGCGAGAAACAGTCGCAGGACTGCCCTGGGGGGTGCTGTGGTCACCAGCCCCCAGGCTGGAAGCTGCCTCTGACCTGGCACCTCCCCTCCCAAGAGGCTGCTGCCCGCCTCCCAGCCCTTCTTGGATGGGGTGGAGGTTTCCGTCTCCTTCACCTCGCCAAGCTTCTCCTGTAGCTCCTTTACTTGCTGCTCCAACTGCAGTGTGCTCTTGTTCTCATTGTTCTGGACAGAGAGAAGCAATCAGCAGCCACCCACTGCAGCTGGAGACCCCAGAACTTGGTGTCTGCCTCCCATGGCACTGGGAAGGCTGGAGGCAGGTTAGAAAAATCACCCCCTCTCTCCCACAGCCACCTGGCTCACAGGTGCCTTTAGAAGTAACCTTTCACGCGAGGGCTACACTGCCCCATTTTAGAGGTGGGGAAACAAAGGCCCGGAGGGCTAGGGAGGAGGGCAGGCTCCCCAGTTGGGGCAACGCACCAGCTCCTCGAAGACGCTCTGTGGCTTGGCCAGCTGCCGAAGCTTCTCGTGCTGCTCCTGAAGCCTCTCCTCCTGCTTCCGAAGCCTCTCTTCCTGTTCCCGAATCCTCTCTTCTTGTCGCCGGTTCAGGAGACTTATGTGCTGATTGTTTTTGACCTGGGCCTGGAGCTCTCCTGCCACTCTCTCTAGTTCCTTCCTCAGGTGCTGCAGCTCCACCTCAGAGGGCACTGCTGGGGGCTCCGGGGGCAAGGGTTCAGCTGAGAAAGGAAGCAGATAATAAGGGCCTCTGGATTCTTGGAAAAGAAAAACCCTCCTCTTGGCGCACAGCTCCTCTCAGGCTCCTCAAACTTGGCCTCACTGCTAATGATTCCTCGCACCCAGATGGTAGCCAGTCTTCCAAAGCACTTTCAGAGAAAGAGCACTGCGGGTGGCTGACAACGGGCCCTCTTTGCTGATGGGGACACTGAGACACTGAGACTCACTGAGATGACAAGACTTGCGGTCTCCTGGCACAGATCTCTTTCCCTCTGCCTCAAAGCCCTTCCATCCACCCACCTCCCTGGGGCACTCTAAGCCACCCTCACAGCCCTCTGATGCCAGTCCTGCTCCCAGGTCATGCCAGCCCCATCTTACCCGTCTGGTTTTTGAGTTTGGACAAGCTCCACTCCAGCTGCTCTACCCAACGCATATCCTGCTTCTCTTTCTTTAATGTGCAAATCTGCCCAAAGCACAGGGGGAAAGGGCCCTGGAGAGAGGGGCTGGTGGCTGGACAGGCTGCCCTCTCCCTCTCTGCCCCCACCTCCACAAAGCCCAGACCCATGACCACCTCTGGCTCTACTATTCCCATTTTACAGATGCCCAGAAAGATCCAGTGACCTATCTAATGTGGGGGGGCTGAAGGGTCAGATCTCACCTCCTGCGACATTTTACTCATCCTCTGATGCCACCGGGCCCTCTCTCCTTCTATATGTTCAGCACACTCATCTCTTTCTAATTGGAGTTGTTGAAATGACTCCTTCAACTGCAAGAATGGGCACAGAAGTTAGGAAGGGCTGTCACTGGTCCTCACCTGCTCCTGGCCACCTGGGGTCATCGTCCTTCCACATCCCTCCCTCGGAAAACCTCACCTGTGTCAGCTGCGCTTTCAGCAGTGCCTGGTCCTGTAGGGACTGCTCTAACTCCCACTCTGTATGTGCTTTGCTGCAGCTGGACAACTGGATGGTGAAGAGTTAGAAGTTTCAATCTGGAGAGCCTGGGCATTTCCACACAGTGCCCCTTAACAGGGCTAGGGCTAGGCCCAATATACAACTCGGTCAGTAAAGATCAAGGCATTTCCCAGCCCGTGGTCTGGTTTTTAAAAGAACACAGTAAAGTTGGAACGGACAGGGAATGAGACTGAGTTTATAGCTGGCTAACAGAGGCCCAGAGAGATCAGATAATATTGCTATTGTTATTATTGTCATTATTACCACTGTTTGAACCTTTGTGGAATGCTTCACCAGGTACCGTGCTAACAATCCCATTTAATCCTCGCAACCACCATAGGAGACAGTTACTATGATTCCCTCTATTGTGGAGATGAAAAAACATGGAGTATTTGAGGTTAAGTGCTTGCCTAAGTTCACTTAGGCAGAGCTGGGATATAAACACCCAGGTCTATCCAATTCTCTAAGCCCATTTTTCTTGCTGGGGATGGGGGCACAGATAGGAAGGGGAAAATTAATCTTTTCTTCACTTTTTGAAAGGATGATACATTCACATAGTCCAAAACTCAGAAGGTACAGAAGGGAAGTATCTCCCAGCCATCTTGTTCTCTCTCCTGAATTTTTTATGAACGCTTGCAGACATGTTTTATGTATATTATCACAGTATGTACACACACACACACACACACACACACACATGCACGCGTTTCCTCTTTCTACAGAAATGGTAACATACTAAAGGTACTCTTCTGTACCTTCACAGTACAAGTACCCAATACCCCACCTAGGACTTGCCCAAGACCACAGCCAGGTAAGGGCGGGGCAGGCACTTGGCCTCCAAGCTCTGCGTCCAGTGCTCACTCCCCACAGTACCCCCCAACTCACCCACAGCAGCTGACTCGGCCCCAGGCTGCCACTAAAAACCATACAAAAAAGTAGCAAGAAATGGCCATGCTGCCTTCTGGGCAGGACACGCCATCCTGCAGAAGGGACCTTTAGGCTCACTCCTCCATCTGCAAAACCAGGCTCCCAGGGGATGGGGCAGGTGGCTGGACTCACCTGGTTTGCCTTCTTCTTCTCTGTGGCGATGACAGCAGACAGAGCCCTCTCTAACTCTCCTTTACACTGCAATGAATGTTGCAGGCGGACAGCCAGGTCCTTGGACTCTTCTGTAATGAGAGAGTTGAGATGGGGCCCAAAGGACTCCCCCTGAAGACCTGTCAAAGTGCCAGGTTGAAGGATGACAGGGTGCCCAGATTCCCACCTTCAAAGTATCTGAGAGAACGTTCCATGTGGTACAGGTCCGTATTTAGTTCCTCTTTCTGTATGATCAATGTCTGGATTTGAACCTTTGGGAGAAAAGCCAAGCAAGTGCTGAAAGAGAAGGAAAGAAACATTCTCCGGAGGACAGGAGGAAACTGCACACCCTCCACTCACCTCTAGCTCCCTTTCGGCTTTCTGTCTCTCGTTGTTTGCTTTCTTTTCCTGTAGGAAGAGGAAGACAGAGCTCTTACCAGGGGGAGGCAGAGATGGCACAGCAAGAGACATGCCCCCAGAATGCCACCAATGCCCCAGGACAGGCCCACCCATGGGACCAGGTTATCAGGGGCCCTGTGGGGATGGGGTGGAATCTGAGGGGTGAGCCTTCTTCCCCAGGCTGGGAGTGGGTGAGACGAGACTGGGGCCTCTATGTCTGAGTGCCCCCCAAACCCAGCAGTCATGTCGCGAGGAAACGAAATCACGTTACTTCTTCCAGCTGATGTTCCACTTGTTTCTTCTGTTGTTTCTGTGGGGAGAGTCAAATAAGGTGATGGAGGGTGGCCCCCTCAACTCTATTCCCCAGATCAGGAAGCGGTAGGCAGGGGCCAGGAATGGATTTTAAAGGCAGAGTTCTCAGACATAATGGGAACACGAACCGGTAAACTCTCCTCAAGCTCCCAAGGACAGAGGATTTGGGTCTTTGTTGGCTTTTGCCCACAGCCACAGAACTCAGTCTGAATCTGGAATCTCTTGAGAGGACAGCAACATAAACCTCTAGAGATGGAGTTTCAGAAAGGCCCCTCCTTCTGGCAGCTTGTGATTTAGAAAAGTGGGTTCATTCAATAAACACTTACTGAGCACGTATGGGCCAGGTACGGTTCTTCACAGCAGATATAGGATGGAAAAGGACAGACAGGAGCCCTTAGCCCTGAGGTTTCCATTCCCGGGGGCCTTTAAATCTCAGACTCGAGAGCTAACAGAGACCTTTGATACTCACTACCTCCTCTGGAAACACGAGCCCAAAAAGGAGAGGTGGCTTGTCCAGAATCAAAGAGCAAATTAGGGACTGAGTCATGGCAGAAATACGGGGCCCTTGACAACCAGTCAGGCTAGCACTTCCCCAAGAGGCAACAACCCCAGGGCGTGTGTAGCAAGGACTCGAGCAGGGGTGTCTGGAGAGGAGAGAGTCGGCAAAGAGGGCAGCAAAAGAAGAGCCATGCTGCATGCTCTGGGGTCCCTCCAGGTGAGGCCTGGGCACCCAAGCTCCCTATTTGTCCCGGGCACCAGGGACCCCCAGCCCCTTTCTTCAGGGCCCCAAGGGGAAACTGGAGCCCAGGATTGGCAGTGTGGAATCAGGGGACCCCACCGGACTCTTACCAAAGATTTGATGGTGTTCTTCAGTCGACTGATTTTTACGGACGTTGAATCCAGGACTACTGCTCGTTCTTGGCACGGGCTCTGAGGTGCATGCAGAGAGGAGGAGGTGGAGCAGGAGTGGGGGGAGAGGTAGAGAGAACGATCGTTAGGGCTGGGGTGTGTGGGCTGTCTCAGCTGGCAGAGGGGCACCCAGTCCCACCTGGAGGAGGAGGTTGGAGGGTTGACCCGAAGGGTCACTGCACCTCCACCCAGAGCCTCTTACCTCCAGATCTTTCAGGGTAGCAGATGATGTAGGGCCTTCCCTGTGGAAACCTGTTGCTGACTACAAGAGATGAGAGTGCACATGGAGATGTTCTGTCCCCCACAGTGTCTGAGCCCTCTGACTTCCTTTCTTCCCTATCAACTGGCAACATTTTCTTTTCTGCCTATCTTGGACCTTTTGTCCCATAACTCCTTTGTGCCAACTTCTCTCATGGTTCTTATCTCCCCACCATCCCATCCTGGGGCCCCTTCAGTGACTCCTGATGGCAAGTGGCTGTTCTCTTTGTCCTGGTTTCCCCTTGAGACTGGGGATGAGGAAAATCAAACCATATCCTGGGTGTCCTGAGTGTTTACAGCAGGCCATGTACTAGGGATTAACATAAAAACAACAATAACAAATCTCATTTAAACTTCACAAATGGAAGTGAAACAATAACACCTCTATTATACAGATGTGAAAAGAGAGGCCCCATGAGGTCAAGCAACTTGCCCTAAATCATATCCCTAGCAGAGCAGATGGAGAGGCAGGATTCAAACCCAGAATTCCTTTTTTTTTTTTTGAGACAGAGTCTTGCTCTGTCACCAGGCTGGAGTGCGGTGGCATAATCTTGGCCACTGCAAGCTCCACCTCCCAGGTTCACACCATTCTCTTGCCTCAGCCTTCTGAGTAGCTGGGACTACAGGCACACGCCACCACGCGTGGCTAATGTTTTTGTATTTTTAGTAGAGACAGGGTTTCACCGTGTTAACCAGGATGGTCTCGATCTCCTGACCTCATGATCCGCCTGTCTTGGCCTCCCAATGTGCTAGGATTACAGGCGTGGGCCACCACACCCGGCTAAAGCCAGAATTCTTAACCAGTACCCAGCAGTCCATCCACAATCTTAAGAATTACCCTCTATTGCCCCTTGGGCCCCCTGTCCCCAGAAGCCTGGTCAGCCAAGACTCACATCCCTAGGTGGCTGGCAACCACCGGAAGTGGCTGTCTCAGGGATACTGCCATTTGTTTTCCTGTTCCTGTTCACTCCTGCTGGAACTCTAGGTCTGTTTTTCTGCCAATATTCTTTTAACTGTTGGAAAGAAGAGCAGTAATATTCATGAGAACCGTCAGCCCCTACAGCCACAACCTCCTTTACAGTTTTTACAAAATACACTTACACACCATCTGATTTAATGACACCAACAACTGTACAAGGTGTTGTCACACTCATTTAGTGACTGAGAAGGATTGATATCATGGCTAGAAAAAAAAAAGAAAAAGGCAATACTGGAACTTTGAGACTCAGTCTTCTGACTCCAAGCTCTGAGGTTTTGCCAAGAATCAGCAGCTGCCAGGGACCAAAACCAGAGGCAGAGGTAGAAAAGTAAACATTAAGTAGGCAGGAACTGTATGCCATGTGGTTTAGTCATACATCCTCACACGTCTGTTAGTGTGAAGAAGTGCACCAGTACCTCTCAAACTTTTATATCAATGTGTCCTCATGGCAGAAGGCAGCCTTTCTCTTAAATCAGAATTTATCAGAAAGAGGACAACCCAAGCCTCATTTCAGAGAGAGGTCTGGTATACTCTTAGAAACCTATGTGACTGTCCTCCCTAAGTACATTCATGTTTTTTCTCTTGATCTCAAGAGAATCAAGGGAAACTGATGCTTCAGAAAGATGTCCCACATTTATCCTGTGGCACTCAAAGTACCCAAGGTTGAGATAATATGAGGAAGATTCAAGGTGTCAAGTTCAGTTTCCCAAGATCTATTCCACAGAAGATGAGCAAATCTCACTTCAGAGACCACTGACTGAAGGAGAGTCTGGTCCCAGAACCATGGAGAATTAGAATATGAGGTGGAGAACTCAGAAAAAAATGTTAAAATCTCTCTGGAAAGTAGAAGCCTGGGAGAAAACCAAATCAAACCCATTCTCTCATTGCCACCCAGAGATACTGTCAACGTTTTGAGTTCATGGGGGAAGTGTAGGCTTTTCCCACCGTCAACATCTGTAAGGGAGTGAGGCAGCCTGGAACCTCTTGCTCCTAGGTCCCATAGTCTCCATTCCCCTTCCAGCTGGAAATTTGTGCTGTGACCAGAGGAACCAGAAACGGGGTGAGAACGCTTAGGGGACTGGGTCGTAAGGTCAAAGGCCAGTCTTGCAGTAACGGCAGTTACTAGGTGGACTGTGACATCACAACATTCCACTCCTCCTCGTCGGGGGGAGGGACCATGTCAGCACCATGTCCAAGTCGCTGCTCCACGATGGGGGAGGGAAGCACAGGGTTGGGACCCAGCTCCTTGGAGACGCCAGCACAAAGAACCCAGGGAGGTCGACCTTGAGGCAGCAGGAGGGGAGGGCACAGTCTGCAGCAGGGAGTCCCAGGAGTCACCAGCCCAAAGTCACCCAAGGATGACTGGCGAGGGTGGGGCCTGGCTCCTTGGAGATGAGAGCCCAAAGAGCCCACGGAGATCAAGCTTGGGGCGGCAGGAGATGAGGGCCCAGTAATGGAGCGGGAAGCCCCAGGAGTCACCCACCCAAAGTCACCCTGGGGTGATTGGCGAGGGCAAGGACTGGGCTGCTTGCTGAAGGGGTGGGGCTGACTGACAAAACTTTGGTGGGGGTAGCCCAAGGCACCGGGGTTGGGGGGACCAGTCCAGTGTGCCTCAGGAGTCATATAGACTCTGGCAGGGGTCTTGTCATCAGAGGGGATCTGTGGCTGGGTTGAGGGGCTATGACCTAGTGCGTTTTTACCTTTTTCTTGGCTGCAGCCAATTTGTTGTGTTGAGTTTCTTCTGCCATTGCAGGGTGGGGAGGGAGGAAGGGTTGGGGCCACAGCAGCAAAATCCCAATAAGAACCGTTCAAGGCCTCCAGTCACCTACCAGGCAGCTGTGTGACTGAGCCAGAGGAGGCGTAACCAGGGCCCCAGTAGAATGCGGAATAGGGGCGTGGCCTTAATGCTCCAAGCCCATTGGTCAATGAGAAAGATGAAAGGGAAAGGGGGCGTGGCCAGACAGCAGCGTGTCCAGAGGGCCCTGCGGCTCACAAGGAAAGCTGCCCATGGCAACCGCTCTCCCCACCCACTCTAAGAGAGGGGAGAGGCCTCCCACTCTGGAAGAGAAGAGGGGCTGGCTTTTGCTTTAAAAGCTTTAAAACTTTAAAAAATATATGTGTGTATACTTTATATATATGTGTGTCCATGTGTGTGTATCTATGTTTTTCTCCATAGCTGTCTTCATTATCCAGCTTCTATGCAAGGTCTATGATTTTGGCCTATATTTTTCATCTTTGATTACAGTACAAAAATTACCAGTATTACCTTAACTGAGATACAGATCCTATAAAAATGGAAAATGCATAGCATGCTTGATGATTAATGAAGCAGACTATATTATCCAACATTCTAATAAGATAAAATAATCACAATGATTTCTCTTTTTTGGAAAAATGTTTCTCTTATTCTCCTACGTTTTCGTTAAGATTTTTTTTCTTAAACAAGAAACATGTCTAATATCTGTAAAAGCACAAAGCTTTTGGGCTGGGTGCAGTGGCTCATGCCTGTAATTCCAGGACTTTGAGAGCCCAAGGTGGGTGGATCATGAGGTCAGGAGATCGAGACCATCCTGGCTAACACGGTGAAACCCCATCTCTACTAAAAATACAAAAAAGGCCGGATGTGGTGGCAGGCAGCTGTAGTCTCAGCTACTTGGGAGGCTGAGGCAGGAGAATGACATGAACCCCCGAGGTGGAGCTTGCAGTGAGCCAAGATCATGCCACTGCACTCCAGCCTGGGCTACAGAGCAAGACTCCATCTCAATTAATTAATTAATTAATTAATTAATTAAAATAAAAAATTAATAGTAAGAGCAATGTGAACAAAAGATGCAATAAAATAATTTAGAAAATACAAACTATTAAAAAATAGATTTTAAAACTTGTGCAACGAAGTCAAACAGCAGCCAACGAAAATGTATACCCTTACACGTTTGTTTAAAAAGCAATTTAAATTACATTGATCCACTAAACTAGGAAAAGCAAAACAAACAAAAAGGGGGAAATAATTAAGACCTAAGGAAAAAGAAAAACCACTAGATTTAAAAAATAAAACTAAAGGAGGATTCTTTCAAAAGACTGAGATAATAAAACAGTCAAGCCTCTGATAAGTAATCAAGATAAAGAAAACTTTGAAGAGAAAAGGGCATATAGCCACATGTGAATATGATGCAAAAAGTGAAAACTTTACACATCTTTACAACACCTTAGAAGTATGGATGACATGTTCATTTTTTTTTTTTTTTTTTTTGAGACGGAGTCTCGCTCTGTCACCCACGCTGGAGTGCAGTGGCGTGATCTTGGCTCACTGCAAGCTCCGCCTCCCGGGTTCACAACATTCTCCTGCCTCAACCTCCCGAGTAGCTGGGACTACAAGCGCCCGCCACCACGCCTGGCTAATTTTTTGTATTTTGGCTTAGTAGAGACAGGGTTTCACCATGTTAGCCAGGATGGTCTCTATCTCCTGACCTCGTGATCCACCTGCCTCGGCCTCCCAAAGTGCTGGGATTACAGACATGAGCCATCGCACCCATCCAAAGTGTTCATTTTTTTTTTAAGAACCTACAGTTACGAAAAGTAACTGAAGAAGTGGGAAATCTGGAGACCAATATGCAGAAGAAGGAAAAAGACAAAGACTCATCCTCCAAATTGGATATTTAAACCAGAATTTGTCATCCTCAGCAATATTGATATATTGGGCCAGATAATTCTTTGTGGAGGGTTCTCTTGGTGTGTTGTCGGGCATTTAGTAACATTCCCTCTACCCACAGAATGCCAATGAGACCTCCCGACCATGACCAGTTGTGACCACAAAAATGTCTCCAGATATTTCCAAACGTCCCATAGGAGGCAAAATACTCCTGCAGTTGAAAATTACTGTGTAAACCAGATCTACATCCTAGATCTTAGAAAAAAGATGTAAAGCTTCCCAACTCAGCCCTGCATACCCTTGATACTGAAATAACAGCCTTAAAGGAAACAAACAAAACTATAATCTTATTTAATACAGAAGTAAAAATGCAAAAATAAAATATTACCATAGCCATTCCAACAGTGTTTATTATAGGAATGCAAAGATAATTCAAAATTAGGAAAATTTCATCAGGCAATTCACAAATTATATTTCTACATATAATTGAAGGCACAATCATGAAAAACAAAGTAGCTCTATATGCATTAAGTCCATGATCTATTCAGTGAAAAACACAAGTTGCACATGTCTTACAGAAGGAAAACTTAACACTGAACACAGATTCTCACCATCTGCTCTTTGTCCTGAGGCTCCAATAGAAATACAGTGAAGAATAAACATTGTATAAGCACACCATTACAAAAAAGGAATGGGGTTACCAACAGAAGAGAATTCATCTTCATTAGACAATGACAGTACATGGAAAATGGTTAATTCATGGAGCAAAGCAACAAAGGTGGAGGTCAGGGGGATACTGAGAACAAGGAGGCTAATCTGTCCCACAGCAACCTGGAAAGGTTCTAGACTCAGACACGAGGTACCCCCGACAGTGGGACTGATAGGCAAGACTGAAAACAGAGATTAAGCAAAAGCCCGGATAGAGAACACATTTCACAGGCCCTGAAACACACTGCTGGCCCCATCTCCTTAAACAGAACCCAAGCAAACGTATCCACCTCAGGCAAGAGAATGTAGATTTTACATCCAGAGGAATGGAGTAGTCATCCAGCCATCATTTATGATTGCAACAGGAGATAAGATAGAGGGATGGAGGATAACAATTAGGAATCAGCATACATTCCCCTTAAAGCTATCAGTTGACAAGTCTTGGCCACAAAGAACTCCCAATCAATTTTTATTTATTTTTATTTTTATTTATTTATTTATTTATTTTGAGACAGGGTCTTGCTCTTTCGCCCAGGTTGGAATGCAGGAATGCAGTGGCATGATCAGAGCTCACTGCAGCCTCAACCTCCTGGGCTCAAGCAATCCTCCTGCCTCAGCCTCCCAAGTAGCTGGGACTGCAGATGGGTGTCACCACACCTAGCTATTTTTTTTTTTTTGTAAAGATGGGGTCTCACTATGTTGCCCAAACTAGTCTTGAGCTCCTGGGCTCAAGTGATCCTCCCACTTCGGTCTCCCAAAGCACTGAGATTATAGGTGTGAGCCACCACACCTCGGCTCCCAGTCTTTTAGTACCTCTCTCAAATATGAATGAACAAATAAAGGAATGGAAAAAAGACTACAGGTCAGGCACGGTGGCTCATGTCTGTAATCCCGCACTTTGGGAGGCCGAGGTGGGTGGATCACCTGAGGTTGGGAGTTCCAGACCAGACTGACCAACATGGAGAAATCCCATCTCTACTAAAAATACACAAATTAGCTGGGCGTGGTAGCACATGCCTGTAATCCCAGCTACTTGGGAGGCTGAGGCAGGAGAACTGCTTGAACCTTGGAGGCAGAGGTTGTGGTGAGCCAAGATCACATCATTGTACTCCAGCCTAGGCAACAAGAGCGAAACTGGGTCTCAAAAAAAAAAAAAAAAAAGACTACAAATGATAAGCAACATAGAATAGATATTTAAGGAAAGGCTTTAAAAAGAAAAATAAGACCAAAATAAACTAAGAAAAAAATTATTAAAGAACAAGGAGATGCCAGGGAGAAGACAAAGAGTATCAAAATCACTTCATAAAGACACTTGTGAATATATTACATGTATAAAACAAAACAATATGAATAAGAAATAATCAGAGAAGAAAAAGTTCTTAGAACTCATGCTCCATCTTGGGAGTTGGTCTCCAATGAGCCATACCTCCTGTCATCATGTCCTCAGACAGGCCCATCCCATAGTCAATCTGGGTTGGCCCCAACACTCACTTTAACCTATAGCATGTGGTAGAAATGACACTGGACCTGTTCCAGGTCTAAGCCTTAAGAACTCCTGGCAGCTCCATTTCTGTGCTTCTGGAAGCCAAAAATAAGAATTGGCTACCTTCTTGGAGAAAGAAAAGCCACATGAAGAGATCCGAGAGGATGAGATGCTATGCAGAGAGAAAGGCCACATCAAGAATCACCAAGGCAGCAGACCTGTGGGTAAAGAAGCCGTCTCAGACATTCCACTGCAGCTGAGCATCCAGATGACCAGTCCCTGACACTGTTTAACCACACAGTGAGAGCTGCCAAATGAGACCAGCAGAAAAACTGTCCAGCTAGCCCCAGGTAATCCATACAGTCGTGACAGATAGACAGATGTGTAGTTTTAGGCCATTAGGTTTTGGGATAATTGGTTAAGCAACAATAAATAACCAAAACAAAACTTAAAGTTATGACAGTCCAAATAAAATTTCCTGAAAGTCGAAAGATAAGAAAATATTCCAGAACTGAAAATTTAAAAAACATTTAGAAATAACGTGAGATATAAGACTCAAGACAAGAGGTCTAAAATCCAATTAACAGACACTTCCAAATGAACAAATAAAATGGAAAAGAGAAAGTTAACAACAAAAATATGACAAGATTCAAGACTCCAACTTTGAAAGAGCCTATCCATAGGCCTGTTCATTTGGTGTACCCAGCATAATGAATGAAAAAAGACCCACACTAAGTACACTGTTGTGCTATTTCAGCTCACCAAGGAAAAGACAAACTCCTAAAAGCTTCCAGGGAGAAAGTCATGCATAAACAAGTGAAACTCAGGATGGCATGAGGCTTCGCCACCACGACTGGTTAGAAGACAACAGCACAGACTTTGAAATTCTAAGGTAAAATTATCCTCAACCTAGAAATACGTAATCAAGCAAACTATCAATCAAGTGTGAGGGTAGAATATGAGAGACGTGAATACTGATGGGGATGTGATATGCAGCAGGCACTGTTCTAAATGGTTTACATGTACCAACCCAATTAAGAAACTTAAAATACACACGCGCACACACACACACACACACACACACACACAGTTTTTCCTGCTAATCATTTTACGATGAAACAGCCAAGTAGCTAACCCAGAGCCCACAAAGGCAGAGTAAAAATTCTAACACTTGGTAAAATAAAAATGCACATATACCCTGTGATCTAAAAAAAAAAAATGCTTAAATATTCAAAGACAGACAGCAATTACAGCTACTGAGAACATCACTGTAAGCAAACTGAGGCAGAGAAAACAAAGGTGCTAATGAGGATTTGAACCACCTAACATGCAGAAACCCACTGGATGCTTTCCTAGGTTCCGAGCTGGCATTGTCTTTCAGAATGATCTAGAAGAGGTCACATGACACTGTTACAAAGGATCTGGAGAAAGGGACCCTTGCTTTATCACTCCGGCTCTCCAGTCATGCTTCACATTTTCACTTCTTACACTCTTTCACATGAAGTCAATTTACAGACCTCCATCATGCCCTTAGAGACCTTTTTGTAATATTCTGACAAGTTCTGGATGTCATCTCTGCACTTTTGACAAATTCTTAGCAGTTAACGTACAAGGCAGTTAACATTTTTGTTCACGGTATAGCTAGAAAAGGGTCATATACTCAATAAAACAAATATTTACCAAGCATTCATTGAGTGGAAGATAAAACGCACAAAGCATAATTATAAAATATTCTCCCCTGCCATGATACAACAAAATTTTTAAAGGCTTACAGAATATAGCATAACATGACCAAAGCAAAAATAGTAAGGACTAAAGAGGGGAGGAAGGGAAAATATCAGCATGAACTGAATATGACCCAGAAGAGTCTTGATGGTCAGACATGTAAAGATGTATTGGGCAGGGTTAAGGGGTGGAAGTCAGGGGCACAGGTCAGGGGCACATTCTACAAGGGAAAAACAGCTGATACAGAAGCCTGAAAGGTAAAGTGGGCAGAGCACCTGTACAGGACTCTTACCTGCCACAGCGAGGGCACAATGCGCCTTTCCAGAACACAGCAGCGCGCAGCCAGGCCTGGGGCAGAGGGATCACTCAAACAGCACCAGAGGCTGCATTCCTACTTTTCTTCCGTCAACAAGTCCATTTTCGTTGTTAGTTTCTCCTTCAACACAAACTTAAAAACAAATGGCTGAACACGCAGGAACAAGGAAAACCTGACTGAAGAATGAGACGTTAAAACTTAAGGGCCTTGGGTCCTGGCACGGTGGCTCACGCCTGGAATCCCAGCACTTTGGGAGGCAGAGGTGGGTCATTTGAGGTCAGGAGTTCAAGACCAGCCTGGCCAACACGGTGAAACCCCGTCTCTACTAAAAACACAAAAGCTAGCCAGGCGTGGTGGCCGGCGCCTGTAATTTCAGCTACTCGGGAGGCTGAGGCAGGAGAATGACTTTAAGCAGCGGACTGTCAAGAGAGGTAGGCTGCAGTGAACCGAGATCGCGCCACTGCACTCCAGCCTGGGCTACACAGTGAGACTCTGTCTCAAAAAAAAAAAAAAAGAAGTCATGGTCATGGTAAAAAACCTATGGCTTTGGAAGGCTTTCTCGGTAACGTCCTAGAATTAAGGTTAAGCCTGCGTTTCATGTTAACTGAACAGGAAACCAGCCTGACCAACATCCTTCTGCCCGGTGGCTTGCTCTCAGCTCCTCTTCGTTGGGCCTTGGGCAGCCAGACTGTCTAGTTTTAATCCTTGCTCTGCCACCTGTGACCTTGGACAAGTTACCTACCTTCAGTTACCTCATCTACAAAATGCAGATATTAATAATACCCTCTTTTTAATTTATCCAGAGGATTAAAAGAGTTAATAAAAAGTAAAAAATAAAAAGACTTGGTAAGCATAGGCACAGAGGAAAAAAAAGTAAAAATAAATAATTAAATAAAAAGACCAGTGCCTAGCACATAAAAGTTCATCAGGAATTAATTCTATAATATGAACTCAATTTTGCAAAACTTCAAAGTACGTACAACTTTTAACTTACTAGGGTATACATACCAGTAATAAATTCACAACGGTAGACATGTTTGCCTACTGTAAATATAACAAAGACTAAACAAGCAGATACTAAATCATTAAGCAATTATCAGTTAGTATCTTTAATTTTCTTATACTTCTATATTTTCTATAGATCATCTTTGTAACAAGAAGAAAACCAACCAAATGAAAATGAAATGAATTCTCTCAAAAAGAATTAAGTCAAGACAGGAAGAAGGCTCGCAAAGTAATATAAAATATATCTTATGGTTTATGTAAAATTCTTAATAAAATACCTTCTTTGCTCCAAGCTGCACTCTGGCTTTGCCTTTGAGTCAGGTGGCATTTCTTTGCACGATGACTGGTTCTATTGAGTAGGCACTGCTTCAGCCCTACAGGAAGAACAAAACCTCTCTGGAACACAGCAGCATTCCTGACTCCCACTTGAGGAGGCCTAACAAAACGGCATATGCCTCAACAGCAGCAGATCAGTGTTAAAAAGTCTGGAGTCAAGGGGAAAAAGTAAAATTGGACCATTTCCAAAATCTCACAAAAAGCAACAAACTGACGTTCTAAGTGCCCAACATGAGCAAATTAGAACCTTAAATAAAGGTCACTCTTAATGCCTATCCCAGCATAGATGCAGCACCAAGTACAGTGTCATTTTACTGGTTTACCTTTTTCATTCTTGAAAGTAGGAGCTATGAAAAAAAAACACTAAAATTTCTCTAAGAGAACCTTCTACTTTCTGTCTAACTTACATAATCAAAACACTCTATTGAGGGTGAAAATTGAATATTATAAGAAAATAATCACGTGTTTTGCGAGAAGTTGCAAATATAATGCTCCTCCACCCAATACCTACCTTAAAAAGAAAAAAGGAAACATACAAAATTATCTCGAGAATTATTCCTGCTTAAACAATGTCTACGTGCCATTACTAAGAAAGTATGCACACAGTAAAGATGAGAAGAGAACATGCAAGCGTGAACATACTTGTTAGGGATATAGGACTATGGGTAATTTAAACATTTTAATGGTATTACTCTCATGTAATTGCTCTGAAATTCTAGTCAGTTGTTTGAAATGGCTCTTAGAACAGAATACTTTGACATTTTTATGATGTCAAAAACTAAGAACTTAGCCCTAAATATTCCAAAGAATAGGTGCAGAAGAACCCGTTTCCTTAAACGGCATTTGAGTATTCTTCACAACTCAAACTTTCTCTCCCATCCTGTGATGGCCGAGAGTTTTTCCTCTGACGACCGCACTGACCTTACCCTATCCAAAATATGAACATCTGCATGGTTTCCTGGTTCAAATTGTTTTTATCCATTCTGTCGTGAGAATCAAATGGTTCAGACCATGCAGCACCTCTCTGGGACTTCTCAAGTCCTTTCTAGATCTGAAGACTATTCTCTGAACCAAAGACAACTTCTGGGGGTGTACCAAATCTCCCTTTAGAAAATTATTAAGATCAAGATGTTTTAACCTTTTAACTCTTTCTCAAACAAAATAAATTCGTTTCTCCTTTACTGTTATTTTAAATTTCAAAATACACAGATAGTATGTCTAAAATAAAATCAAGAGAATGACAGTTTTAGAACACAAACTGTGGTAATTTTGAAAACACAAAAGCTAAGACCACTAATTAGGTCTATGTGGACACCAAGTCCACCACAACCTGTTCTGTCCTCCGGGGCTCTGCCCACGCCTTTCCCTTGCCTGAGATTCCTTCTGCTTCCTACCCTTCCAAATGCTGTATTTCCCCCTGGAAGACTTGCCAAGACCACTCTAACCTGCACATCTCCCATTCCAGCTAACCAAAGGCATCCTTGGGTTGACTAAACCAAGTTATTTTGCAGACAAGGCATCTAAACACTTCCACTGTAGACTATTCACCTTAATAATTGTTATTGTGACATTATTCAATAATAAAATGAGGGAAAGAAGTCCTCTTCAATCCCTTATCCTGGAGAACCCAAGCAAGTGTCTTTCCCACTTGCTTTGCCCAAACCCTGGGACCTTTCTAAGTAAAAGTTTAATGGAAGGGAAAGAAAATCTAAAAGAAAAACTCTCCAAGAAATTAAACTCGGGCAAAGATTCATGGGATTAAAAATTTTTATTCTTTGTGTATTTGATTTCCGAAACATAGAAATCTCTCTCCCACTCCTTAAACCTGCCACTGGGCTAAGAGAGTATTGTACAGAATATGCACTCACTGACTTAACAGAATTAGAACATCCAGGCACTCACTGAGATTTTGCTTCCACAACCGCTCAAAGTCTAGTCATTAGTTCATGAGTTAACACCACACTTGACCTTCAAGTTTTGGAAATGCTGACGGTAGACAGGGACTTGTTTTGGGAAAGGAAGTACACAGTAGACATTGTTACCCATGACCCAACCACCACCACCTTTCCTTTAAAGAACCCCACTCTTCCTTTAAGGTTGCAGAGTCTCAGAAAGTGGGAAGAAAGGAAGTTTTTGCATTTTCAGGTCAAAACGAAGTACATTTGTGCAACCACATAATGCCCATGCAAAGGTTTCTTGAAATCTAAACACAAGACAGAAGTAGTTCTAGCACCTCCACAAAAAGTAAGGTAAGTAAACTTTTCCTTAATATACACTTTCAGCAGCATCAACACCTAAAAGTGGTTGACTTTACTACTGTACTAAATTAAATTACATTCATTTTGTCAATAGGTGTTCCAAATTCGTACTGATCTTTGTCTCCAAGGGGTTCCTGCTGAATATTGAGACAGTTGAAGATTACTAGGGGAAAAAATTCTTAATAATCGAAGTAAGGATCATCTAAGGATAATATGCCACATATACAGACACAGTCACATTTTCAGCTTTACAAAAGTTCAGTTATCAAAGTTGTACAGCAAACACTATCCTAAGCTTAGCGTCTTCAGGCATTTGATTTATAATCACTGTAAAGAAAAATCAGTCACAAAATGCCACTGTTGTATGATTCTATTTATATGAAATGCCCAGGATAGGCAAATCTACAGAGATAGAAGTTAGATCAGAGGTTGCCAGGATCAATGGTGGGGGAGAGAGCTACAGGGAGTGACTGCTAGTGGGTACGGGGTTCTTTTTGGGGAGATGAAAATGTTCTGAAATTAGGGAGTGGTAATGGCTGCATAACTCTGAATATACTAAAAACCACTGAACTGTACACTTGAAGGGTGAGGCTTATCATACAAAAACTGTATCACAATAAAGCTCTTAGTTTAAAAAATGTTTGTCTATGTCAAGAAACAAAGAAATAGGGTCATAGCTAGAAGATATGGGATATAAAATACTGGAACAAAACTGCTTAATAATATATCTAGAATCACACAATGCTTAGTCTTTACGCTGACTAAAATCACGAGATTTGTGTTTTATCGGTATTTCACATTTTTTACTTCTTCTAAGTCAGCCAGTAATTCCTCCTTCTCACTTAATCGTTGACTACAAAGACCAAGCCATTTTGACTCTGCCACCGATGAGCTTTCACATTTCTTTCCTCCTTCCATTCCCATGACTACCAAACCAGTGCAGGTTCTCCTCACTTCACTCTAAGACAACAGCGTGGCCCTCAAATACTGTCACACTCTTCAAGGCTCTGTGAGCACAATCTGTCTCATATTCTCTTCTGCTGTCACCAGATTTATTCTAAGACCGTTTCTTCACTGTTACTCCCCTGTTTCTCAACCAGTTACACAGAAAGACGAATATCCAGGCATGGTGTCATGTGCCTGTAGTCCCAGCTACTCAGGAGGCTGAGGCGGCAGGATCGCTTGAGAATGTGAGATTCAGACTGCAGTGAGCCATGATCATGCCACCGCACTCCAGCCTGGGCAACAGAGTGAGATTGTCTCAATAAATAAATAAGTAAATAAATAAATAAATAAATGAATAAATAAATGTGGTCTATCCATGCAACGGAATACTATAAAATTATCAGCCTTAAAAAAGAAAGAAGCCCTGTCACATGCTGCAATATAGATGAACCTTGAAAACATTACACTAATTGAAATCAGCCCATCACACAAAGACAAATGCTGTACAATTTCTCTTACATTAGGTTCGAAATTAGTCAAACTCATAGAAACAGAAAATAGAGCGGTTGTTTCCATAAGCCAGGGGATAGAGAAATGGGGAGTTGTTGTATAGTGGCTATAGTTTCAGTTCTCCAAGAGAAGCAAGTTCTAGAAACTCGTTACTCAACATGTATATTTTTAACACTACTGCACTGTATACTTACAAGTGGCTAATATGGTAAATTTTATGTTGTGCCTTATCACCATAATGTTTTTAAAAGAAGGGGTTTGTGTTTCCCTTCGTTGTGATCACCCATTTTTCACTTCAGCATTTTGAACTTGAGATTTCCTGTAGCGGTTTTACTGAGCCCTGCAGTTACCGGCTCAGAATGTCTCCACCGCCTTGTAACCTTGTAGGCAGACACTTTTCAGCATCTTATTGGGCTCCGTGTGCTTGATGCTTAAAGTGACATGGAGACATGCCACTTGCTGAGAAGCAAAGAAAGGCAAAAGGTGACTGCTTTCCTGGCATCGATGAAGGCAGAGAGAAGGGATCTTGGAGGCACAGATATTAAGCCATAAGCAATAACATGGGTTGCCAAAAAGAGAACTAACCCCTCTCCTGGTAACATTTCCAGGTGTTTTTCACAGGGCCAGTGGATTTCACAATGTGAGTGCTGTCCAGCACCAAAGGGAATGGCCAACAGGCATGGAGCAGCCTACAGCGTCCAGCACCCAGTAGGATGGCCAGGAGGCACGGAGCAGCCTGCCTGTCCCAGGAAAGCAGGAGTCACAGGACACAACTGGACCCAGGTAGGCATGTATGTTACTTTCCTGTGGCTGTTAGAGCAAATTACCAAAAATGTGGTGACTTAAAACAACAGAAATTTATTTTCTCACAGTTTTGGATATCAGAAGTCCAAAATCAGTATCACTGGGCTGAAATCTAGGTCTCAGCAGAGCCAGTGCTCTCAGAGGCTGAGGGGAAAATCCATCCTTTGACTTGCGCAGCTTCTGATGGCTGCTGGCATTCATTGGCTTGCAGCTCCACCACTCCAGGCTCTGCCTTCTTGGTCACAGGGCCTCCTTCTCTTCTGTCTGAAGTTAAATCTCCTTTATCTCCCTCTTATAAGGATATATGTGCCAGGATTTAATGCCCACGGAGACAATCCAGGATAATCTCTCCTCAAGATCCTTAACTTAATCATACCTGAAAATATGCTTTTTCCAAATGAGGTAACATCTACAGGTTCTAGGAGTTCCAGACCAGCCTGGACGACATGGTGAAACACGGTCTTTTTTTTTTTTTTTTTTTTTTTTTTGAGCGGAGTTTCGCTCTTGTTTTCCAGGCTAGAGTGTTTTCCGGTCTCGACTCACCGCGGCCTCCACCTCCCGGTCAGGTGGTTCTCCTGCCTAAGCCTCCTGAGTGGCTGGGATTGCAGGCATGAGCCACCATGCCAGCTAATTTTGGTGGTTTTTTTTTTGTACAGACGGGGTTTCTCCGTGTTGGCCGGGCTGATCTCAAGCTCCTGACCTCGGGTGATCCGCCCGCCTCCGCCTCCCTGGGTGCTGGGATTGCAGGCGTGAGCCACCGCGCCCCCGGTCCAATTTAGTAACCAGAAAGGAATAGATCGGCCTGGCGTGGTAGCTCATGCTTGTGATCCCAGTACTGTGGACGGCCGAGCGCGGCGATCGATTGAGCCTAGGACTTCCAGACCGGCCTGGGCAACGTGGTGAAACACTGTCTTTTTTTTTTTTTTTTTTGAGTGGAGTTTCGCTCGTTTTGCAGGCTGGAGTGCAGTGGCGTGGTCTCGACTCACCGCGGCCTCCACCTCCCGGGTTTAGGTGGTTCTCCTGCCTCAGCCTCCTGAGTGTCTGGGATTGCAGGCATGAGCCACCATGCCAGCTAATTTTGGTTTTATTTTTTTGGTACAGACGGGGTTTCTCCGTGTTGGTCGGGCTGATCTCGAGCTCCTGACCTCGAGTGATACGCCCGCCTCCGCCTCCCTGGGTGCTGGGATTGCAGGCGTGAGCCACCGCGCCCCCGGTCCAATTTAGTAACCAGAAAGGAATAGATCGGCCTGGCGTGGTGCCTCCCCCTTGTGATCCCAGGACTTTGGAAGGCCGAGTGTGGCAGATCGCTTGAGCCTAGGAGTTCCAGACCGCCTGGGCAACATGGTGAAACCCGGTCTCTGTTTTGAGACGGAGTTTCAGCCTTGTTGTCCAGGCTGGAGTGCAATGGTGTGATCTTTGCCCACCGCAACCTCGGCCTCCCGGATTTAGGTGATTCTCCTGCCTGGGCCTCCCTAGTAGCTGGGATTACAGGCATGAGCCACCATATCCGGCTAATTTTGTAGTTTTTTTCTTTTTTTTAGTAGAGACGGGATTTCTTCATGTTGGTCAGGCTGGTCTCCGACCTCGGGTGATCCGCCCACCTCTGCCTTCCAAAGTGCTGGGATTGCAGGCCTGAGCCACTGCGCCCGACGGAAACCCAGAACGGAAAACAAAACAAAAACCACAAAGATTAGCCGGGTGTGGTGGGCCGCGCAGGTAGTCCCAGCTACTCTGAAGGCTGATGGAGGAGGATTGCTTCACCCCGGCTTCTAGGTGGCAGTGAGCTATGATGGCGCTGCTGCACTCCAGACTGGGCGACAGAGCGGGACTCTGTGGCAGGAAAAGGGAAAGGAAAAAAAAAAGAAAAAGAATGTAAATAAAATTGCTAACTCAAGGAACAGCTTGACAGTATATTATTGCGACAAATAGAGGCAAAGGTTAGCAGACACCAGTGTTCACTTAGTGGGACCTGCGGGTGTTCCCCCCATAGGAGGCTGCTACTTTCCCACAAGAAATCCATTACTGACTACCGATAAAAGAACACATCGTTGGTTTCTTACAATATACAAATAGCTAAACTTTATATAGCCACAACCCTCTTCTAGCACTGCTCTAAGCCTTTTCCTGCTCTGAAATAGCTACTATTGTTACCTCCATTGTAGAGAAAACAGGTGCCGGAGGCTGTTGTGGAAGGCCCAGGGAAACTGACTATGAAATTGACTTGTTGTAAGTTTCAGACTTAAAAGTTCTTCCTGCTCTGCGCCTTACATTGCTACATTTTAGTTAAGGTACCTCTTACAATACTGGTCCTTTCTGTATTTGGAGGGACTTCTCTTGCAAATTGAAGTTTTTTCTTGCGCTAAGCATTTGGTCATGAGATTATCTGCGTTTTACATCAGTTTAAATACCTCTTTAGACATTGTTCAGTTAGAAATGTAAATAGGAGCTAACATTGTGTGTAAAAGGAAAGAACATCTGATTACAACCACTTTTGTTTCATAATACAAATATAAATCAATATGTTATTGGAAATGCAGGCTGGGAGGGGAGGGAAAATATGCATAGAGAAAAGCCCCATCTCTGCTTGGAGTTCAGCACTGGGTCTCTTTTTCCTTTCCACCTTCCTTGTCAAGGCTGCCACAGTGACAAGCACACAGGGGTGCCTTTAGTGACACCTGCTGTGACAGACCTGGCAGAACGGATTGCAGATTTGCATGTTTCCTGGCTGCCTCTGCTAGCCTGAGTCAGCAGCCCACTCCAATTCATGCTGAGCTTAGACAGCTCAGGTTTGCAAAATTATCCCTTCCCTTGGAGCAACCGCTTTCCAGTCTCTTCATCATTCCTAAAGGAGAATGACATACATGCCAGCATGACAGAGGTCCAGAAATTTATAGAAGCTTCATTGTGAGCCTATATCCTTAACAGGGGTTCAAACTACCAACACCGAATGAAGAGAGAGGTTTTGCAGTAAAGCAGGAAGTCATTAAAATAATGAATCACCCAGCTAGGTTTTGAGCTCCTTTCCCACCAATTTAATGGAAAGTTTTATTGTCTTTACAATGTACACTTTCATAAATTTTGCATAAATTTATTATTCACATCTTAACATAGGTAACTCCTTAGTGTTTGATCACTGAGCAAATTATATGCAGCAAAACAATCCTATATTTTGGTGAACTCATAGCTTAGAAAATACTAAAGACTCATTGTAAACTGAGGGCAGCATTAAGCAAATTATATTTACCTTTGTGACTGCAAAACTTAATGATTCAATGCTTTTCCCATGAAATTTATCTTCCAATACTGATAGTTTTTTAAACAAAAAATATGAATTAAATATCAATTAAAATTTTATCATTGTTTTCAGAAACTGTGACTTCACTAGTTATGAACAGACTTGAAATGTATAGTTTTTAAGTTTGGAAATTCTTTGTAGTCTCATTTACTTTTCCAGGAAGGAAGTGAGATATTTTTTGCCACTGTTGCCTGGTTTTTGTTTGTTTTTTGATCATAAACAAAACTTAATGGAGCCTCAAATCTACTAACTCGGTCCTCCTCTGGCAATATGCCTTTTTCTGATTTCTAGATATCACTTGATATTTTTTAACACACTAATTTTATTATTTAAAAATTTATAAAAGTACTCAGAAGTAAGAGGCAAATTAAATTTGAAACCTTAGTGGTAATACCATCATCCAAAGTCATCATCAATAATATTTTGGCATATTTTATTTTAAAATACATTTCAGCACAGTTTAGTTATATTTGTTATATCTGTATCAATAAACTGTTTTCATATGTCATTACTTTTATGGATATAATTTTTGACGTGCGACTAATATGAAATCTTATATACTTGCTATAGTTGACCTTGTGAGACATTTAGATTTTCAACTGTTTAGTACTTTAATAACCAGTTTTTTTTCTAATATCATTATTAGAATAATAATATTACTATAGTATTATTATTATTGTAGCAATAACTTGTTTTTAGAATAAATATCCTATTTCTCATTTAACTTGATCGGATCCGTGCATGGACAATTATGTTGGGAACATAGAATGTAACTGGCCCTGTTTCAACCCCTTAGATGTGGCCCTCAGTTCAGGGAAGGGAGGAGTTCTCTACTGGGCTGATAAAGCAGAATTCAGAAACATTGTTTTCTTCTCTACCTGGTGTCTTACAAAACCAGAAGATGTGAGTGTGACTCGTAAAGGCAAGAGCATGTATATTATGCAAAAGCAGCCTGAAATATTTTATTCACAGACAGACAGACAATGCTTGACTCCCTGCTAATCTGAAATACTTCGTGGGGAGGGCCAGGGAAATCAAAACAAAATTTCAGAAGTAGAATGAGCTATTTGGTGTATGTCTCCAAGGCCAATAAATAACAAGAAGGAAAAATAAATTTCTTTGCTAACAACAAGAAGGAGAAATAAACTTTTTTGCTCTAAAATATTTTCCAATTATCTCCACGACACTGGAGGGAAGGACTAACAAAAAAAAAAAAAAAAAAGAAAGAAAGAAAGAAAAAAAAAAAGAAAAGAAATAAAAGGTGGGGCATGGTGGCTCATGCCTGTAATCCCAGCACTTTGGGAGGCCAAGGCGGGTGGATCACAAGGTCAGGAGATCGAGACCATCCTGGCCAACATGGTGAAACCTGGCTCTACTAAAAATACACAAAATTAGCCGCAGGCACCTGTACTCCCAGCTACTTGGGAGGCTGAGGCAGGAGAATGGCATGAACCCGGGAGGCAGAGCTTGCAGTGAGCCGAGATGGCGCCACTGCACTCCAGCCTGGGGGACAGAGCGAGACTCCATCTCAAAAAAAAAAAAAAAAAAAAAATTAACCATCACAGAGGAGCAGAGAAAAACCTTCTCAAAGACAGAAGTCATTGATTTATTTCCATCCCGGCACAAGCCCCTTAATTCTGTAACTTGTCCAGAATGGTTTCCTGTCACTGTAGATTCTGCATCAGAACATCCTCTTATGCAAAGCTAAAAAACTCCAAACCACCTCTGTTAACTGTGCGGTGCTCCATGGTTTCACACAGTCCAGAGCTGCTTGTGTTTATCAAAAATGAAGCTGAAAACAAAATTCTTCCTTCACACAACCACTGCATTCCATTGCACATTTACCAAAGACATTTACCACGTTGGCATTATTTGTGCATCCATCAAGAAGTGCTGAAAAGCATTCCCCTCACACACTGCATGTGTCCTGTGAGTGGATCTTCCATTTTACTTGCCAGTTCTGGAAAACTTTGAATTTGTGTGTCGATGGAAAATTAAAGTTTAGTGGCATCTTTGCCCCACATTCACCCAACTTTTCTAAGGAACTATTTCAATGCTACTTTTCACTAGTGTCACTTTTCAGTCTTAGCCTCCTGGAGTACAACTTTATTAGAAGCCCGCAAAGCACTAGTGTTAAAATGAGAAATAGTAAACATCTGATTCTGTTGTGTTTTAACTCCATGCTTTTCTCTAATGTTTCATTGTTTTGAATTTAATTCTTTGTGCTTCCCACGTGAATGCAACTTACAGTTTGAATGTCTTCTTTCTTCACTAGCCGATGCATCTGTGCCAGTAACACATGGTGATTCTGTCCTTTCACCTTCAGTTATGCCTGTAAAACCAAATTCAAGACAGATGATCCTCAACTCACAAAGGAGTTATAGCTCATCATCAGTTGAAAATATAAGCCGAAAATGCATTTAAGGCCGGGTGCAGTGGCTCAGCCTGTAATCCCAACTCTTTGGGAGGCTGAGGCGGGTGGATCACCTGAGGTCGGGAGTTAGAGACCAGCCTGGCCAACATGGGGAAACCCTGTCTCTACTAAAAATACAAAAATTAGCCAGGCATGTTGGTGCGCACCTGTAATCCCAGCTACTGGGAAGGCTGAGGCAAGAAAATCGCTTGAACCCAAGAGGCAGAGGTCGCAGTGAGCCGAGATCATGCCATTGCACTCCAGCCTGGGTGACAAGAACAAAACACACTGTCTCAAAACATTAAATTAAATTAAATTAAATTAAAATGCATTTAATACACCTAAGCTAACATCATAGCTTAGCCTAGCTTACCTTAAACATTCTCAGAAAATTTACATTCACCTTCCATTGGGCAAAAATTCTCTCTCACAAACCCACTTTAAAGTGTTGAATATCTCATGTAATTTATTGAATACTGAAGTATGGTTTCTGCTGAATGCGTATCACTTTCACACCATCATAAAGTCAAAAAATTATAAGTCAAACCATTGTATGTCAGGGATCATCTGTCCATTAGAAATAGTACTTCTGAGTAAAACGAGGACAAACTCCTTTGGTCTTCATGTCCTCAGAATCACTTTCATAATCATCTCTTGGTTTACAAGGTGCATCTTTTATTGGTTAAAAAAATTAATACAATTTATTTCACTCTCAAATTAGGTTTAATAATAAATAACACAACTTTCTTTTGTTTTCACTAATAATGCTAACATTGGCTTGATTTAAAATTAAAATTATTGCAAAAATAAGACTTTATAGAATAGATGTTCCCATTTTTCAGATGTGTGAGATTATACTATAGTTGACAAACTAACCTTAAAGAACACAGCTTGCAATGTGGTCCTTGTGTATGTGACTCGTTTGCAGCTCACAGCCTCTGCATCTTTCCATCGAGTCTGACAAAACCTGAGTTGGTCTGTAACTGCTCATTGAGACAAGTCCCCTGATGTCACATACAGATGCTGGGAGAATGTCAAGTTTCTATAGAAATTTCTAAACATTTACCCTGAATTTCTATGTTTCTGTCATTACATAGAGATGACAGAGTGTTGACAGACTTTGAGTGGTCTTTAGTAACCAATTGTTGAAAGTCTGGTTTAGCTAAACTAGTTTGTAAGTACCTTGGCAGGTGCCTTTGCTGTAGGAATTCTCAGAGTCTCTATAAACTAATGAGCATTGGAAATCTGCAGGGGGGAAACAGAGTATGCAGTATCCCCCATGATGATTCAACCCCAGATTTTATTTTTCACTGAGCATCTCACACTTAGTAGTGTATCTTTTCTATGCATTGGGCACTGGGAGACGACGTGTAGTCATCTCAACAGAGACCTGGCCTTCAGACGCCACCACTCACTGCCGCTCTGTCCAGGCGAGCATCAACTTGCACTGTTTCAGAAGCAAAAGGAAAATGAACCGCAGCCACTGAAGTCCCTCAGAACTGAGGAAAAGTTATTGACTTTCCTGATTTGTGTTCAATCTGGCTGGCCATGGGTACAGACACAGCTGGTTTCCCCATTTGTGAGCTGGACGGATTTAATTCCTGGCTGTTTGAATGATGTATCCCCTCATCAGTGAAACCAACAGAGTAGCTCAACTTAATTTTCTCTTTCTATGGCATGCCATTTATACCCATTCAATTATGCCTGTGTCAATTAAGTCAAACATTCTTACTGTCTCTATTTCTAATAAAAAGTGGTAAACACTCGAAAACCCCTTTCATAAATAGGCATGTATAAAAGCAATGTTCTTAATAAAAATGTTGGACTTAATAAAAGTATTTTAAAAAACAGTAGGAACCATAGTATAATAAAGGCCTTGGCCGGGCGTGGTGGCTCACACCTGTAATCCTAGCACGTTGGGAGGCTGAGGCGGGCAGATCACGAGATCAGGAGATGGAGACCATCCTGGCTAACACGGTGAAACCCCATCTCTACTAAAAACACAAAAAATTAGCTGGGCGTGGTGGCAGGTGCCTGTGGTCCCAGCTACTCGGGAGGCTGAGGCAGGACAATGCTGTGAACCCAGGAGGGGGAGTTTGCAGTGAACAGAGATTGTACCACTGAACTTCAGCCTGGGCGACAGAACGAGACTCCGTCTCAAAAAAAAAAAAAAAAAAATATATATATATATATATATATATATATATATATATATAAAGGCCTCATTTTGCAGGTGAGGACACTGAAGATTATAGGAGAAAGAAGGGCTTCATGCAAAACCACGTTCCTGATTGTTGGCAGAACCAAGCCGCCAACCTGGAACTCAAGTTTCTCTACTTATAGTAGACGCTCAAAGAATTATAATACTTTATAACAACGTCATAATCATTTGACGTTTCTAAGCTGGTCATGTTTTCTTTCATGTGTACTTCTCCCCTCTCAACAATTACCGTGCCCTTGGCAATTTAATAAAGCAGGATAATATTCAACTCAGTGACCTACAGCTTGACAAGCATCTCCTGCTCCCAGAAAACAGAAGGTGTTGCTGTCAAACTAATACTAAATAATAATTTTCTGTAGTCCTAGAGCCTCTGGACTTCCCAATTACACGGCCAATAAACCCCCTCATTGTCTGAGCCAGTCTGAGCTGGGCAGCCTGACTGAAGTCTGGAACATCCTAACTGGCACAAAGGCCCTTAAGATGACCCCAAGCCACCTGTCTGGCTTTCTCTCTTGTCACTTCCTTCTACATCCTCTCTGCAATAACCAAATTAGATTACTCACCATTCTCCACACTGCCTTGTGATTTTCTTTCTTTTTTTTTTTTTTTGATGAAGTTTTATTCTTGTTGCCCAGGCTGGAGTGCAGTGGTGTGATCTCAGCTCACTGCAATCTCTGCCTCCTGGGTTCAAGTGATTCTCCTGCCTCAGCCTCCCGAGTAGCTGGAATTACAGGTGCCCAGCATCATGCCCAGCTAATTTTTGTATTTTTAGGAGAGACAGGGTTTCACCATGTGGGCCAGGCTAGTCTCCAACTCCTGACTTCCGGCGATCCACCTGCCTCGGCCTCCCAAAGTGGATTTTCTTTTTTTACCCATGCACTTGCCCAAGCTGACTTTCTGGCTCAAACCTTTCCCCTGGCCTTGCATCCTCTCTATCCATCTGCCCAAACCTCCCTCACTCTCCAAAGTCTCATTTCAAATGTTGCCTTTCCCTGAAGCTTCTCCCGGAATGACCCATCTCTCCCTCCTCATTCTGATCATTTCCTCTTTGAATTCCCGTAGCGTTAGGTATGCCCTCCTCTTCCAGCACTGAATCCAGCCTTGCCTCGCATTAGAGTCATTTGTACACCTGACCTTAATCCCCCTGAGGGCAGGGATAGTTTGTGTTTATCCCAAAGTCCTGAAACAACTAGTACAGAACCTGAGACACAGGAAGGCCCCAGAATTGCCTGCCGAATAGAACAGTGATAGTGCTGAATTTGGTTCCTCCTTTAACCTGTGTGACCCCAGACGTTTGTTTTCTATGAAGCCTCAAAACATGGTTATGTTTCCTAATTTACAACGAACACATGGAAACCCATGTTTTGAAAACGGGGGTGGGGAGGATGAACTGAAGGCAGCCTCTTCAGCCAAGTTCCAAAGGCCAGGTGGCCCACTGTGAACCTTGTTTAACCACACAGAACATATGAATAGCTACAACAAGGGATCTAACAGTTACCAGAATGTTTTCAGAAAGGTGACTTCAGAAGTGCCAAGCTTCAGGAAGACCTGGACTGAGAAGGGATCAGACAACTTTAGGAAAGCAGGTACCAAACAGCCCTTTTACAGTTTACACACAGGCCTTGGTGTCAGAAAAATACTGGTTTGAGTACTGGTTATGCATCAGAGATGCCACTCTGGACAAGCTCCTTATGCTCTCTGGGACTCTGCTTTCTCATCTAAAAAATGGGGATCACCTGAGGTCAGGAGTTTGAGACCAGCCTGGCCAACATGGCAAAACCCCATGCCTGCTAAAAATACAAAAATTAGATGGGTGTGGTGGCTCGCACCTGTACTTGCAGCTACTTGGGAAGCGGAGGCAGGAGAATTGCTTGAACCTGGGAGGCAGAGGTTGCAGTGAGCTGAGATCGCACCACTGCACTCCAGCCTGGGCAACAGAGTGAGACTCTGTCTCAAAAAACGGGGCGGGGGGTGGTGGATAATAATAGTGCCTACCTCAAGAGGTTGCTGTGAACACCAGAAGAAGCAATACACACCAAGTGCCTACAGATAGTAAGCACTTGGTAAAAATGTAACTGCCATTAACAATAAATATGATGCTCACAGGGTCAGTGGAAAAAGTAGTGGAAAGTAGGAGTGGTGGGAACAGAACAGGAGGGAACAAAGCACCTCTGAGTAGACCTTTCTGTATAGCTCCGACTCTTATTATGTTTCACCCTAATAATTCATTAAAACTAGGATAGGAAGGCTGAGGGTGTTTTTGGAATACAAACACTAATGAACCAAACTGCATTATAAATAGTGGCCACACTGAAAGGGATGAAGAAGAAAATAACTAATTTTGGAAAACAGTATTTTGACTGGATACTGTAAGGCAAGCTTGTCCAACATGCAGCCCAGGATGGCTTTGCATGTGGCCCAAAACCAATTAGTAAACTTTCTTAAAACATTATGAAATTTTTTTGTGATTTTTTTTTTAGCTCATCAGCTATTGTTAGTGTTAGTGTATTTTTATGTGTGGCCCAAGACAATTCTTCTTTTTCCAGTGTGACCCAGGGAAGCCAAAAGTTTGGCCACCCCTGCTGTAAGGCTTAGGACAAAAATATTTCTCCACAAACAATGGACTCCAGTTAATCAATCTGTCACAGGCATATGGAACTACTTTATGATACTAGGGTCAAACAAATAAGTGAATAAAGTGTACATAACAAGAGCCACACTTCCCACTGTTGAAAAGGCTAAAAAGAAGGAAGAGGGGGAGGCTAGGATGAAATCTGTGCTTGGATTAAAGCGGAAACATTCGTTATCAACTCATGTTTATTTTAATATGTATACAGACAGATACAGAAACAGATGTAGATGTGTGTATATGTGTGGTTAGTATGCATGTTTTATTTCCTAATCCTATCCACTGGGAGGACCTACAAAAAAATTTACAAATTTTTTATATGACACTCCAATAGAAATCGGCATGCCTAGTACCACATCCTGGTTTCTAACAGCATTCTCCAATATCAGAACCAGGGCTCCTTGAAGTAATGGCTGATTCTGGGTCAGGGTAGAGAAAACACAAGATGAGCCTTGTAGTGCCAGAGTGTATTGTAGTGCCAGAAAATAGACACACTCAAAAAAGGGTAGTGGCATAACAAGAGGACACGGGGCGATCGGAAGATGCGGGGCAAAAAGTTCCAGGCAGAGGAAAAAATTTCCAAGTTTGACAGAGGGCAAAAATTTCCAGCCACATGAAAAATAATCAAACCTTTGACTTATGTTCAGAGCTCTCAGATATTGCCATCATTAAAGGAACAGAAAAAAATGTTGGGAAAGGAAGTTCTACTGAAAAGCTACCAAGTTTGAATGTCACTTCACTCATGAATCATGATGAGAAAGTCCATTATGAAGTACATCCATATTGTGTAAAGAGAAAACTTGAAACTTTCTTTCTTTCTGTTTGTTTGTTTGTTTGTTTTTGAGACAGAGCCTCACTCTGTTGCGCAGGCTGGAGTACAGTGAAACAATTTTGGCTCACTGCAACCTCCACCTCCCGAGTTCTAGAGATTCTCCTGCCTCAGCCTCCTGAGTAACTGGGATTACAGGCACCCACCACCACACCTGGGTAATTTTTGTGTGTTTTTTTTTTAGTACAGATGAGGTTTCATCATTTTGGCCAGGCTCGTCTCCAACTCCTAACCTCAGGTGATCTTCCTGCCTCAGCCTCCCAAAGTGCTGGGGTTATAGGCATAAGCCATCTCACCTAGCTGATTTATTTCTATTATAGGTTGAATTACATACATTTCTGATGCTATGCCACTGCACTCCACTGCACTCCATAACCTTAAAAAAATGGCAATTTCATATGTATTAGCCTAACACATTACCTAGGGTCTCCAGTGCCATGTTCAGTAGATACAGCGATAGAAGGTACCCTTGTCTATGTCCTAACTTTGACGAAAAGCACTTCTAAAATTTTACTATTAAGTATGATAATTGCTTTACATTAAGGAAGATAGGGCCGGGTGTGGTGGCGCACAGCTGTAACCTCAGCACTTTGGAAGGCTGTGGGGAGGATTGCTTGAGCTGGGGAGGTGGAGGTTGCAGTGAGCCAAGATGTTGACACTACACCCCAGCCTGGGTGACAGTGAGACCTTGTCTTAAAAAAAAAGGAAGCTAGCTTGCTAATAGTGCATTATCTGATGTTGACTCTGCCCTTGCATTATTGTAATAAAACCTAATTCACCATGATGCATTATTTGTGTGTGTGTACATTGCTGTATTCAACTTGGTATTATTTTACTTAAAGTTTTGGAATTCATGTTCCTAAAAGTTAATAATAGTTAACATCTATTTGGTTTTCTATGTTCTGGGTCTTGTTAAGTTACTTTCCTTGAATTATTTCATTTCATCCTAGAAGGCTTATTGTAAAGGTTATTTCCCCCTTTATCAATGAGGAAGTGAAGGCCCAGTGAAGGCAAGTCATTTTCCCTAAGGTCACAGGGAGGATAAGTAGTGGCAGCAGGAATACAAATCCGGATTTCCTGGCTCCAGAGGCCAAGCACTAAGCACTGCCCTGTGCCCTCTCCCTGTGACAAAGACTCGTCATTCAGACTGTTCCATCGTGAACTTTCCTTGGACATCCTTTTGTGCCAAGCTTTGTACCAAGATTATATTATTCTTGATAGATAATTAAATAGCTCTTTTTCTTTTATTAAAAAAACTTGTCAAACTTTTATAAAAACCTATTTAATCCTATTACCTTTGCTAGCCTGACGTTGACAGTTTTGCAGTGGCCTACAGGTTTTACAGCATGTGCAAGCTCCTGTCCTGGGGATACTGGGAAGGTATACATCCCATAAAGCCAGGGATACAGACCACAGAGCAGCAGCAGACTCCCCCACCCTCCAGCACCCTTGGTTGTTTTTTGTTTTGTTTTATTTTGTTCTGTTTTTTTGAGATGAAGTCTCGCTCTTTTCGCCCAGGCTGGAGTGTAGTGGTGTGATCTCAGCTCACCGCAACCTCTGCCTCCCAGGTTCAAGGGATTCTCCTGCCTCAGCCTCCCAAGTACCTGGGATTACAGGTGCCCGCCACCGCACCCGGCTAATTTTTTTTTGTATTTTTAGTAGAGACGGTGTTTCACCGTGTTAGCCAGGATGGTCTTGATCTCCTGACCTCGTGATCTGCCCACCTCGGCCTCCCAAAGTGCTGGGATTAAAGGCATGAGCCACTGCACCTGGCCAGCATGCTTTCAAGTACTGGGGTACACCTAAGCTCTCAGCTTCTAGCTAGGAGTCATTTGGTACCCCTTTATCCCAAAAGACCTGTCACTGTCTTTGGTTTTCAAAGCCCAGCAGGCTCCAGGCTCTTCAGCCTCCAACCACTTTGCATTTCTTTACTGCTTTTCATTCATGAAGGTGATTAACTTATTTTTCAGCCTGGGCGTGTCTTTTTTATTTACTTAATTTTTTATTTTTATTTTTTGAGATGGAGTCTCACTCTGTCATCCAGGCTGGAATGCAGTGGTGAGATCTCCGTTCACTGCAACCTCCGCCTCTTGGGTTCAAGTGATTCCCCTGCCTCAGCCTCCTGAGTAGGTGTGACTACAGGTGTGTGCCACTATGCCTGGCTAATTTTTGTATTTTTAGTAAACACCGGTTTTCACCATGTTGGCCAGGCTGGTCTTGAGCTCCTGACCTCAGGTGATCAGCCTACCTCGGCCTCCCAAAGTGCTGGGATAACAGGCGTAAGCCACCGCACCTGGCCTTTATTTACTTTATATATCTCACCTATTACTGCTGCAGTTTGCAGAAGAGAGGATGCCCTCAACCCTAACTTCTCCACACCATCCCAAAGGGGAAGTCTGCTCCACGTCATCAGTGTTCTTGTTTTTAAAGACCATATGTCAACATGCCAGATTATAGCAAAAGGATGTCGAGGAAGCAATATGAAAGCAAGCCTCAGAGTCCTGGAGAGAAGGTGACAGAGCTGCCTTTTGAAGGTGGTCACTCCCTCAGATTCTGCCCTTCCTGCCTTGTTCCTCCAGTTGTCAGATTTGCTGTTGGGGCCCTCATGGGGGAGGGGTGGGGGCTGGACTGAGAGGGAGATGGAGAAGCTGCCAGGGGCCATTTGGATCCAGAATTGCAGCAGTTCCAGCCAGGTCCGGAGGTGGTTGCTGTCCCCCAGCCCCCAAGGGAATGGTACTGATTCCAGAACGTGGCGAGAACTCCCTGGCCAGGAGAAGGAGGTGCTTGCTCCCTTGAATCACCTGAGCCCAGGCTGGAAGGCCCAAGGGGGACGATGAGGCCAGCTCACTCCAGCTCCATCCCCTCCCTTTAACCCTGAGCTAGTCACCATCCCAGATTCCAGGCCCTTTTCCTAAGAGCCATCCCAGCAAAGTCTGCAGAGAGCAGCACTCCCTCATGCCAGCTCACCCTGCACTGTCCTTTCTTTCAGCAACCCCATGGGTATGAACTTGAGATGATTCATTTTCCTAAAAGCCTCTTTGGGCTGAGGGAATGTGTGGGTGGCTCGGCGAGGTTTGGAGTGGGGGCCACCTCTTCTCAGAGCTGCTGTGAGGGCCAGGGCCTCCTTCCCTGGAGGTCGTCTGCAGCCTGGGAAGCGGCGCCGAATGGCACTGGCTTTGCAGGCAGCCTAAGTCATCCCCAGCGGCCTGGGAGGCTGGGGGTGCACCGGCTCCCACTCCCGATAGGGCCGAGGCTCCTTCCTCACCTAAGAGGTGACTGTCTTGAAGAGTGGACACAGAGGAGCCAGCATCCTGGACGGTGAAGGCAGCCAGGAGAAAATCTGCAGCTCAGTCCGAGACAGACGTCTCCTGCAACACAGCTATTGTAGAGACAGGGAAACAAGGCTGAGAGAGAAGGGGGCTTGCCCAAATCACCAGACCTGGAATGTTTTGAGCTATGGGCGTGGATCTCCCAGGAAACGTGTTTTATGGCACCACCGCCTCTGGTCACCCACCCCGAGGTGTGGCGGGCCTGGACAGCCAGCTTGACTGAGGGCCAGGCTGGTGAAGTCAAAACTACCACTCAGGAAGAAGACCTAGCCCTTCTCCAGACAGAGTTCAAATGTGAGGGCTGCCTTCTTTGGGCCTCAGTTTCCCCACCTGAATTCCAAGGACCCTTCTAACTCCCACACTCTGGGCCAAGCCCCAGTCAGCCTAGAGGACCAGGGCTACATCTTCCTTGGACAGAGACCCAGCATAGGGGCAACAGGAGGTAGGGGTGGGGGTAGGCAAGGTTCCTGTAGGGAGGTGGAGCTGCCATCAGAGATGGTGACTGCAGGCAGTGGGTGTATCGTGGCTATGCTACTACTTCCTGGGTGACCCCATGACATTTCTTTCCCCACTCTGACCTCAGTTTCCCTATCTGTTCCGTGGAGATAAGATGCCTGCCTACATATTTGGGGACTGGGATGTGTGTGGGGGCCAGTTGCAGTGTTTCTTGGTGTGGTCCTGGGGCAGCCTGCACCACCCCATAGAGTTTGCTGGGCCCCACCCTAGGCTCACAGGACCAGAATCTCTGGGAATGAAGCCTGGGAATTTGCATTTCCACAGGCATCCGGCAGATTCTGACATGATTGAAAAAGCACTAATAGTATATGGCAAGCTCTTTATAAAAGGTAAATTCATAGCTGCCTTTTACTAAACATAAATCTCACCTTCCCTTCCTCAGTTAAGGACACACACCCCAGTTGAAAATCACTGTGCCTTTCCAGATGCAGAATCTGACCTTTCCAATAGGATTCTGTTAACTGTTACTTTCTGTAGTTTGTATTCCAAAACAAGGGGAATATCTTTCCATTTTTTCAATATAAATGTTTAGGTCAAATATGCTTTTTCAAACTGGACACACACTCACACAGTTTAGGATTTCAGCTATGGCTTCCTCTCAAATTATTAGCCCGTTTCTGCCAGGGAGCAGTTTTTCCCAGACAAGACCCTAGACAGAGGCTGGTGGGGCCCCCTCCTCATCAGAATCACTAGATCATGACTGACCCCTAGAGGTGGCTTTTCTGCTTAACAGTCAGCCCATGGGCTGGGATGGGATCCCCAAAGCTGTGGCAAAATCTTCCACCCATCCTGGGCCCCCCTGCCATCTGTGGGGAAAGGCCTGTCCCTTGTCTTCTGGGCCCAGCCGGCCTCACACTCATTCAGCAGACTGGAAAGTCGAAGCATGTGCTGTGCTTGGCTGGGCTCTGCTGTGCCCCTTTTTGGGGTGAGGCAGAGTGTATTCCAGCCCCCAGCATCCCTGCCGTTTATTCCCACCCCTCATCCCCACCCCCATACACACTCACAAGTACAAACACAAGCACAGTCACGGGCACACACCACCCTGGACAGCACCATTTCCAGCCTCAGCGGGGCAGTCTCCTTACAGGGAAGTTAATGAGGCACTAAAGAAGGCTCAGGGGACAGGGAGAACCTCTGTCAAAAAGAGGTTCCTAGACCTGGTTCTGCCTCTGACTTGCTGGGGGTCCTTGAGAAAGCTGCTTCCCCTTTTTGGCCTGTTTCCTCAGCTGAGAAATGGGGGGTCGGCCAAATGGTCTAAGGTTCTGGGAACCCCTAAGTCAGAGCCCATAGCTGGTGGTCAAGATGAGGGAGAGGCCCTCAGGGTCAGCCGAATGCCAGAGAGGCAGGACAGGCCCAAAGGTGAGTAACCTGAGCACATCAGGTGGGTTCAGAACAGGTGCATGAGCCCCACAGCCTGCACAGCAGCTCTGAACTTGGGAGCCCACTTGCACCAGCCCAGTGGGACTTCAGAGATGTGGGGTCCAGCCTCTCCTACTATTGCAGGGCTAGGGGCTGGGAGCTGCAGATTCTGACCCCACAGCTGCCTTAGACATGCCAGATGGCCTGGGGAAAGACACACCCCTCTCTATGAAATGAGCACTCAGTCCAAATAGGTAAACTAAAGAAGGGCTGTGGGATGCACCCAGCTGTAGCCTGGGGCTACAGACTGGCTTCCAGGGTACTCAAGCAGCTGGCCTCTTGGGTAGCAGCCCTGGGTATGAGAGGCAGGACTCAGAATCTAGGCCAAGCCTCCACAGGAATCCCCTCTGGAGAGCCCGGGCACTCTGCAGGAAGGGCAGGAGGCAGCAGGTGCACCAGGAGCATGTTCCACAAGGTGCCCAATATTGCATCTGCTCAGATAGGCAGCGAGTTGGAATGTGGATGCAGTAGGCAGGGTGGCAGCTGCTCCCTACGGCCAGGAGTCCAGCCCAGCACCCACCTGAGTCCACCTCAGTCCTGCTCAACTGGGTCATCCGTGCTCTGGGCCCTCTGGTCCCACCCACAGAGGGAGGGCTTTGGAGCGACCAGGTGAGCTGGCCATTGTGGGAGGATGTAAAAACTCCTGAGCCTGGCGAGCCAGGCAGCCCCTTGCCAGCATCCCCACACCCACCTCTCCAGCCCCCCGCATTCCCTGATCCTCCCATCCGCTCCCCTGACCCAGCAGTTTCCTCTGCTCACTCTTTTCCTGCTCCCAGGCTCGCCTGGTCATGTGTCCTTCACTCTCCTCTGAGTCTCCCTCTTTCCAAGCTGCCTCCACTCTACTTGACACACTCTCCCTTAAGACACCAGAGTACACAAGCGCAAGTCCCTGCACCTCACCTTTACTCCCAGACATGGGAGGGAGATGACATGAAGACCCAAACGCCACTTAGCAGGAGATCTGGGGTATGCAGAGGGGCAGATCGGAGGCTGTGGAAGCTCCAGGGGCTCCCTGCAGGAGGCCGCATGTAAGCTGGCTATTGAATGTGGCTCTGAGCTGAGACCTCTCCTTGAAGCTCCAGACCAGGAGCCAGCTGCTAGCTGGACCCCTCCATTTGGTGCCTCAGAGAAACCTTGCACTCCATAGATCTGACTCTGAACCCCGAATATCCCATCTCAGCCCTGTCTCTTCATAGGGAAAGCACCACCTCTGACCCAGTTCTGCACCAAACCCACACTTGAGTGATGGGGCTCCTGCCCTGCACTGTGAGCACTCTGGATAAGCCAGAGCTGAGGGGGAAAGAGCTCTGAATGCCAAGCCAAAACATGAGTTTCAACTCCACCTCCAGCTCTGAGAGCTGTGGGTAGGGAAGGGCCCAAGTCCAGTTTGCTGTAGAAAGACCAGTCTGCCACTGTATGGCACATGGATGGCAGGGGCAGAGTGCAGGTGGAGAGAATAGAAGGTGGGCAGGGCGGGGGAGGCAGGGACATGGCTGTAGCCGTGGAGATGGGAGGACAGACAGGACTTGGTGGCCACTTGGGTGAACCAAGGGAGGGGTCAGGAAGAGACACCCAGTTTTGTATCAGATGTGTAGAGCGTGGGATGCTGTTCATTGATTGAGGGAGGAGGAGGAGGAAGAGGTATGGCATGGGAGGAGGTAGCTGAGCTCTGTCATGAATGTCATTTGAAGTCCCCAGGGAGAGCCAGGCCGGCCAGCCCCTTCACTGCTTCAGCCAGCTCTCAGGGTGTCTGTGCTCCCTGGCCCTCTCAGCTCCTGCTTCATAGCTGTCAGCTGCAGTGGGGGACAGCTGCACAAGGACCAAGCAGGTCTGTGTGTTTACGCAGGGTTCTGCCGCATGGCCCTGCCGAGCAGAAGCTGATGGACGACCTTCTGAACAAAACCCGTTACCACAACCTGATCCGCCCAGCCGCCAGCTCCTCACAGCTCATCTCCATCGAGATGGAGCTCTCCCTGGCCCAGTGCATCAGTGTGGTAGGTGCAGAGGGCACCTGTGGCTCAGGCTCAGGCGAAGAGGCAGCTCATGCCCAAGCCCAAAGCAATCAATGTCCAGAGGAATGAAATGACTAGAGTTGACTTAGACTCACCAATACATGGCGGGGAGGCTGGAGGAGGGTCCATGAGGTTTATAGGTGTCCAATATTTAATGAGGTCATGGTTTTGTTAACAAAGAAGAAATGAGGGTGGGAGCAGGATCACCACTGGCTAGGCAGCCAATGGGCCTGCAGAGACTCTGCTCAGCTGAGTCTCCAGCACGACCATGAGCTTCTCCTCCTCATCCTCCCAGCCCCACCCTACTCTCTCCCCCAGCTTGCTCAACAGGTGACCTTACAGGCTCCCTACTCTTTGCGAGGAATAAGAACCAGACTGCGAGAACCGATGGGTACAGAGGCCCAGGTGTAGGGGCAGGACCACAGGCAGTGCAGCGTCTACTGAGCGAGGCGGGTGAGGGTCTGGAGAGTGGGCATGGCTGCTGCAGGCATGGAAAGGAGGCGCAGATGGCGGCACTCCCAGGGCCCATCGTCAGGGTCTCCATATGTGGACGTGTGCAGAGGTGGGGGTGCTGAGCGAGGAGGTGCATGGAGTTTCTCATCTTCTCTCTACTGCCTCTGAGTTGGAGATGTCAGAGGGAGCCATGGCCCACTGTAAAGTAACACAATGTCCCCACCCACAGGGTTAGAACCTCTCCTCTGGAAGCAGCTCTGAGGGGAACAGTCACATGTAGAGAGTGCAGGGCGCTGTGTCCAGCCGGGGGAAGGAGGTCACCAAGCAGGTTGACCCTCCCCTGGCCAGGTGGCTGCCTTCTGACACACCAGCCTCTCTCTCTAGCATGGTGGCCCCCACACACCCAGCCTGTGAAACCTACAGCCCTCAAGAAGGTTTTGGCCGAATTAATGAGTAGCTCCCTCTCCCAGGAGGAAGCACAGCTGAAGGATGCGGAGGGCAGTAGAGTTGTGTGTGCTCCGCCCCCTTTCTCCACAGTCGGACGGGAAAGAAGGGGGCTTTCAACCAGGCTCACCCAGGCTGGGGTCTGAGTGTCACTGTCCAGCTATTGGCTTCTTGCTTAACGGGTGAGCCCAGCAGCTCCCGTGCAGCTGCCGCCCTAGTTAGGGTGAACCGGCAGGCGAGTTGCATTTCTGAAAGCCCGGGAAGACAGTAAATATTAGGCTGTGGGCTGCTGGGCCAGGAAGGGGTGTTTATTTTTCAGGGTTTGTTTATCTATTGACTTGATGAGGGAGGGTTATACGTACAACCAGTTAAAAGATGGAAATTTTGAGAGAGTAGGCAGGGATTTAGTGCTGGGTAAGGCAAGAAGGCTTGTCAAAGCAGCTCTTCTGGGGAGGCCAGAATCCTGTACCAATGTCCTCAGCACGTTCTTCAGCTGCTGGGGAGTGCCAGACAGGATGAAAGCGTAGGAGAACTTTCTGGATGATAGAAATACTCTATATCTTCAAAGGAGGTGGGTTACATGGGTAATGCATTTGTTGAAACTGATCAAAATGGAAACCAGATCTGTGCATTTCACTGAATATAAATTATACCTCAAATTAAATACATTTCTTAAAAGACAGATGGGCCGGATGCAATGGCTCACGTCTGTAATCCCAGCACTTTGGGAGGCTGAGGCAGGTAGCTCACCTGAGTCAGGAGCTCGAGACCAGCCTGGAAAATGTGGTGAAATCCTGTCTCTATTTAAAAAATAAAAATTAGCCAGGCATGGTGGCACACGCCTGTAATCCCAGCTACTCGGGAAGCTGAGGCAGGAGAATTGCTTGAACCCAGGAGGCAGAGGTTACAGTGAGCAGAGATCATGCCACTGCACTAGAGCCTGGGCAACAGACCAAGACTCCATCTCAAAAAAAAAAAAAAAAAGAGAGAGAGACAGATGAAGGTTTTCAACTTTCACTAAAGGCAGAGGAGCTTGTTACAGATTCGCCTCCCCATAGGAACAGTTAGAAAAACTGGACAAAAATGTGCCCCACCACCAAAAACAATTGTTGGAAGGTAATTGGAGACCTCAGCCAGCACTTGAGTGACCAGGCCTGGGAGGTGATCCTGACAGTCTGTAGTGCTTTTCCCACATTTGGTGATCGGTCAACAGTAGAGGGCTAAGAGGCTAAGAAACTGAATATGAAGTGGTAGTTAAGGGGCTGGAGAGCCTAGCTGAATGTTGGCACTCTCACAGGGCTGAAATGACCTAATGAGAATTTGGGTCCCAGGAAGGAGATGGGACATTGGTGGGGACCCTGGAAGGGCCACCCCTAGGAGTCCAAATGAATAAAATATAGACCAGCCGTCACAAAACCTAAAACCTGCTTTGAACTAGCTTAGTCACAAACTAGATGAAGGCGATCTGCCCTTACTCCAATTGTGTGCCATAAAGTCAAAGTCAATACTCTCTGGAGGCAGATAAAACTTTACTAGGAATGCCATAAGACAACATCAGACTAAATGAGAAAGACCAAGAAAAAAACTAATAGAAACATACATGTAAGGAAGAAACTTTTTTTTTTTTTTTGAGACAGAGTCTCACTCTGTCACCCAGGCTTGAGTGCAGTGGCACGATCTCAGCTCACTGCAACCTCTGCCTCCCAGGTTCAAGCGATTCTCCTGCCTCAGCCTCCCAAGTAGTTGGGATTACAGGCATGTGCCACCATGCCCGGCTAATTTTTGTATTGGCCAGGCTGGCCTTGAACTCCTGACCTCAGGTCATCCATTCACCTCAGCCTCCCAAATTGCTGGGATTACAGGCATGAGCCACCGTGCCTGGCCAGTATTTTGCCAAAATTTAAAATAAATAAATTTTCTTTTTTTTTTTTTCAGGTTTGTGCTCAGACTCTATTCTAAACAGTCACATGGCAGCTTACTCTTCTCCAGGCCTTGCTGCCGGCTTTTACATGTTTATTATATTTGTGTTCTTGTCATCTGCTTGGTAGATGGCAGCTTCCAGGTGCTCCTAAGGGGCCAGGAAAGAGAGTGAGAAGGCACTGAGTTTGCCAGGTCGTCCCCCTCAGGGCCCCACCCTCATCAACTCCCTCAGCTGGGTCTCCTGCAACTATTGGTGGGCCATCTCAGCCACCGCTTCGCCCTGAGCTTCCTGCTGCTGCAGCTGGGCAGTGCCTCCTTCCCAGAGGCCAGCTGCTGATAGGCGGCCACGTACTGCTGCAGGTGACCCCGGTAGTGGTCTTGCTGCTGCTGCAGACTCTGAGCCTCTTGGCTCTTCAGCTCCACCTGCAGGATAGGCGTCAGGGTAGGTAGTCGCTGGCTTCCAGATTCTGGGCCCATAAACAGGGTGGCAAGGGCACTGCGGGGCTCTGTCGCCTGCTCAGGCCCCTGGCCCTGGCCCCTTCCTCCAGGCCTAAGTGACTGCCTCCCTTGCCTAGAGGCCCATGCCTCCCTCCCCAGCCTCAAATCTCACACCCTTCTTCCCACCATTTAAACTGTAGGCCGCAGACTGGTGGAAAAGCAGAGGGAGCCAACCACCATCTGCTAAGTTGTGGTGAGGTCGTTCTGTATGATCTCCAGGGTTTGCACACACCTCTGCCTGCTCCCCCCAAGAGCTCCGCCTTCTGCCCCAGCTTCCCCAGCCTCTCCTCCAGCTCCTGCAGCCTCACCTCCTGTTCCTGCATCTTCTCCTCCTGCTGCCACAGCCTCACTTCCTGCTCCCGCATCTTCTCCTCCTGCCTCTGCATCTTCTCCTCCTGTTCCTGCATCTTCTCCTCCTGTTCCCACATCTTCTCCTCCTGCCTCCACATCTTCTCCTCCTGCTCCCATATCTTCTCTTCCTGCTTGAGCAGCTTCTCCTGCCTCCACGTCTTCTCCTCCTGCTCCTGGATCTTCTCCTCCTGCCTCTGTATCTTCTCCTCCTGCTCCTGCATCTTTTCCTCCTCCTCCTGCATTTTCTCCTCCACCTCCCGCAGCTTCTCCTCCTGATCTTGCATCATCTCCTCCAGCTCCCGTATCTTCTCCTCCTGCCTCCACATCTCCTCCTCCTGCTCCCGTATCTTCTCATCCTGCTCGCGCATCTTCTTCTCCTGCCTCCACATCTTCTCCTGCCTCTTCTCCTCCTGCTCCCGTATCTTCTCCTCCTGCCTCCACATCTCCTCCTCCTGCTCCTGTATCTTCTCATCCTGCTCCCGTATCTTCTCCTCCTGCCTCCACATCTTCTCCTCCTGCTCCCGTATCTTCTCTTCCTGCTCCCGTATCTTCTCCTCCTGCCTCCACATCTTGTCCTCCTGCTCCCGTATCTTCTCTTCCTGCTCATGCATCTTCTCCTCCTGCCTCCACATCTTCTCCTCCTGCTCCCTTATCTTCAGCTCCTGCTCACACATCTTCTCTTCCTGCTCCTGTATCTTCTCCTCCTGCCTCCACATCTTCTCCTCTTGTTGCTGGTTCAGGAGGTTCCACAACTCGTTCTCTTCCACCTGGGCTTGGAGCTTTGCTGACACACTCTGTAGCTCCTTACCCAGGCGGTCAGCCTCCACCTGCAGCTGCTGCTGGAATAGTGAAAGTGTTGGTTCAAACCTCAGAAGGAAACAGACTCATGAGCTAGCCATATAAATGTAATCTATAAAATAATGGTTTTCATCTATGATCCTTTGAAAAATATTTTTTTAAGCCCAAACTCTGAGATTCTGATTCCCCAGGCAGGGCCCCAATTTGTATATTTTTAGCACACTCCAGAGGATTCTATGGTGGGACCAGAACAAGGACCCAAATTTTCCAGCTCTTGGCTGGAGCCTCCCCACACCCTACATGATCCCTAGACCATGGCCCCAGCCGGATGGGGCTCCCACAACCCCCGGGGCTGCAGCTGCTCGCCTGTGGCAGCAGGAGCTGGGCCCTTTCCAGCTTCCTTTTAAGGTCCTTTACGTTGAGCTGGATCTCAGACTTTTCAGATTCTACAAGTCGAAGTTTTTCTTGTAGTTCAGCATTTTTCTCCTTCAACTCCTCATCGGTTATGCTGTGGCCAGAGGCAGTAGAGAAAGGAATGAACGAAGAATAGAAAGGACCGCTTTGGTGATCAACCCTCTACTTTCACCACACAACCACAGAACGGTGGCATTGGAAAGGACCCCAGGAATTAAAAGTCACAGGTGGCAGGCCAGAGAGAAGACATGAGTTGCCTGAGGCTTCCCCATGAGTCAGTGGCACCGCCGGCACTAGAGCTTCCCTGTGCACACATGAAAACCTGTAGAAGCCTCTCACCATGCTCACCTGTACCCCCCACCTCCCAGCACACCACCCACTCTAAGGGCCCCCAGACCTCCCATTCCACCTTCCCCCATCCTACGTGTTCCTGTACAGTTCCAGACTCGGAGCATCCCTCTCCTTTGTTAATTTCTCGATGTACTGCAAATAGAGAAAGGTTAAGTCAGGATAGAGCAGGCAGAGGAGTAGCTGGACGACCAGAACAACAGCTACACTGATACTCCACAGTAACACTCCCTCACTCTCAATCACACCTGACATGTTCTCAAGGCATTTCCAAGCCCATGGTCTCATTTGTTTTTTCTTTGTTTTCTCTTTCTTTCTTTCTTCTTTCTTTCTTTCTTTCTTTCTTTCTTTCTTTCTTTCTTTCTTTCTTTCTTTTTCTTTCTTTCTTTCTTTCTGTCCTTCCTTCCTTCCTTCCTTCCTTCCTTCCTTCTTTCTTTCTTCCCTTTATTTCCTTTCTCCCGTGCTTCCCGTGCTTCCCTTGCTTTCTTGCTTTCTTGCTTTCTTGCTTTCTTGCTTTCTTGCTTTCTTGCTTTTCTTGCTTTCTTGCTTTTTCTTTCTTGCAGAGTTCGGCTCTTGTTGCCCTGGCTGGAGTGCAATGGTGCAATCTCGGCTCACCACAACCTCCACCTCCTGGATTCAAGCAATTCTCCTGCCTCAGAGTCCTGAGTAGCTGGGATTATAGGCATGTGCCACCACACCCAGCTAATTTTGTCTTTTTAGTAGAGACGGGGTTTCTCCATGTTGATCAGTCTAGTCTTGAACTGACTGATCCTGACTTATCCTTAGCCTAAAAAGAAAAATTTAAAATTACTCATTAAAAAAATGAATGATTTCCAGCAGAAAATGGGCAATGGAGAAACCGGCACTTCCCACAAGAATAAAAATGGCCAATGAGCAAACGAAAAAGATTCAAAAGCACTAGAAATCAAAGAAATGTAATGAAAACAATGAGATTTTCTGCTTAAAGACCAGCAAAGATGACAAATGGAAGGGGGAACCTGGAGCTCTGTCCCTGTTGGTGGGAGCATAAACTGAACCAATTTTCCTACAGGATAATTTGAACATTTCTTTTAAAAATCCTAAAACAGTTTTACATTATTTTCCTCTAGAAATTCTACTTCTATGAATTCAGTGCAAAAATCCTTACTGGAGTCCATTAAAATGTATATAGAGGAAATTCACCTCTGGGGTGGCAATGATTCACTTAACATAATCCAGCTATTAAAAATGATGATGCCAGGATATACTTCTGCCCTAGAAACATGTTTAAAATATAATAAGTGACAAAAGCCCATTTACTATGATTGTACTTTTATTTTTTTTAACAGTCACAAATCAGCTTTATTTAACTTTTCCAAAATATTTCTCAGGCCATTCTCTTTCAGACATTCAAAAAGAAAAAGTTTCTAACTTTAAAATAATTAAATGACAAATGGTAAAAGCTGCTAGTTATCTCCCAGTGGCTGTTCCCATGGTGGTAGGGCCTTAGATGTGTGGCCATTTGCAATGGACCCAGCATTTCTAGCTTGCAGCCAGGCACAGCCAATAGCAGGAGAGAGCGAGGTGTGTTCCTCCCCTCTCTTGTCTTCCAATCCTTTCCCTGTTCTGCTCATCTGGAATGTGATACTGGTAGAGGCCAGTTATTCGTGGCAAGCAACACGTTTACAGGGATTTTCCTGGGAATTTCAGATACAATGTCTGTATTAGTTAAGATTAGGTTTTGCGGCAATAACAGAAAACCCTCCAAAATGATAAATTAAAGAACATGGAAGTTTATTTTTGTCTCATAGGGATGTCTCAGAAGTGGTTCATGGCTGGCATGATGCTCCATGTTGTCAGGAACTCAGACTCCATTCATCTTGATGTTCTTTCCCGAAGGCTTCAACCTCACAGTCTCAACATGGCAGATTCTACTTTTAAATATGTTTATATGCATAAAAAGTGTAAAAAGCAACAAACCAGAATGTTTTGAGTGGCAAAATTAAAGATTTTTCTTTATATTTTGTCATCCAAATTATTACAAAAAGAATGTGATTTCCTTTATAATCAGGGAGAAGTGTTATTTTCATTTATTTATGTTTACATTTCTTTTCTTTTTCTTCTTTTTTCTCCTGTATGTATCCCATGTAGGCTAGAGAGCTTCAATCCCTGCCTCTTGAGGGAAATCAGCCCATTTTCGGGAAGTGCACTACACAAAGCTGCCCCATCTTCCCTTTATTTTTTATTTTTATTTATTTATTTATTTATTTATTTATTTATTTATTTATTTATTTTGAGATAGAGTCTCAGAGTGCAGTGGCGCATCTCAGCTCACTGCAACCTCCATCTCCCGAGTTCAAGCAATTCCCCTGCCTCAGCCTCCCAAGTAGCTGGGACTACAGGCATGCACTACCATGCCCAGCTAATTTTTGTATTTTTAGTAGAGAGCGGGGTTTACCATCTTGGACAGCCTGGTCTCAAACTCTTGACCTCAAGAGATCTGTCCGCCTTGGCCTCCCAAAGTGCTGGGATTACAGGCATGAGCCACTGTGCCTGGCCTGTCATATTATTTCTAAAAATTTCAGTGACATTTCAATTAAGTTAAATTTAATTCTTACTGACCTGATCTCTTTTCCTGTGTTTAATGATATCTTCCAGTTGAAAGGTATTTCCTCTGTAATCACAGGCACTAAAGGAAATACAACAAGTATTCTTTAGGTGGATATCCACTAAACCACGGATTCTCCCATTGTAGTCCTTAGACCCTCAGCATCAGCAACACGTGGGAACTTGTTAGACATGCAAATTCCTGGGCCAGCCCCACACCTCCTGAATCAGAAAGTGGGGAAGAGGGACAGCTGTCTGTCCTTTAATAAGCCTTGAGATGCTCCCTGAAGTTTGAAAACTACAGAACTAGAATACATATGGCAGTAAGTGCTCATACTTTATCCCAGGTACCTTCCCCTCTTTTCCATTCTCTTTTCCGTTGAAATAAAATGAGAGCTCTTTTTGACTTAATGGGTATAAGAAAGAAGGCAATGAGATGAGCAGGGTTTCAAGTTAGAGTTCAAAATTTAATCAGTGGATGGTGACAGGGTGCAAGCCTTCTAAACAGATTACTGCAAGAAAGCTGATTATAATCTATACAGTAGGTATCATTAGTGTATTGATGTTAAATTTTTGGGGTGGGATTAATGGTATTGTGATTATATAGGAGAACGTCCTGGTTCCTAGAAGATATCTGCGAAAGTACTTAACACTGAAATGCTGATACTGGCAACTTACTTTGAAATGATTCAGGGGGGAAAAGGGCACATATACAATCTTCCATATGCAGGGGAGACAAAACAAATATGATAAAATGTTAATTGGTGAATCCAGTTGAATAGCATACTGATGTTCACTGTATTATTTTATCAACTTTTCTGTGTTTGCAAGTTTTTAAAATAAAAAGTTGAGGGAAAAGAAACATCACCCCAAATCTTCCTACAAAATGGAACCATAGAAAAACTTTGCAGAAGAGGGCACCGTACCCATCCGGACAGCATGGTCAAAGTGCAGGGTCTCCTCCAGCAGGCTATTCTCTGGTCTCTTCTGTGCTGTCACTTCCCCCAGACGCAACCAAGGCTTTTTTATAACAACTCTTTTTCTAAAGGTGTAATTTTTTTCATTCATCTAAGAAAGAGACAAAAGAATTAGTATACATTGAGAAAATCAAATTACACTTATACTTGTGTAAAAGCAAAAAATACTTTGAAAAGTGGGGAAGCAAGAAATGTACTGTTCTACAATTCTGTCCTTACCATCTTTTTATTCTGCCAATGACTTCCTATTCCTGCTGCCTATGGTGGGGTGAGCTGCAAATGATTTCTTTTCCTCATTGATTTGAAATGCCATGTTTATAATATGCTAAACTCCCCCAGAAGCATTTGGGTTTATTTCTGGGCTCTATTCTATTCAAGTGATCTATCTGTTCACAAGCCACTATCAATTTTGATTATTAGAGCACCCTAAAGTTAAGTTAAATAATTCTTTTTTTTCTTTTCGAGACAAAGTCTCTCGCTCTGTTGCCCAGGCTGGAGTGCAGTGGCGTGATTTCGGCTCACTGAAAGCTCCACCTCCCGGGTTCACACCATTCTCCTGCCTCAGCCTCCCGAGTAGCTGGGACTACAGGCACCCGCCACCTCGCCCGGCTAATTTTTTCTATTTTCAGAAGAGACGGGGTTTCACCGTGTTAGCCAGGATGGTCTCGATCTCCTGACCTCGTCATGTGTCCACCTCGGCCTCCCAAAGTGCTGGGATTACAGGCATGAGCCGCCGCACCTGGCCAAGTAATTCTTTGATTAGGATATTAGTATTTGATGGAGCCTGACCCTTTTGACTCTAAACTCAAATTCTTATTATCTCTAACTTCTAAAAGTTATGAACAATTATGACTTCAATGTATAAAATGTCAGCTTTTTCAGCTACCTTACAGAATTCTCTTATTTTCCTAATATCGATTCCATTTATCCATTCGGTTTTCTCTCCAAACACTAATGTTTTCGTTTTAGTATCCCTAATCTTTTTTTTTTTTTTTTTTTCTTTTGAGACAGAGTCTTGCTCTGGAGTACAGTTGCATGATCTCAGCTCATTGCAACCTCCGACTCCCAGGCTCAAGCAGTCCTTTTACCTCAGTCTCCCAAGTAGCTGGGACCACAGGTGCATGTAACCACACCCAGCTAATTTTGTATTTTTTGCAGAGATGAGGTCTCACTACGTTGCCCAGGCTGGTCTCAAACTCCTGAGCTCAAGTGCTGGGAGCTCCTGAGCTCCCAAAGTGCTGGGATTGCAGGTGAGAACCACTGCTCCTGGCAGTTTTCCTAATCCCTTCTCTTTATCTTTTGTAGTTGCACTGGCTTATGTGGTTATTAACTGTTAGTGTTAATTAACAGGGATAACTGCAATACTGGACATTTTGTCTTATTCCTGATCTTAAAGGGATGTTTCTACAGTTTCACTCATCATGCATGATGGCAGCTTTTGGCTAGATGTATTTATAATCCACTAGGAGTAAAAAAAATTAGAAATAAATATTGAATTTTATCAAATGTCTTTCTAACATATATGGAGGGAACCATGTATTTTCTTCTTAATGTCTTGCAACCAGGAATCATACCAGATCTTCTAGTAGTGATTCAAGGGAATGAGCTTCATGTGATTGTGCGGCATAATTTTCCCACTGTGCTATGTTTGCATCACTAGCCATGAATGAGAGAGTGTGTGTGTTTTAATGTTACCTTTGTCAGGTACCTTTGTCAGGTTTGGGTTTTCATGTTCGAACAGTTTCAAAAGAAAAAAGTTTGAAAGTTCTACTTTATTCTTTATATGTGGAAATTTCAATAAATTATTTGTGATTTATTGAAAATTTTACTTGAAGGTCTGATATAATTTCAAAGCAAAACCAAACCTTTTTTTCTTTCTTGTTGGGGGAGGGTGGGAGGAGCGGGACAGGAGGACATTAACTCGTTGATATTTTATGTTTTGTTTTTTCCCTTTAGAATTTATCTTCTGGGGACAATCTGACAATGATGAATTTAATTTAGATTCACAGATTTTAAAAATAATTCTTTTGATATTCTTGGTATCATTTATTTACCTATTCTGCAGCTCTGTTGCCCAGGCTGGAGTGCCATAGTCCAATCATAGCTCACTGCAGCCTTGAACTCCTGGACTCAAGCGATCATCCCCGATCAGCCTCTTGAGTAGCAGAGACTATAGGCTCACGCTACCACACCCAGCTAATTTTTTATATTTTTAGTGGAGATGGGGTTTCAACATGTTGCCCAGGCTGGTCTCGAACTCCTGGGCTCAAGCAATCCTCCCTTCTGAGCCTCCCAAAGTGCTGGGATTACAAGTGTGAGCTACTGTACCTGGCACTATTCTCATTTTTATAATAAAATTTTAAGATTGGATAAATAATATAGCCCAATTATTGGAGCCAGACTACATCTACTAAAATTAAATGAAATTTCACTTGTCTGAAATCATGACATACTTTGGAAGATATCTTTGTCATGGTATTAATTAAAATTACGGCTATTTGGCACTCACCAAAATCTGTGGAGCACCTTAAAGACATAGGCGGCATCCTCCGGAGCAGTCAAAACAGTTACAAGAAGAGGCTGTCGGGACAGCTTTGTCAGAAGAGACATGCTATGCATATAAAGACATAAGGGAGACAGAAAAGAAACAACCATTTTACACACAGGCCCCAAATTGAAAGCTATAGGCTGGGTAATGCAGGCACTGATTTTTGCAAATCAGATGCTTTCCATATGGCATCTCCATATAGTGTGCTTTTGCTTTAGAGAGTGGCAGCAAGATTTTTGGTTTTGTTTGTTTGTTTGAAGACAGGATCTTGCTCCACCGCCCAAGCTGGAGAGCAGTGATGTGATCATAGCTCACTGCAACATCAACCTCCTGGGCTCAAGTGATCCTCCTGCCTCAGCCACCTGAGTAGCTGGACTACAGGCATACACCACTATGCCCCCACTAATTTTTGTATTTTTTGAAGAGACAAGATCTCACTATGTCACCCAGGCTGATCTTGAACTCCTGAGCTCAAGCGATCCTCCTGCATCAGACAACCAAAGTTTTAGGATTACAGGCATAAGCCACTGCACCTGGCCAAGATATTTGTTTGCAAAGGATGGTTAATAGTTACAACAAGAAAAATAGGAAGGCTGGGGCACAGTGGCTCATGCCTGTAACCTCAGCACTTTGGGAGGCTGAGGCAGGAGGATCACCTGAGGTCAGGAGTTCGAGACCAGCCTGCCCAACACGGTGAAACCCCATGTCTTCTAAAAATACAAAAATTAGCCAGGCATGGTGTCATGCACCTCTAATCTCAGCTACTCAGGAGGCTGAGGCAGAATCACTTGAACCCGGGAGGTGGAGGCTGCAGTGAGCTGAGATCATGCCATTGCACTCCAGCCTGGGTGACAGAGCAAGACTCTATCTCAAGAAAAAAAAAAGAAAAATAGGGAAGATTTGTTAGTAGTCTGTGAGTTCCACAATCATGTCAAGCATATTAAAAATTCCTTAAATTCCTAATTACCTTTTCCTGTCTTTTTTTAAAAGAGGATTTAACTTCATCAGAATTTTTCTTTACATGTGAAACACCTGCATCTTCAATTGCCTCATCATCTGGCAAAGTGAAGGTCACTCTTTTCAAGCTTTCTTTACATTGTTTACTGTCTTCACTTTCTTCCAGGTCATCATCTTCATCCCTACACTACAAAATTCTTATAAAAAGAAATATACTGCTTTCCATTAGAAAAACAAAAGGAAACATATTTCCCTTAATAAAGTTCTTCTTTTATATGCCTAATGCAACCAAATACTCAGAAGTTCCAAAATCATTCAGGTATTAAGGAACAGAAGGTATCATTTAAGTGAAATGCTATGTAAGAAACAGAACAAAAAGTGTCCAATATATAGAAAATAAATTGTTCAATCTCACAGAAATAACAGGATTTTTGGGGCACAAAACCAAATCAAAGTTCCTGGTCAGAAAGGTTTGATTGCCATTGCCAGTAATATTTTTCTTCATTAAATGATCTCTAATGTCCCTTTAAATACACAGACTTTCCTGTGGCTATCTTGAGAATATCTGATAGGAGAGAATCTAACTTCTTAAAACAAACATATGTGAAAACCACAAGTACCAATACATGATTGGACAGTTCCAGCTCACAATATAAAGGATGGTTCAAATACTTACATTTCAGAAATGCTTAGTTCTTCTGCTGCTTCTTCAGCAATTTCATCAGCTTGTTTGAACCCAGATCATCATCATCATCACTTGCTATGTCTTCATCACTTTCAACTGGATCAAAAAAAGTCTTTGTCCTTCACATTTCTGGAACTTTTACCTGACTAAAATAAAAAGATTTTTAAAACTATTAATTAGGAAGAGAAAAATACATCGTTAGCACACACATATATATTTGTGTGTATACTGTATGTCTACGTTACTTTCTAACTTAATAACACTACAAGCCAAAAATAGTTATTAGGTGAAATCAGCAACTAAAAACATTACCATAAAACTATTATAAGAACAACTGGAACAGAAACTGAATGGAAGTACAGATTCATTTATAACTGATAAGATAGAGCACAATATTTCTTAGATCCAAATCTTCTAACTACAATTACATCTGTCCTAGAAAAACAGAACAAAAGGTAATTTGAGGAGGAGGAAAGTGCTCTCTCCTCTCTCAAAATTTTACCTTAAGTTTTTTTACTTCTAAACAGTGCCCCTTCATCTTCATCAGAATCAATATCTTAAAAAAATCAGTATCTTCTACGTCATCATCGTTACCATCTTTTCGTTCCTCTTCTTTTTCTGTTTTCTAAATAGGCCTCCATTTCAGAGAGTTGGAAGAATTTCTCATCTGCTATGGACTTTTCTCTTGGTTTCCCGTGTCCTTTGTTTCGCACCTTGCTCTGCTGTTCCAATTTGTTGATATGAAAGTCAAGGTCAGAATCCTCATCACTGAGAACTGGGCTTTTCGTCGGATCGAATTTGCTTGAGTTTGCTCTCTCACTCACTTCAGGATTGTCACCACCCATATCTGACACTTCCTCCTCCTCCTCTAAATCTTCTAGGTCCTCCTGGCCATCAGCCTCTGTCTCTGAACCATCCTCTTCATGCTCCTGTTCTTCACTCTCTGGGATACTGATATCTTCATCTTTGTTTCACTAACTGCATTCTGGAAGCTTTGTAAAATTGGGTCATTTTGCAATTCCAGTTGTTGCAAAGTCTGCTTATCATCAAAACTTTCTATCACAAGTTTTTGTAAAGGGCTTCCATGGATCCTACCATTCTCTAATATTTTATTAAGGTCATAAAGCACTTTTGTTAAAGAAGTGAACTTTGATGCCAATCCATCTTGAATCCTAATGGGAGGAATTAAATGAGATTTAGAGTTATAGTTGATAATTTCACAGCCCTCTTAATTAAAAGAAAAATAAAAACCACAACTCTTCTGTAAAATCAAATTTGAATGAAGTGTAAGTATAGATTCTGGCCCCAACAACATACAAGCTGATGAGCCACACTGATATATAAAACCTGTCAACCAAGTATTTGTGAATCAGCTGTACAGATTTTAGGCAGGAAAAGCATTACAAATCTATTGCTTGGAGATATATAGTGAATTAGCCTTAAATTATCAACTCTGCTACATTATATACCACTCCATTCTTTCACTCATGTTAGTCAGGATGGTCTGGATCTCCTGACCACATGATCCACCCACCTCGGCCTCCCAAAAAAGTGCTGGGATTACAGGCGTGAGCCACCGTGCCCGGCTGAATTTTTCTTTTTTATAAAATAGGCTTTATTTATTTATTTGTTTATTTATTTATTTTGAGATAGAGTCTCGCTCTGTCACCCAGGCTGGAGTGCAGTGGCGTGATCTGAGCTCACTGCAACCTCTGCCTCCCCGGTTCAAATGATTTTCCTGCCTCAGCCTCCCAAGTAGCTGGGACTACAGGTGAGTGCCACCACGCCTGGCTAATTTTTTGTATTTTTAGTAGAGATGGGGTTTCACCATGTTAACCAGGATGGTCTCGATCTCCCAACCTCACGATCTGCTCACCTCGGCCTCCCAAAGTGCTGAGATTACAGGCATAAGCCATCGCAGCTGGCTGGCTTTATTTTTTTTTTTTAAAGCAGTTTTAGGTTCACAGCAAAATTGAGCAGAAAGTACACGCAGTTCCCATATACACCCTACCCACACACAGTCCCCATATACACCCTACCCACACAAAGTCCCCCTATACACCCTACTCACACACAGTCCCGTCCACTGTCAACCCCCCACACCAGAGTGGTACATTTGTTATAAACTATAAACATACACTGACACATTATTATCACTCAAAATCCATAGTTCACATTACTTTGTGGAGTTTCTATCATGAACAGGTCTTGAATTCTGTTTAATGCTTCTTCTGCTTCTACTGATACAATTGTGTTGTTTTTCTTAGTCTATTAATATTAATATGATAAAGTACAATGATGTATTTTAAAATATTGAATCCTTATATTCAGAAACGGACTCCATTTTGTTGTGATGTATTATCCTTTTTCTACATTACTGGATTTGACTTGCTAATGTTTGGTGGAAGCTTTTGTGTCTAGGTTCATAAGAGATACTGATCTATAGTTTCTTTTCAATGTTGTAATGTCTTTATCTGGTTTTGGGATTAGAGTAATGATGATATCATAAAATGAGTTGGGAGGTTTTTCCTCTGCTTCTCTTTTCTGGAAAAAAAATATGGAGAGTAATTTTTTCACTGGTATAATTCACCAGTGTAATCATCTGAGCTTGAGCCTGTTGCTTTTTTGGAAGGTTTTTATTATTAATTTAATTTTTAGAAAATATGTATAGGGCGGCCGGGCGCGGTGGCTCATGCCTGTAATCCCAGCACTTTGGGAGGCCGAGGTGGGTGGATCACAAGGTCAGGAGATCAAGACAATCCTGGTTAACACGGTGAAACCCCGTCTCTACTAAAAATATAAAAAATTAGCCGGGCGCGGTGGCAGGCGCCTGTAGTCCCAGCTACTTGGGAGGCTGAGGCAGGAGAATGGCGTGAACCCCAGGAGGTGACGCTTGCAGTGAGCCGAGGTAGCGCCACTGCACTCTGGCCTGGGCGAAAGAGCAAGACTCCATCTCAGAAAAAAAAAAAAAAAGAAAATATGTATAGGGCTAGTCTGTTTTTCCTTGCATGAATTTATTAGTTTGTGTCTTTTAAGGAATTGGTCCACTTTATTTAAGGTATCAAATTTACAAGGATAAAGTTGCTTGTAGAATCTTAGAATCTTTTAAAAGTGCACGGTATCAATAATCAGTAGTAATGATTCTTCTTTCATTGCTGATATTGGTAATTTGTATTCTCTCTTTCTCTCATCTTGTACGCTCATGCCTGGGAAGAGGTTTATCAATTTTATTTACGTTTGTGAAAGCCTAGCTTTTGGTTTTGTTGAATTTTTCTATTGTTTTCCTGTTTAAAATTTTATTGATGTATATTCTAATTTGCATGGATTTCTTTTCTGTGTTCTCTTCAGGTTTAAATTGCTGTTCTTTCTCAAGCTCCTAAGGTGCAAGCGTAATTTATTTATATTATTAATTCTTACTTTGTAATATATGCATACAGAAACTGAGTGCTATAAATTATTTTCTAAGCACTGCTTTAGCTACAACCCATAAGTTTTGATGAGTTATATTTTCCTTTTCATTTATTCCGAAACACTTTTTGAGATTTCTTCTTTGGCTCATGGGCTTTTAGAAGTTACCATCTTAGTGCTGATATTATCCATTTGTTCTTGCACATTGTCTACTTTTTTCATGAGAGCCCTTGACATATTTATCACAGTTATTTTTACATTCCGTCTCTGGTACTCCAACATCTGTGTCGTATCTGAGTTTGATTCTGATGATTGCTTTCTCTTCAGACTGTTTTTTCCTGCCTTTGACGTGTCTTGTGTAATTTTTTTGTTAAAAGACAGATATTGCATTAGGTAATAACAACTGAGGTACATAGGCCTTTATGTGAGAATGTATGTTAATTTGGTTAAGAGTTAAGCTATGTTTAATGTTTGTTGCAGCCATAAGTATCAGAAGTTCCAAATTCCTTTAGTGTCTTTGTTTTGGCTCTTCGCCTGGCTTCACAGCTTGTCTCTGCACTGCTCCTCATAGTGAGTCTGTGTCTTTCAGTTCATTCCACTGAAAACAGCTGTAGTCACTGCTTTTAAACTCAAGCTTTATAACAGTGATGATAGGATATAGAAGACAGTAAGCATTCTCCAACCTTCTAATGAAGTGTGGGTCATTTCCTAAGCCAGTAGCTCATGGCTGTAGCTATCCCAGCTGTGTCTGCCTTTCCTCCAGTAGCATGTTCACCTTCTAGCTCCTTTCCCTGGCTGCCGAGCTCCCAGTATATCTCCATGAAGCACTCTATCCATTGATGATTATTTCTGCCACTACGTGATGAAAGAAGGCTAAAGAGAGCTGAAGTGAGGGGGGATTCCTTTCCCCAAGCTTGGATACAGTATCAGAATGGAGCTCTGGTAAAGTCCTTCCCCTGGAGAAGGCTCTGGTTACATTTCACAATGGTCACTCTTTCCTTCTTCTGCAAAGGCATGAAGGGATCTTTTGGGGATTCTTACCACAAAAATATGGCGAGGTTACTGGAGGGAGCCTCCTAAGAAACTCTTCCTCCAGCAGTTTGTTAAAATTGTCATTTCATTGTTTGGACCAATAGCTCTAGAGGCTCCTGCTGTCTGAAGCACATCTCTAGGCTTTATCAGTTGCAGTGTCTGTTTGTACCTCTCTTTTTAGATTTTGGGGTGGTTATCTGTCCTGTGCAGTGCAATTGTCATGCTATCTACACAGAATTAGGTCAAACCTCACAGGTCAAGGGCACAGGGCCTGAAAAGGGCCTCCCTCATTTCAGACATCAGCTACAAGCAGGGGAGGGGGCTTCCAGGACACACACACTTCTGACCAACTGGCTACAAAGCTGGAGATTCCCACTACCCACTCAAATTGGATACACAACTTTGCTAGAATAACACATTACTCAGGAAAAAGCTGTAGTTATAATTACAGTTATATAATAAAGGATGTAAATCAGGACCAGCCAAAGAAAGAAACCGTCAGGGTAAGGTTTAGGAGGACCTGAGACACACGACTTCCGCTTCCTCAGGACAAGTCACCCTCCTGGCGCATCGATGTGTATCACTACCCAGGAAAGCACACCTGAGCTTCCGTGGCCAAAGTTTTTATCAGGGTTTCATTATGGACACATGACGGATTGAATCTTTGGCCACATTATTGAGCTCAGCCTCTAGCCTCTCTCTCCTCCCAGAAGGCTGGCTGATAGCACATGCTTCGAAGCCCAACCCTTGAATCACACAGTTGTTCTTTCTGGTGTGATGGGCCCCATCCTGTGTCATCTCCACAGCATAAGCTCAGATATTGTCAGGCCCGCCATCAGTAACAAAATATAATTGTATCATAGGAAACTTCAAGGGTTTAGAGGGCTCCTCTCAGGACCCAGAGAAAAAGATCAGCCAAATTAATTACTATGCAACAAGCCACCCCTTGTTCTTTGACTGCGATTCTTGTTATATGACTAATATCTGGGGGAGCCAGAAAACTTTTAACTGAATTTCACAATACATTTGGCTCTCGATGTCAATATTATAATCTTACCAACAGTGCCAGTATTACATCACAGCATGGCAGATGTCACCTGACTGTACTTTGTCTGCCCTGAAACATTGGAGCTCTATCTATATTTCTCTTTGAAAGCTCCTAATTGACCTGAGAGAAATGGTACCATTTCCCTGTGGTAAAGCAAGTCCTTCACTAGTGACCTCATCTGGCATTGTTTCCTATAAGAGAGCTGTCCTGGAGCTCAGATCATTTTGGACATAAAAGCTATGTAGCCTAGAATATGACTTAAAGGGTCCAATGGCTATGCCCCCAAACACATTGTATCCTTATATATGGACTTTGCCTCGGGAGTCACTGCACCCACAAAACTGTAACAAGGAGCCCTTTGCTTCAGTTTGAGTCTTTACCTCTCCTCTCTTTTCCTGGCCCTTAGTTTTAAGTCATGAGCATAGACCATGCAGACCTTTATGGAAGCTCTCTTAAGTCATAGGCTGGAAGGGGCCCAGTCTCTCTCTTTACCGCTCTGTTCGTCTTATGTACAGTGAACATCTTGTCTCTCACAATTGACTTCAAGCCACACAGGTCCTCTCTACAGAAATATCTTCTTATTGCTTGTTTTCAGAGCATCTTTCCAAAGTTCTTCTTATTCTATGTAATTCAAATTATTGTGATTTCTCACATGGACTCTTACAAATGCCTCCTTACTATTCTCCCAACTTCTTTCTACTTCATTATGTAGTACGGAGGCTTCCCAAGAAAAGAAGGATTATATATTATTAAAGAGGCTTGGCCGGGGGCGGTAGCTCACACCTGTAATCCCAGCACTTTGGGAGGCCGAGGCGGGTGGATCACTTGAGGTCAGGAGTTTGAGACCAGCCTGGCCAACAGGGTGAAACCCCATTTCTACAGAAAATACAAAAATTAGCTGGGCATGTTGGCACGCATCTGTAATCCCAGCTACTCCGGAGGCTGAGGTGAGAGAATCGCTTGAACCCAAGAGGTGGAGGTTGCAGTGAGCTGAGATTGTGCCATTGCACTCCAGCCTGGGCAACAGAGTGAGACTCCATCTCATTGAGGGAAGACAAAGACCCTCTCATATTGTTTTATATTGTTTCATACTCAGTACCTGTTTAAAGAAAAAAGAAAAAAAACAAGGAAGTGAAATCAAAGACAGGCAGCCTGGCACCAGGCCCAAAACCAGGCCTGGGCCTGCCCGGCCTAAACCTAGTAGTTAAAAATCAACTCATGACTTAGAACCCGATGTTACCCATAGATTTCAGGCATTGTATAAAAGAATATTATGAAACTCCCTGCTCTGTTCTGTTTCACTCTGACCACCAGTGCATGAAACCCATGTCATGTATCCCCTCGATTGCTCAATCAATCACGACCCTTTCACATGAAATCTTTAGTGTTGTGAGCCCTTAAAAGGGATGGAAATTGTGCACTCGAAGAAGCTCGGATTTTAAGGCAGTAGCTTGCTGATGCTCCCAGTTGAATAAAGCCCTTCCTTCTACAACTCGGTGTCTGAGAGGTTTTGTCTGAGGCTCATCCTGCTACATCATAACATAACATAACATAACATAACATAACATAACATAACATAACATAACATAACATAACATAGCATAAAATAGCTAGGTCTCTTGTCACAAATTCATTTCATTAAGTATTGGCGAAAGGTATGTATTCTGGGCTTTCCCTGTGTGAATGAGTAATTCCTAAATGATAAGTTAACTCCATCATTCTAATTTTCCTTAGTCTTTGAATCCCTTCCTCTACATTAAATCAAGGGATATCTGGCATTTCCAATTCACTCACAGTGGGACATCTTTTGATCCAGATTGCAGCCAACAAACCAAACTGGTAGAGCCTTTTGTAACTCCCTGAACTACAACATTAAATGCAGAATCTCTGCTCTGTGGGACCGTATCAACAAACGGGGAACTTTATGTTCCTTCCACCATTGTCTCATACCCCTGTCAATCGAGAAAAATGATGAGACAAATCTCAATCATTTTAGGAGGTTTATTTGCCAAAGTTAAGGATGCATGCCCAGGAGACAGGTCTATGCCTTTCTTCAAAGATGATTTTGAGGGCTCCAAATTTAAAGAGGAAAGGGCAGGATATTGAGAGGTACACAATTTTCATGTGAGAGTGGGGTAGGGAAAAATATTCATTTATGTGTCTGGCTCAGTGAATTTGCATTGTTTTACATAAGATGACATAGACAAATGGGGCAGAGGAAAAATGCTGGAATCTGCATTTTTACATAAGATAACAGACAAAATGGGGCAGGGGACCGATCAGATATGCATTTGTGTCTGGAGGGCAGGGGGGTGACTGCACTGTAAAGACAATTGACATTATCATGGTGAAATTTTAACAGACACACCTTAGGGTAAAGATCTTGGAGCTCACTAGGAATTTCCTCATGGACAAAATGTGGGGGAGGCATGAAGATTTTCATCTTGTAGCCATCTTAGTTAGGAAGCAAAAGGGGAGGCAGGTTTGCATGACCCAGTTCCCAGCTTAACTTTTCCCTTCGGCTTAATGAGTTTGGCATCCCAATATTTATTTTCCTTTCACACCCCTAATATCCATTCCCACACATGTTCCCCAGTTTCCTACCTGTTCCTGGATGTAGTCAGCCTCCTCAGAGATCATACTCTGTAACTCACCTTAGGGGATTGCGGGACTGGAGTCTACTTATAGGTCTAGAATATGGGTGTCCAATCTTTTGGCTTCCCTGGGCCACATTAGAAGAAGAATTGTCTTGGGCCACACATAAACTACAGTAACACTAATGATAGCTGATGGGCTAAAAAAAGAAAATAGCAAAAAAATTTCATAATTTTTTTTTTTTTGAGACAGAGTCTCGCTGTCGCCCAGGCTGGAGTGCAGTGGCGCAATCTCGGCTCACTGCAAGCTCTTCCCCCTGGGCTCACGCCATTCTCCTGCCTCAGCCTCCCAAGTAGCTGGGACTACAGGCTCCGGAGACCACACTCGGCTAATTTTTTGTGTTTTTAGTAGAGATGGGGTTTTACCATGTTAGCCAGGATGGTCTCGATCTCCTGACCTCGTGATCTGCCTGCCTTGGCCTCCCAAAGTGCTGGGATTACAGGCGTGAGCCACCGCGCCTGGCCAAAAAATTTCATAGTTTTAAGAAAGTTAACGAATTTGTATGGGACTGCATTCAAAGCTGTCTTGGGCCACATGTGGCCTGCAGGCCACAGGTTGGATGAACTTGGCCTAAAAGCAAAGAGGGGTGGTGGGGTGGCTCCTAAGGAGAATCAGCATTGTCTTGCTCCACAGCTGCCTTACGGGAGGCCATTCCCATTTCCTCAGGCAGTGCAGGGTTATCCCCTCAGACAGAGGTGGAAAGGTTGATGCCACTGGGGATGGGGAGGCACTTCCTCTGGGGTTGGGGAATTCACTTTTGCCAAGGGTGGGGTGGCTACTTCTGCTGGTGGTAGGGAGACCTGTTCCACTGGTGAGAAAGAAAAGTGGCTCCGAGTCGTCTTAGAAATGTGAGGTCTGCAAAATTTATCGGGCCCTGAGAGATGAGCACGAGGCTTCACTCATGTCCTGGCACCCGTGCCTGGGCATAATTGTTTAAAGGCACTTTGGCTTTCTTTCCTTTCCTGCAGTTTCCAGACTAGCGGATAAATTTCCTAAAACATTACCATAAGTTGCACAATGTGGCCCTCACCCAATATCTTCATGTTCCTGGAATCTGTGATACAAAAACAATGCATAGCCAACAAATAGTTTGTGTTGTGTTATTTTAATGAACCTATGTAGATTATTGATAAGCAACTTAGAAACTGCCCCCAGCTTATTTTTTCTCTTAAACACCCACTTGTAACTGCTGCTAATCTGGGTATATATGTAGGGCAACTTGAATCTATTACTCCTAGGCTGCAGTCCTTAATCTTGGCCCATATAAACTCTCTACTTATATTAATTTTGCCTCATTTTCTTTCCTTAAGTTGACATGGGCAACAAAGGCTCATCAGAGGGGCTCAATGTTCCCAGCTTTACCAAGGCTTTCCATCCCAATTTACAGGATCCCATTTTTTTCCCAGTCAATGCCCTCACTTTATCAGTGGGCACCCTGTGAGGCTGGGAGTTATATTTGCCTTGTAATTCAGCCAATCACAGGATAAAGTCTTGCATTTGATTTTCAGCAATTTCAGCCCTGAAGCTACAAGACCTAACACTCTCCCTCAGGGTGCACCTAGAAGGTCTTAGGTCATCTGTGTGGTGCTTGAGCTGGGAATTATTGTCATTATTTTCCTTAGTTTTCCAAAATCTTTTGAAAGTATTATATATCGCATTACTTTAGTTGACTAGGACTATCCAATGCAGATATTTTGGGTATCTCAATAAAAAATTCACGTCATGGACTATCAGTAATATCTTACCACTGAAAGTAAAGTCATTAGTATTTTCAAGTTTAATCATATTAGAGAAACAATTCCAGAAACCTCAAAACCAATTCACAGAATTTATCCTTAAAATTCTGTTCCTCTAGATCCACTCTTGGGGCAAAAATCTGTATTATTCAGGTTTCTCCAGAAAAATAGAACCAATCTGATATAGATAGGTAGATAGGTAGATAGGTACACAGCTAGCTAGCTACCTATCTGTATCTCATATCTCCTCTTGAAACAGGAGAGTTCCCTTATCCCCTACACAGGATGATTGGTGGGTGTGGCTCATCTGTTCTGCTGCCTCCTGCTCAAACCCCTCATGGGAGGGGAAGCACGCAGACAGGGAGGTGTAGGAGCTGGGGCAAGCACTTTTGGACTCTGGCCCCACGTTACCATATATGGGTGGGTGCCTGCAACTCCCAAAGCTCCAGTGGGCATATTACAGTACTCTTTAGCTCTGCCATCTGCAGACCACTTAAGTGTTAACCAGCTCAGTGCCCTCTTGGTACCAAGGTCCTTGCCTGGCATCCAGGAAGAATCAGGTGACATGGAAAAATTGAAGGATGACAAATGTGGGGGATTTTATTGCCAGACGGAAGTGGCTCTCAGCGGGGTGGATGGGGAGCTGGAGAGGAGTTGCAGTAGGAAGATGATCTTCCTCTGGAGTTTGGCCATCCCGTGGCCAATCTGTTCTCCAACCATCCCCAGCCAACCACCTCTCGATGTTCAGACGTTCCTTCTCTTCTCTCCTTCTCTGCCACCCTGCTCTTCCAACCCTCTGCTCTTCTGCTTGTGAAGCCTGGGACTTGGGGTTTATAAGGGTTCAGGAGAGGGGGGCATGGTGGGCCAAAAGGCAACAGCTGGGTGCAAAAACAGGAATGACTGTTCCCATTTAGGGCTGCAGGTTTCCTGGCTTCAGGGTGGGGCCTTTGACAGGGAACCGCCTCTTCTACCCAGTATTTCCCTGTCGCCTGTGCATATCACTCTTATCCCTGTAGATAGATAATAGATTCTCTATCTCTGTGGATAGGTGCAGAGATAAGAGGAGATCTATAATCAGAATTGGCTTACATAATTATGAAGGCCAAGAAATCCCACAATATGCCACCTATAACCTGCAGACCTATGAAAACTGGTGGCACAATTCAGTCTGAGTCCAAAGGCCTGAGAACCAACAGAGTGAATGGTGAAACTACCAGTCTGAGTCCAAAGACCTGAGTACCAGGAGATATGATGTCTAAGGGCAGGAAAAGTATGTCCCAGCTCAAGGAGAAAGATAATTTGCACTTCCTCTGCCCTTTTTGTTCTATCTAGGCCTTCAATGAACTAGGTGATGCCTGCCCACATTTGTGAGGGCAGATCTTGTTTGTCTATTGAATCAAATACTAATCTTTTGTCTATACCTCAATAAAGCTGAAAAAAACTAAAGTAATTGCACACTTCCAAAAACAAAAAATATAAACAAATACTATTTTCCAAAAACACCCTCACACACTTAGAAATGTTTTACCAGCTATCTACCAAGTCAACTTAATGTTTAACTTTAAACATTACATCCTTTAATCTAGCATAACATCTTTTAAATTCATCAACATTTGTGTAGATCAACAGTTACAGTTCTTTTCTTTTGGCACTTGAAAAATATTGTGCCACTTCCTACTTGCCCCCATGGCTTTAGATAAGAAATTCACTGTCATTCCAATTCATGTGCCCCTAAGGATAACAAGTCATGTTTCTGTGCCTGCTTTCAATATTTTCTGTCTTTTCAGAAGTTTAGTATGATGTGTCCTGGTATATATTTCTTTGGGTTCATACTATTTGGGATATATTAAACTTCTTGAATCTGAGTGTATTTCGTTTAACAAATTTGGGAAATGTTTACCCATTATGTCTTCAAATACTCTTTCAGCCCCACTGACTTTCTCCTCTTCTTCCCCAACTCCGATAATATTAATGTTGGATCTTTTGTTATTGGTCTGTGAAGTTCTGTTCATTATTTTCAGTCTATTTCCTCTATTGTTCAGATTAGGGAAATTCTACACATTTTCAAGTTCACTGATCATATCTCCTGCCCTCCACCCTCTACTATTGAGCCCACCTAGAAAGCTTTTAATTTCTGTTACTGCATTTATCTGTTTCATGAATGTCTTGTTTCTTTTTTATAACTCCTATTTCTTTGCTAGAATATTCCATTTTTTCATTTAAGATAATTTTTTTATTACTTGAACCATTTTTATGCTGGTTGCTTTGAAATTGTTGTCAGATAATTCCAACATGTGGTTTATTTCACTGTTAACATCAACTGATTGCCTTTTGTCATTTCAATTCCCATTTCCCTGTGCCTTGCGCATTTTTTATATTATGTTAGGAAATCTGGGTTCTATTTACATTTTGTTTAATTTTAGTAAGCATTCACCTTTTTGGATTCAGCATGCCGGTCTGGACCTAATTTGAAGGATTTGACTCCTACGACAATTTAATTTTCAGTCTTTGCAGAGCTATTTTAGTTTGCTTTTTAAAAAAATATCATTCCACTGGGGCTCCTACTGGTTTCTGATGGAGCTTCCCCAGGATCAGTTGTCTGTATCTCTAAGTGAATGAATGGAGACTCCGTCCTACAGGGGCAGAGTGCTTCCCTGGCCAAGTGCACATTGCAGTGTGAATTCCCTTCCCTGTGCCCTTGGTTGTGCAGTGTCTCTGGTGAAGGAGGTGAGTTGTGTCCTTTGTGGGAAAGAATTGGAAAGTTGGATTTTGGCAATTCCAGTTGCTAGTGCCCTCAACCAAGGGCTTGGGAACAGGGGTGGAAGGAGAGGAGTAGAGACGTAGAGAAAATGGTGTCTCACACTTGGTGAAAAAGTAGAGTTTTCTGGCAGCTTACCGTTAACAGGGCTTCTAATCAACCCGTCTCCATTGTTGGTTCTCCTCTGCTTGCCTGCTATTTCTGGCAGAACTCTCATTTGTTGCAGAAGAATGAGCCTACTTGAGCTCCCTTCTGTTACTACATTGGGAGGTGGGAATTGTCAAGCCTGGATCACCTCTCTTGTTGGATGGGGGTTGTATTTTGTGCCTCCAGAATCGAGGCCCCGACCAATTCACCTTCCTCTTACCACCTTTCAGAATTC